>NC_000008.11:142964090-143266168 GCF_000001405.40 Homo sapiens
AACCTGCCCCAATATTCACGTAGGTTCTTTTCTATTTTCCCTAAGCATCAGCCGGCTTGAGAAATAAAGGGACAGAGTACAAAAGAGAGAAATTTTAAAGCTGGGCGTCCGGGGGAGACATCACATATCGGTAGGTTCCGTGATGCCCCACAAGCCGCAAAAACCAGCAAGTTTTTATTAGGGATTTTCAAAAGGGGAGGGAGTGCGCGAATAGGTGTGGGTCACAGACATCAAGTACTTTACACAGTAATAGAATATCACAAGGCAAATGGAGGCAGGGCGAGATCACAGGACCACAGGACCGAGGCAAAATTAAAATTGCTAATGAAGTTTCAGGCACCACTGTCATTGATAACATCTTATCAGGAGACAGGGTTTTGAGAGCAACCGGTCTGACCAAAATTATTAGGTGGGAATTTCCTCTTCCAAATAAGCCTGGGAGTGCTATGGGAGACTGGAGTCTATTTCATCTCTGCAGTTTCAACCATAAGAGACAGGCACACCTGGGGGTGGGGGGGGGCGCCGTTCATAGGCCTATACCTCCAGGTGCATATTCTTTTTCTCAGGGATGTTCCTTGCTGAGAAAAAGAATTCAGTGATATTCCTCCCATTTGCTTTTGAAAGAAGAGAAATATGGCTCTATTCTGCCCAGCTCACTGGCAGTCAGAGTTTAGGGTTATCTCTCTTATTCCCTGAACAATTGTTGTTATCCTGTTCTTTTTTCAAGGTGCCCACATTTCATATTGCTCAAACACACACGCTGTACAATTTGTGCAGTTAATGCAATTATTACAGGGTCCTGAGGCGACATACATCCTCCTCAGCTGACAGGATTAAAAGATTAAAGCAAAGACAGGCATAGGAAATCACTAGGGTATTGATTGGGGAAGTGATAAGTGTCCATGAAATCTTTACAATTTATGTTTAGAGATTGCAGTAAAGGCAGGCATAAGAAATTATAAAAGTATTAGTTTTATAAAAACTAATAAATGTCCATGAAATCTTCACAATCCACGTTCTTCTGCCATGGCTTCAGCCAGTCCCTCCATTTTGGGTCCCTGACTTCCCACAACAAAGAGGGATGGGCAATGTAAAACTCTGAATTGGTATTCTAATTCTGGGCACATGACAATCAGCTAACAACCCCATACCAGCTTAGTTCCAACAGTTGCCCAGTTCATGAAAAGCCTTCTAATTATGTTTACTTGGAATAACTTTACTTATTTTGCTTTACTCTTGGGGAATATATTGCTGTTATACTCTTTGTATAGAAATACAGGACAAGCTTACTGAATGTTTTCTTAAATTAAACACATATTAATCTTCCAGATATCACCTTTCGTCAAAACTCAAGACTTATTAATGGACTTACCACACTGATGCTTTCTGACTGAGCTCCTCTCTACCCTGATTGCAAGAGACCCTCATAGTTAGAGAGGAATATCATCACCCCTATTCAGCCTGAAGAAGTTACAGAAGATGGATCTCCATCCCTCTGCAACCTTTAGGAATAAGTGTTCTCTTATAAAAGGAAGGGGGGAAATATCAGAGGCATGTGAACCAGAGCAACTCCATCTTAAACAGGAACTGGGTCAAATGAGGCTAAAACCTACTGGGCTGCATTCCCAGATGTTTAAGGCATACTAAGTCACAGGATGAGATAGGAGGTCAGCACAAAATACAGGTCACAAAGACTTTGCTGATAAAACAGTTTGCAGTAAAGGAGCCAGCCAAAACCCACCAAAACCAAAATGACCATGAGAGTGACCTCTGGTCATCCTCACTGCTACACTCCCATCAGCGCCATAACAGTTTATAAATGCCATGGCAATGTCAGGAAGTTACCCCATACCGTTTGAAAAGAGGAGGCATGAATAATCCACCCCCTTGTTTAGCATATCATCAGGAAATAACCATGAAAATGGGCAGCCAGCAGCCCTCAGGGTGGCTCTATGGAGTAGCCATTCTTTTATTCCTTTACTTTTTTCTTTTTTTGAGGTGGAGTCTTGCTCCATCACCCAGACTGGGGTGCAGTGGCGCGATCTCGGCTCACTGCAAGCTCCGCCTCCCAGGTTCACGCCATTCTCCTGCCTCAGCCTCCCGAGTAGCTGGGACTACAGGCACCTGCCACCATGCCTGGCTAATTTTTTGTACTTTTAGTAGATGTGGGATTTCACCGTGTTAGCCAGGATGGTCTTGATCTCCTGACCTCGTGATCCACCTGCCTTGGCCTCCCAAAGTGCTGGGATTACAGGCGTGAGCCACCGCGCCCAGCCTCCTTTACTTTCTTAATCAACTTGCTTTCACTTTGCACTGTGGACTCATCCCAAATTCTTTCTTGCTCTAGATCCAAGAACCCTCTCTTGGGATCTGGACTGGGGCCCCTTTCCTGTAACACCCGAGATTGCACAGAAATCGTCAAATCAGGTTTAGCCTAAAGCCACGTCTTTACATATTTTAAGTTTGGCCTAAAGGTTTTTCTGTACATCATGAACTGTAACAGGGGGAGGTGTAAACAGACCATAGCCTACACTTGTGCCAGTCACTGAGTTTTGGCCAACCAAATGTAGCCAACTGTTCAAACCATGTGCAAATAAGGCAAACACCAAGCTGTAACCCTCCAGCTGTTTCTGTGCCTCACTTCCATTTTCTGTAAGTCACTTTCTTTTTTCTGTCCATAAATCTTCCACCCCATGGCTGCACTGGAGTCTCTGAGCCTACTCTGACTGGAAGCTTGCTGGATTCTCAAATTGTTCATTGCTCAATTAAATTTTATTTGGCTGAAGTTTTTATTTTGTCAATATTTCAAAGTAAAATGTTTCTCTAAAATCAGAGCTATTTGTAGAAATACAAATAAAAATGGAAAACTTTTTTCTTGTCAGTTTTTGTTAGCTTTTTATTAATAATTTATTCAATTTAGCTAAATTTCCAATTTTGGGGCATACAGTTGTAAAATTTTCTTATGTTTTAAATCTCCGTTGATCTTTATTTTTTTCCATTGCCAATACTAGTTATTTTAAATGTTTTTCTCTTTACTAGCGATAAAAGAAAAACTTCAGGCTGGGCACGGTGGCACACGCCTGTAATCTCAGCACTTTGGGAGGCCAAGGTGGGTAGATCACAAGGTCGAGAGATCGAGACCATCCTGGCCAACATGGTGAAACTCCGTCTCTGCTAAAAATACAAAAACTAGCGGGGCATTGTGGTCCCAGCTACTTGGGAGGCTGAGGCAAGAGAATCACTTGAACCTGGGAGGTGGAGGTTGCAGTGAGCTGAGATGGTGCCGCTGCACTCCAGCCTGGCAACAGAGCAAGACTCCGTCTAAAAAGAAAAAGAAAAACTTCAGCCAAATTAAATATAAAGGAGTTTAATTGAGCAATGAATGGTTTGAAAATTGGGCAGCCCCCAGAATCACAGCAGATTCACAGAGACCCCAGTGCAGCCACGTGGTGGAAGAAGATTTATAGACAAAAAAAGGAAATGACATATAGAAATTGACAGTGAGGCACAGCACAGCTGGATGGGTTACAGGCTGGCATTGGCCTGATTTTAATACAGTTTGAACACTCGGCAGTCTGAGCGGTTGAAGAATGGCCACTGGGATTGACCAAGATTCAGTTATTGTTATAGGTGAATACTCCTAAGTTAGGTTTCCAATTTTGTTTGACTATTAAGCTAGGTTACAATCACCCACAAGAACTCAGATATAGAAGTACAGAGTCCTTCTCAGGTCATATTTAGTTTGCTTTAACATTAGTCTCACCAGAGTTATCCACGGTACTAGCTTTTCCAAAGAAATAACTAATTTATTGATCTTATCTAATGCATACATAGTTTCTATATCATTGTTGGATATAAAATGCTCCAGGAATAAATGCGCAGTGCCTCAAAGTAAAAGCAGCACTCTGGCAAAAGTTTAATCCTCTTAGCAAGGCAATTTACTTCTGCAGAAGGGCGTCACTCGTGTCAATCAAGATGGCAAGTGCACACAGAACAAAGGAGACCAGGGGGTTTATCCTGAACGCGGCCCCTATCTCTGTGTCACTCCCCCATTGGCTGGGGTTGGACTGCACAATCTGAGCTGACCCGATTGGCTACTTGTACATATTTTTCTAAATATAGAAGGGGAGGGGGATGTGAGGTACAGAGGCGTGAGACATGCAGTTTCCGGGGAACAATGCGTGCAGGTAACCAAGGGAACAGGTGTGAGTTGATTAGAGCTGACGGGAAGGGGGTAGGCTGTTTATGGTAACTAGGGGCAAGGAAGAACCAGAAAGTTGAGTTTGAGAACAAAGGATAAGGAAGTTAACAGGCTAAACCCTTTAAAGAGAAACTCAGAAAAATTTATTGTATCTTGTATCATTAACTTCTACTCTTTAATTTCCATTCTATTATTTTTTGTACTTTCCTGTTTCTTCTGTAACTTCTTGAGGTGCATACTTAGTTCATTAAAATTCGACATTTTTGGTTTTCTAATATATGAGGTCTACACGGTTCCCTCTACGTGTGCCCGAGACGCACCCTGTGAACTTTGACATAGAGCCCGTTTCTCATCGTTTAGTTTGTTTTCTGATTTTCCTTTTAATTTTTGAAGGGGGTCTGCCCCTCCACACCTGTGGGTATTTCTCGTCAGGTGGAGACAAGAGACTGAGAAAAGAAATAAGACAGAGAGACAATGTATAGAGAAGGAACAGTGGGCCCAGGGGACCGGCACACTCAGCATGCGAGGACCTGCACCGGCGCTGGTCTCTGAGTTCCTTTAGTATTTATTGATTACTATTTTATTTTTACTATCTCGGCACAGAGAGTGTGGCAAGAGAACAGAGTGATGGTGGGGAGAAGGTCAGCAGGAAAACATATGAGCAAAGGAATCTGCGTCATAAATAAGTTCAAGGGAAGGTACTGTGCCCGGATGTGCACATAGGCTAGATTTATGTTTCTCTTTACCCAAACATCTCAGTGCAGCAAAGAGTAACAGAGCAGTATCACCACCAGCATATCTCGCCTCCAGCCGTAGGGTGGTTTTCTCCTATCTCAGAATAGAATGAATGGTCGGCTTTACACCGAGACATTTCATTCCCAGGGACATGCAGGAAACAGAGGCCTTCCTCTTATCTCCACCGCAAAGAGGCTTTCCTCTTTTACTAATCCTCCTCAGCACAGACCCCTGTGGGTGTCAGGCTGGGGGACGGTCAGGTCTTTCCCTTCCCACGAGGCCACATCTCAGGCTGTCTCAGTGGGGGGAAACCTTGGACAATACCCAGGCTTTCTCGGCCAGAGGTCCCTGGGGCTTTCCACAGTGCATTGTGTCCCTGGTTAATAGAGAATGGAAAATGGTGATGACTTTTACCAAGCATACTACCTGCAAACAAATTGTTCACAAGACACATCCTGCAGAGCCCTAAATCCCTTAAACCTTGATTCAATACTGCACATGTTTCTGTGAGCACAGAGTTGGGGCTAAAGTTATAGGTTAATACATCTCAAAGCAGAACAATTTTTCTTAGTACAGATCAAAATGGAGTTTCTTATGTCTTCCCTTTTCTACATAGACACAGTAACAGTCTGATCTCTCTTCCTTTCCCCCACCAATTTTTTTTTTTTTTTTTTGGAACAGAGTCTTGCTCTGTCACCCAGGCTGGAGCACAGTGGTGCAATCTCAGCTCACTGCAACCTCTGCCTCCCGGGTTCAAGTGATTCTCCTGCCCCAGCCTCCCAAGTAGCTGGGACTATAGGCGCACGCCACCACGCCTGGCTAATTTTTTGTATTTTTAGTAGAGACAGGTTTCACCATGTTAGCCAGGATGGTCTCGATCTCCTGACCTTGTGATCTGCCCACCTCAGCCTCCCAAAGTGCTAGGATTACAGGCATGAACCACCAAGTCAGGACTTTCCTTTCAATTTCTTAGGTGATCTGTGGCTTATTCATAAATATTTATGTTTCCTTATTTCCAAAAAGATCAAGATTTTCTGCGCTTTTGTCAATTATTTCTAGTATAATTACGCTGCAAATGCAGAAGCTGCTTTGTATCATTTCAATGCTTTGAACTTTCTGGATACTTTTTTTATGGCTCATTATATGATCAGTATTTGTAAATGTTTGCACATACTTGCCTGGGACCTGGATGGGGAAGTGGTAACAAAAGGAAGTGGGGGGTGTGCAGGAGGAAGTGGGGGAAGGAAGGGATGGAGAAAAGAGGGGAGCCGGGGGAGGCAGTGGAGGATGGTTGCCTGCTCAACCTGGGGCCCCTCCTCTAGGCCCCGTTGTGAGCCCAGCCCACTCAGTACGCTGCCACTTCTGGGTAAACTAGAGGAGAGCAAGGTAGCCCTCAGGCCCTGCCCCCCACCCCTATCACCCAGCCTGCTGGCTGGAGAGTAAATGCGTTCAGCCCAGAGACTTTGTCCCATTTTTAACCCTCGGGGTCTGGCCTGTGGCCTTCAAGGGGTCCCAGTCAATTCCCCAGGGTGGGGCTCTGAGATGGGAGGGGATTCCCCAGGCCATCCCCACCCTGTGCTCATTTCCAGCCAGGATTGGACTCAGCCTGAGATCCAGGAGCAGTCTGGAGGGTCTCGAACTTGGGACAGGCCCCCTCCAGGAAGATTTGCTGGGGGTTGCCAGAGGAGACGGAGGGGTGGAGGGTCTCGAACTCGAGGCTGGGTCCCCCCCAAGGAATATTTGCCAGGGGTTGCCAGAGAGGGCGGAGAGGTGGAGGGTCCCAAACTTGGGGCTGGCCCCCCCAGGAAGATTTACTGGGGGTTGCCAGAGAGGGCAGAGGGGTGGAGGGTCTCAAACTCGGGGCTGGCCCCCCCCAGGAAGATTTACTGGGGGTTGCCAGAGAGGGCAGAGGGGTGGAGGGTCTCAAACTCGGGGCTGGGCCCCCCGAGGAAGATTTACTGGAGGTTGCCAGAGGCGGCGGAGGGGTGGAGGGTCTCAAACTCGGGGCTGAGCCCCCCAAGGAAGATTTACTGGGGGTTGCCAGAGGCGGCGGAGGGGTGGAGGCACTGCCTGCCCAGGCCTGGCGTGGCTGCTGGGTTTCCATGACCATGGACAGCTGTCAAAGGGTCCCGGGCCCACAGGCTGGCGACTCCTGCAAGGCTCTGCAGAGGGTGGGGGCTTCAAGGGGTTCAGAGCCTGTGGATGGGGGAGGCGGCACAGGGTCCTGCCTGGGCCTCGCCCCCCAACCCCCCCAGGTCCCCACAGGGGCTGAGCGGTGGGGGACAGGTGAGGGGCAGCACCTGGATGGGCCGCCCATCCTCTGGAGGCTTATCTGCGGGCAGATGCCGGGAAGTGGGGTGTGGATAGGGCTTCGCAGAGGAGGGGGCCCAGTTCGGGCCGGGGCATGGAGACTGGGAAATCCCAGCTCCTAGCAGGGTGTGGGTGGGAGGCTCAGGTCCAGAGCCCTGAGATGGCCTCCCTTCCTCTCCCTCCCCTTCCCTGCAGGCCTCCCCACTTCACCCCTCACCACCCAGCCTCCCTCCCCTAGGCTTCAGGACATTGAAACTCTGTGCGCTGGGCTTCTCCCTCTGCCCCAGGCCCGGGACACAACCCAGGCTCCCTCCCTCTGCTCCTGGAAACACCTGTCTCTGGGGGGCCTCCCACCTCCCGAGGGTGGGGCAGCAGGAACCTGGTGGGACTACTCACCCCACCACCTGCAGGAGGTCAGGGCTGCCTCTGACCTCAGCCCTAAACCCAGAGCAGAGGGAGCACTGGGCCCTGAGTCCCAGATCCTAGGAGGGCAAGTGGCTTCCACTCTGAGCCTGTCTCCCCTCAGTCGCCCTAGCCTTAATACTGAAGCGGCTGCACCTTGGGTGCTCACCTGCTATGCTGACTTCTGGTTAACCCCAGTTCCATTTGATCTACCATCCTTGCGGAAGGGCACGAGAAGGGCATGCACTCGCCAGAAACCCCGCCCTTAGCCAGTTGTCCTGCACGCCCCTCTTGATGCAAGCAAACCCCCTCCCTATGGTACGTAAACCCTGGTTCGGGGCAGGGCGTGGGTGGTAATGGTGTGGAGATTCACCATCTCGTCTCACAGTTCCCAAGACACAGCTTCTGTTCATAAGTCCCTATTACATGCTTCCTTCCAAGAAATTGGATTTGTCCTCTTTCTTTGGCCTCTCAGCTTCCTTGGCTTTTTGGGATGGGTTTGAATAGACCTGCTCATCATGCAACAATAGACATTTCTCCAAAGAAGATACACAAATGGCCAGTAAGCACAGGAAAAGATGCTCGATGCCACTAAGCATCAGGGAAACGCACATTAAAACCACAAGGAGGAATGGCCTCACGCCCATTAGGATGGCCTCCATCAACAATGCAGGAAACAGCAGGTGTTGGTGAGGTTGTGGAGGAACTGGAGCCCCTGTGTGCCATTGGTGGGCAGAGCCTGGAAAATGGTGCAGCAGCTATGGAAACCAGGATGGCGGCTCCTCAAACACTTAAACATAGAATTACCATAAGATGCAACAACTTCACTTCTGAGTGCATACCCCAAAGAATTGAAAGCAGGGGCTCAAACAGATGTTTGTACCCCCATGTTCATAGTGATATTAATCACAACAGCCCAAGTGTCTGCTGCGATTCTGATGGGGATGACGTAGAATCCCGGATTGCTCTGGGTACCATTAATGTCGTTACAATGTTAAGTCTTCAATCCAGGAGTGAATAAGCAAAACATGGAACATACGTATATAGAATTCAGCCTCAAAGAGGAAGGAAATCCTGACAGGCACTGCACCGTGGGAACCCTGATGACATCATGCCGAGGGAAATCAGGCACACACGCACATCATCTCCCTGAACTTTATACTTAAAAATAGGTAAAATGGCAACTTTTATGTTCTGTATATTTTACTACAATAAAAATAAATTCTGAAAGGCACACACCCAAAAGTCAACTCCAATGTTTCTGGCCCAGCCCAAGTTAGATGGGGGGTAACACGCACCAGGTTGATGTGACTTAGTGGTGTCAGATACAATAAAATTCCTCCTCAAAGGTTTAGCCTGTTAACTTCCTTGTTCTTTGTTCTCAAACTCCACTTTCTTGTTCTCCATGCCTCCTTGCCCCTAGTTACTGCAAACAACCTTCAACTCAGCTCTGAGCAGTAACTCACATCTGTTCCCTTTGTTACCTGCTGTACACCCATTCCTCCCTTTGAAACTGCACGTCCCACCACTATAACTCACATCCCCACTTCCCTTCCTTATTTGGGAAAGTATTCACAAATAGCCAATTGGGTCAATTTAAAATGTGCAGTCCGACCCCAGCCCATGAGAGAATGACATAAAGGTAGGGGCTGCATTAGAAATAAAAACCCTTTCCCTCCTTTGTTTGGTGTGCTCTTGCGATTATGAGTGACACAAACAGCACCCTTCTGCAGAAGAAAATTGCCTTGCTGAGAAAACTTTTGCCCGAGTGCTGGTTTCTCTTTGCAGCACTGAGCATTTATCTCCAACAGTGAGAAAACTTTAGACCCTTGGACCAAGAGGCCTGACCCCAGGTGTGGCCCAAACCATCCCAGCTGTCTGTTGCAGAGGCCCAGTACCCAGCAAGCCTGCCCAGAACCCAGCGAGCCTACTCAGCCTCTCCGTGCGCTGACGTTGCCTGGGCTTAGCCTTGACTTTGGTCTGGCCTCCATCTTGGTCGAGTTGTTGGCTGCTGTCAGCCTTGACCAAGGCCTACCCCTGGGTGTCCCTCCTCTTGGATCCTTTTGCTTGTTGTTCTCTCCTCTGCCTGCAGGTCTTTTGTTTCTTCGGTCTTGGTTGAGGGGTCTTGGACTCGATTCTCCTCCTGGCCCTAGATGTGATGTAGCTGTTCTCACTGTGGATCTGATCTTGTCCTTGGCCTTCACCTTGGGTGTGCCCTTTGTCTTGGTTCTCTGTCTCAGGACACTACACCCTTGATGTTCAAATCCAGGCGTCCTCTGGTTTTGTGTGCACACCTGAACCTGTGTGACTTGACTGCCATCCTTTTCTCCAGCTGCATCTGCAGCTGTGCACACAACACACTTCTTCAACAGCAAGACCATGGGGGCGAATGCTGGGGAAGGCGGTGGGTTATGCTGACTGTGAGGGGCCCCTGGACACCAGGCAGGGCAGCCCACAGGCAGCTGGGAGGGCTCCAGTCCTCACCTGACTGCCCTCACTTGCCGGGGCTGATGGACATGCCTGTGGCCTGGAATGTGGCTCTCTCGTGTCTGCCAGAACTGGGCAGCCACCAGAGCCTGGGCCAGGGGACCTGGGTTCTAATAGCAGCTCTGCCATTTCTCAGTTTGTCATTTCTGGGATGTGAGAACAGGTGTTGAAAGCTCCATATTTAGGGAAGGGGGACAGTTGGGGTAGTCACCCCAGGGTGCTTCCTCTGGCCTAGCAAAAAGAGCCATCTGGGAGCACAGGGTCTGGCTGTGCCCCTCCCCTCGCTGTGCTGCCTCCACAGGTGCCTGCCTCTCTGGGCCCCAAGGCTGCTGGGGATGCCTGGGAGCCTGAGGCCTGCACAGGCTGATTTGGATGTCAGAGGCACCACCCCCAAAGGCTTCCAGAACAAAGGCTCTGAAAGCTGGGGGTGGTTGGTGGAAACTGAAGAAGGAAGGAGCCCCTGCTAGGCCAAGGGAATGCATGAGAGAAGTGGAGAGTCCCTGGGGAGGAGTGGCATCTGGAGACTTCAGCATCCTCTGCCCTTCTCCCTTCGCAGGCTCCTGGGTGCACCGGCTTGCAGGCCACTCGCCTCCCCGCCCCCCGCCCCCCGCACAGACCAGAGCTTGGGGCTGCACAAGATGTGAGGAGGCATAGGCAGGGGGCGGGGGCCAGAGGCGGGAGCAAGTGCAGGCAGGTGGCGGCAAGTGCAGGCAGGTGGGGCACAGAGAATGGAAAAAGCATGGGGTGAGAAGCAGACAGAGACAGATGGAGAGCTGGGAGCGCGCAGGCCGGGAGAGCGCAGGCTGGGAGAGCGCAAGGGAGGGAGAGCGCAGGCTGGGAGAGCGCAGGCCGGGAGAGCGCAGGCCGGGAGAGTGCAGGGGAGAGAGAGTGCAGGCTGGGAGAGCGCAGGGGAGAGAGAGTGCAGGCTGGGAGAGCGCAGGCGGGGAGAGAGAGCGCAGGCCGGGAGAGCGCAGGCCGGGAGAGCGCAGGCCGGGAGAGTGCAGGGGAGAGAGAGTGCAGGCTGGGAGAGCGCAGGGGAGAGAGAGTGCAGGCTGGGAGAGCGCAGGGGAGAGAGAGTGCAGGCTGGGAGAGCGCAGGCGGGGAGAGAGAGCGCAGGCTGGGAGAGCGCAGGGAAGAGAGAGCACAGGCTGGGAGGGCGCAGGCTGAGAGAGAGTGCAGGCTGGAAGAGCGCAGGCTGGGAGAGAGAGTGCAGGCTGGGAGAGCACTGGCTGGGAGAGCGCAGGGGAGAGAGAGTGCAGGCCAGGAGAGAGAGCGCAGGCGGGGAGAGAGAGCACAGGCTGGGAGAGCGCAGGGGAGAGAGAGTGCAGGCTGGGAGGGTGCAGGGGAGAGAGAGTGCAGGCTGGGAGGGTGCAGGCTGGGAGAGAGCAGGGGAGAGACAGTGCAAGCTGGGAGGGCACAGGGGAGACAGAGCCCAGGCTGGGAGAGCGCAGGCTGAGAGAGAGCAGGGGAGAGAGAGTGCAGGCTGGGAGAGCGCAGGGGAGAGAGAGCGCAGGCTGGGAGAGCGCAGGCAGGGAAGAGAGATCTGTCATCCTAGTTGTGATCCTCATGTCTCAGAATGGAGTCACTCATGTCAAAATGCATGAAGCCGGACTGGCACAGTGGCTTACGCCTGTAATCCCAACACTTTGGGAGGCCGAGACGGTTGGATCACTTGAGGTCAGGAGTTCGAGACCAGCCTGGCCAACATGGTGAAACTCCGTCTCTACTAAAGATACAAGATACTAGGCACAGAGCGAGCCAGCAGGGCTGCGCCCACTGTCTCTGAAAGATGGATCCCTCCACTGCCCCAGTGGGATGGGAGACCAGCGAATTCGGCCAAAAAAAGACTATTCTTGAGCCTTACGATCTAATGCTGTTTGCTTTATTGCCTTCGTCCCTGCTCAGGACCTGTTACCCTTTCTTCTTTCCTATTTCTCCTTTTTGGAATAGGTGCGTCTGTCCTCTGCCTGTCCCACCCCTGTGTTTCCCAAGCTCACATCTCGTTTGCTTCTGTAGGCTCACAGCTGGAGGAGAATCCGCCTCGGGATGAATCACACCTTGAGTCTCACCCAGCTGTGATTTACATGATATTTAAATGAGACTTTTGGACTTAGACCGTCAAGTTGATGCTGGAATGACTGGAAACTTTTGGTCTGTTAGGATGGAGTGAACCTATTTTGCATATGAGGAAGACATGAATTTTGCAGGGCAGAATGCTATGGCTGGAAAGTTTGTGTCCTCTAAAAATTCCTATGCTGAAATCCTAGTCCCCAAGGACTGAGTATCAGGAGGTGGGGTCTTTGGGGAGGTGATTAGGTCATGGTGGCAGAGCCCTTATGAATGGGATTTGTGCCCTTAAGAAAGAGGGCCAAGGGAGCTCATGCACCCTTCCCCCACATGAGGTCACAGTGAGAGTGTGGCATCTGTGAACCAGAAAGCCTTGGCCAGACACAGAATCTGCCAGCACCTCGATGAACCAGAAAACAGGCCTTGGGCAGACACAGAATCCACCAGCACCTCGATGAAGCAGGAAGCAGGACTTAGCCAGACACGGGATCCGCCAGCGCCTCGATGAACCAGAAACCAGGCCTTAGCCAGACACGGAATCCACTGGCACCTCGATGAAGCAGAAAGCAGGACTTAGCCAGACACGGAATCCACTGGCACCTCGATGAAGCAGAAAGCAGGACTTAGCCAGACACTGGATCCACCGGCACCTCGATGAAGCAGGAAGCAGGACTTAGCCAGACACGGGATCCGCCAGCGCCTCGATGAAGCAGGAAGCAGGACTTAGCCAGACACGGAATCCACCAGCGCCTGGATGAACCAGAAAGCCTTAGCCAGGCACGGAATCTGCCAGCACCTTGATCTTGGACTTCCAGCCTCCAAAGCTGTGAGACATAAGTGTCTGTTTTTTATAAGACACCTGTGCTGTGGTATTCTGTCATAGTAACCCCAACAGACTAAGACACCTTCCTTCCCGTTCCCCTTCTCTTCCCTCCCCTTGTAGCATGGAAGAGACAGCCAAGGGGTTGAGGACATGAGGAAGTGATGGAGATTGGGAAGTCACACTGAGGCACAGGCTGGAGCCTGGCAGCTGCACAAAGGTGTGGACCCAGGGCTCTGGCTTCCTAGGACACAGGGGGTGGCAGGAGTGCAGGGGAGCCCCTCAGAATGCAGGCCACTGGGCCCCATTGCCAAGGGGTGTCAGGGAAGGGGCACAAAGTGAGTGGACGGAGGCCATCAGTGCAATAGGGAGATCAGTAATGTTAAGCAAACAAGTAAATATATTCAGGATGAAGGAGATCGAGTTACTCCCTGCTGGGGAAGACATTCACAAACACAGAAGTCTGAGAGGCTAGAAAGAATCCTGGGGTGTTGGGTTGGAACTGAGAGTACTGGTAAGAACTCATGGCTGTTGACTAGATGCACAGATAGATACAAAGATACTTACAGATGAGTGTCGTGTACGGATAAACACACACATACTTCCCAGGCTGCCCACTGAGAGGACTCAGCGGCATTAACACCCTGGCAGCAATGAGCAGACCTAGTGCCTGGATCTTGGTTTCTAAACACCATCCTGCACTAAAAGGAATGATTCCAGGGCCAGGCAGGGAAAGAGTAAAATGAGCCTGGGACATCCTTTTGTGCCATAAAGGACAGACTTAGTCAATGAATGATATAGGCTTGTCAAAGGGACACAGCCCGAAGGGGCTCCCATGCCTAAATCAGAAACCATTTTAACATCAAAAATAAATGATTGCCCGAGCATGGTGGCTCATGCCTATAATCCCAGCACTTTGGGAAGCCGAGGCGGGTGGCTCAGTTAAGATCAGGAGTACAAGACCAGCCTGGACAACATGGTAAAACCCCATCTCTATTAAAATAAAAAAATTCACCGGGCGTGGTGGCAGGCGGCTGCAGTCCCAGCTACTCAGGAGGCTGAGGTAGGAGAATCACTTGAACCTGGGAAGTGGAGGTTGCAGTGAGCCGAGATTGTACCGTTGCACTCCAGCCTGGGTGACAGAGACTCACTCTCAAAACAAATAAACAAACAAACAAACAAATAAATAAATAAAGGTAATTCATGGATTATAGCCCTCTGAATAAAATAGGAACCCACAAGTTAATAGTGTACATGAAGGAACAAGGAAGATGAGAAAACACATTTGTTAATAGTCACATATCAGCTAATAAACGCAGAAGGAATTACAGAAATGAAGGTTTGTCCATGGGCAACTCTCCTGGAGGCGGCTAATTTGGGGCGGTTGTTCGAGCTGTGAGGCTGCTGGGTGGAGACTTAAAGAACAGGACATTGGTGGAATCCGGAACGACTCCCACAAAAGACCAATCAATTACAAAGGGAAAAAGGAGATCTCAGGTGGAGAAACCTGGCCGACCCCCACAGGACCAGGGGCCAGGGCTGGCATCCGAGAAAGAATGATGGCAGAGAGTGCACGTCCGCAGCACGATGGGGCAAAGGCAGTGACCACTTCCTGGAGAGACAGAGGGGACATGGGAGCTCTTAGTACTGCTCTGGAAACTTCTAAGTAAGTGTTGCTTAACATTTCTTATACAGATTACATAGATAAATGATAGATAGATGATAGATAGATGATAGATAGATGGTAGATAGATAGATAGATAGATAATAGATAGGTGATAGAGATAGATGATAGAGATGATAGATATAGACAGATAATAGATAGATGATAGAGATTAGATAGATAGATAGATATAGATAGATAGGTAGATAGATAGATAATAGATAGATGGTAGAATAACATAACAAACACTTGTAAACTCACCACCCACATATGTTCTATTTTAACATTTTGACATAGTTGCTTCTAATTATTTTAAAGACATGATTTGGCCGGGCGCGGTGGCTCATGACTATAATCCCAGCACTTTGGGAGGCCAAGGCGGGCGGATCACCTGAGGTCAGGAGTTCGAGACCAGCCTGGCCAACATGGTGAGACCTCCGTCTCTACTAAAAATACAAAAATTAGCCGGGCATGGTGGCACACACCTGTAATCCCAACTACTCGGGAGGCTGAGGCAGGAGAATCGCTTGAACCCAGGAGGCGGAAGTTGCAGTGAGCCGAGATCGCACCACTGCACTCCAGCCTGGGAAACAGAGTGAGACCCAGAGGTAACCCCATCCTTCACACGGGGCTATCCTTGCCCTCCAAATGTGTCTGTATCTTTGCTAAAGATGTGCTTAATACACAGTGTCTGTCAGGCTGGTTGAAAATTTTTACATCATGGCATCCCCTACGCACGCCTGTGCGGTTGCTTTCTCACTTGCCATCGTCTGGGCACACGACGGGGGGGATGTTGGTGCAGGTGGTGCAGGTGCTAACCTGCCTCCCGTATTTGCGCCCTTGTAGTCCACACCTCATGGATCTGGGTAGGGCCTATGTTGTAGTTCTGGGTCTGAGTCTCACGAGGACTGGGCAGCTCTGTCTTATGCCTCTTGGAAGCCAGAGGTGACCATGGATGAAGCCCAGCTGCCCCTCTAAAGACACCAGGTGGAGAAGCCACGTGCAGAGGGAGAGAGCCTGAGGCTACATGGAAAGAAATCGGGGAACCCAGCTGACAGCAGGAATTGAGGCCCCAGAAATGCGACTCCAGTGGAGCGGCTCCGGCCAGCCTGCAGCTGTCCAAGCCACAGAGCCACGAGCGAGGAAGGAAGCCAGCACAGACATTCCAGCCCTGCCATCTCGCAGGCAATGGGAGGACCTTCCACGTGTGCCCTCCCCACCGCTGTGCACAGAGCTCTCTTGGCCCCACAACCTCCCCAATGCTCGGTGTGGTTGGTCTCCTCAATTTTCTACATTTTGATGAATGTGCTGATGTATCTTCTGCTTTGCATTGCATTTCCCTGGTGTTAATGAGGTTGGTCACCATTTCATGTTTATTGGCCACGGGACATCTTCTTTTGTGAAGTGTTTGTTCAATTCTACGCATATTGCCTCCTAGGCTGCCGGTCATTTTTTCATTGGTTTGTAGAAATATATATATATATACACACACAAGCACACACACAGAGGCAGGAGGAGAGAGAGAGAGATGATTCAATTTAATATGTTCATTACATACTTCCAGGGTTTTTTGTTTATTTGTTTTTTGTTTTTGACACAGAGTCTCGCTCTGTCGCCCAGGCTGGAGTGCAGTGGCGTGATCTCGCCTCACTGCAAGCTCCGCCTCCCGGGTTCACGCCATTCTCCTGCCTCAGCCTCCCAAGTAGCTGGGACTACAGGCGCCCGCCACCACGCCTGGCTAATTTTTTTATTTTTAGTAGAAACAGGGTTTCACCATGTTAGCCAGGATGGTCTCGATCTCCTGACCTCGTGATCCACCCACCTCGGCCTCCCAAAGTGCTGGGATTACAGGCGTGAGCCACCACGCCTGGCCAACTGCCAGGTCTTATATGTTAATATCTTGTTGAGGATTTCTGTTTATGTTCATGAGTGAGACTGGTCTGTAAGTTTATTTTTTCTCTGTTGAGTTTGGGTATCACGTTTTCCTGGAGGTGAAACATGACAGGTGGAGTTGCTGTTCCCATTATGCCTCGGCTCTAGAAGAGTTTGTGTGAGATGGGTGCTATTTATTCCTTAAATGTTTAGTAGAATTCACTGGTGAAGCATTTGTGACTAGAGGTTCCACTGTGTGAAATATTTTCATGACAGATCCAATTTATTTAACAAATGTGGGGTCATTTATCTTTCTTCTTTCAGTTTTGGTAAGTTATAATTTTCTAGGAATTTTTCCATCTCATCAAAACTTTCAAATTTGTTAGCATGTTCCTTGTGCTCTATTTTTTTTCTATTATCATTATACTTTAAGTTCTAGGGTACATGTGCACAATGTGCAGGTTAGTTACATATGTATCCATGTGCCATGCTGGTGTTCTGCACCCATTAACTCATCATTTACATTAGGTATATCTCCTAATGCTATCCCTCCCCCCTCCCCCACCCCCCGACAGGCCCCGGTGTGTGATGTTCCCCACCCTGTGTCCAAGTGTTCTCATTGTTCAATTCCCACCTATGAGTGAGAACATGCAGTGTTTGGTTTTCTGTCCTTGCGAAAGTTTGCTCAGAATGATGGTTTTCAGCTTCATCCATGTCACTACAAAGGACATGAACTCATCCTTTTTTATGGCTGCATAGTATTCCATAGTGTATATGTGCCTATTTTTAATATCCACAGATCTCCAGCAATCTCCCCTTTTCCTTCCCCATCACAGGGTGCCTTCCTTCATTGTTTTTTTGGTCAGCATCACCAGAGATTTACGAGTTTGGGGCACTTTCAAAGAATCGATAGTTGACTTTTTTGGCCCTCAATGGAAGGTGTGTTCTGAAGGTTTCTCCTCCCTGTGTCTCTAGCCCTCCCTCTAAGGACGTTTCAAACACCTCTTCTATACCAATCAGCTCATGTCTCCTGAGGAAGAACGCTCTTGATTTCTCTTGTGTGAGTCTGTATTTATTTCACCTTTATTCTTGGAGAGTATTTCCACTAGGAATAGAATTTAGGTTGGCAGTTAATTATTTCACTTAACAATTAAATTCTTTCAATATTTTGAAGATCACATTCCCTTGTAGTTTGGCTTTTATATTTCTATTTCGAAGTCAGATGTTAGTGTGATTGGTGTCCTTATGAAGGTAATGTGGCTTTTTTCCTCCAACTGTTAAGTGTTCTATTCATCTTTGGTTTTCAGCAATTTTACTATGTTGTGTCTGGGTGCAGTTTTCTTGTATTTACCCTGCTTGGGTTTGTAACACTTCTTGAGCCAGGACTTTATAGCTGTTTTATTACCTTTATCTCAATATCTTGAGACATACCATAAAATCTATCATAACCTGGTAGCAGGATCCAAAAATTCAATCACAGAAAATGGGGGCAGGTGCCATTACTGTGAGGCCAGTGAAAAACAATGTTTTCAGCTACTAACCCAGCCATGTGTGACCACGGCCTGGGCTCGGCACTGCCCTGTGTGTTGGCCAGTGGCCCATGATGATCTAGTGAGGCTGGAAGGCTGGATGGAGCCAGGAAGCAGGTGCAGGCTGAGGTCGCGGGGCAGAGTCTGGTGCTGGGTGATGGGGAGAGAGAGGACGCTTCGGTCTCTGTACGGGGTGGGGAGCTGGTACCAGCTGCAGCCGACAGGTAACTGTTTCTTTCACTCTCCTGAGTTCTTGTTCAGGATGCTTCAGCCCTGAGGCTTTGATGGGTGAAGAAAGTTCCCAATGGCTGTGATACACTCTTCCCTGCACAGAAAATAAACATGTAGCTTTTAATACAAGAACTCACATGATTGTTTGCTTTTTCTTTCAAATACTCCTGTTTTTATACCTTGGAATCTTGTCTATTTTATCTTGTTCCCAGTTTATTTATTTATTTTTTTTTTTGAGATGAAGTCTCGCTCTGTCGCCCAGGCTGGAGTGCAGTGGTGCGATCTCAACTCACTGGAAGCTCCACCTCCTGGGTTCAAGAGATTCTCCTGCCTCAGCCTCCCAAGTAGCTGGGATTACAGGCGCCCGCCACCACACCTGGCTAATTTTTTTTGTATTTTTAGTAGAGATGGGGATTCACCATGTTGGCCAGACTGGCCTTGAACTCCTGACTTCAGGCAATCAGCCTGCCTTGGCCTCCCAAAGTGCTGGGATTACAGGCATGAGCCACTGCGCCCAGGCTCCCAGTTTATTCTTTTACGTCTCCAATTATTTAAAACTATGTATCATGCAGTGCCTCTCCAAAGTGCTATTATTCCGCGGTCTCATGGAACAAATTCTGCCCTTTGCTGTGCCTACAACATGTCGCCCTCAGTGGGTGTGTTACCTAATGAGTTTTGAAATCATGAATCTTGAAGCTGTCTTCTGGGAGCCCCTATTTCAGGGGATTCCTTTCCCTTCATATCCAGGTCTCATCTTCTTTCCCCAGGAGCCGCAGGGATGTCACTAAGGCAAGACCACACTTTGGTGTGATTTATTGGCTTGGCACCTCTGCAATTATGCAGGCAGCATCCACTCCAACCCCAAAGCCATCTGAAGTTCAGGCCTGTGTGTACATCTCAGGGCAGTTGTTTTTTTTCCTACCCAGAAGCCAGGCCGATACAGGCAAAATCCCTTTTCGTTCCCTGTTCTGCAGGGTAGAGGTTTCTGTAGTCCCCCCTGCAGAGACAGCGTGGCCCTTCCAAAGTCCTGCTTCCTGCAAGGTCTCAGTTTTACGCCCCCCAAGGCCAGAGCTTGTCCCCAAGACCCTTGGCTAAGCACACCAGACCCCTGCAACGCTGCAGGCAAACGGTCCTGGATCCCAATGCCCTCTTTGTTGTGCGGTATCAATTCACCCCCCAGATTCCCCTTTGCTTGTTGTAAATTCAGCGTACTTTTCAAAGAATTCAACTTTTTCAAGTATCTTCTAGCTCAAACTTTTGTCAAAAATGAAAACCTCTTAAAATTCTCTCTTCTTTTATCTTTTATTTCAAAGGATATTAAATAATAGTACTCAAGGCTGGGCGTGGTGGCTCACACCTGTAATCCCAGCACTTCGAGAGGCCAAGGCAGGGGGATCACTTGAGGTCAGGAGTTCGAGACCAGCCTGGCCAATATGGTGAAACCCTGTCTCTACAAAAAAAAAAAAAAAAAAAAAAAAAAAAAAAAATATATATATATATATATATATATATATATACACGTATCATATATATACACACATATATACACGTATATATATATATGTGTGTATATATATATACGTATATATATAGACACACACACACACACACACACAACATTAGCTGGGTATGGGGGTGCATGCCTGTAATCCCAGCTACTTGGGAGGCTGAGGCAGGAGAATCGCTTGAACCTGGGAGGCGGAGTTTGCAGTGAGCCAAGATTGCGCCATTGCACTCCAGCCTGGGCAACAAGAGCGAAACTCCATCTCAGTAAATAAATAAATAAATAAATAATAGCAGTACTCAAGGTAAAATCCAGAACTTGCCGTAGTTTCTCTGCCCTCTACTGGTGAGGCCTCACCGTTTGAATTGTTTCAAAAGCCCAAGCCTGTAAGTTCACCCCACATGGCCTCTCCCATCTCAGAAGGGACACAGGGACAGCCAGTGTTCTCTAGGATTGGCAGCTCCTCTATTCTTTATCCCCCAGATCCCCCAGGGACCGGGGATGAGGACAGGCCAGCTGATTTTTCTCCTTTCCCACTTGGGATGCTGAGAGGTGAACTGGCTGCATTCCCTAGGAGAGATTTTACAAGTACATTAACACGCAAGGGATAAAGGCAGCAAAGACTGGCATGAATTCCTGATGCTTGCAGCTCACAGCTGCTCCCTGCTGGCTGCGTGTGGCCACAAGACCTCTCTCCAAGAGGGTGCAGGAGGAACCTCCTTGGCTGGACTGAACCTGGGGCTTCCTCCAGCTGCTCCCGACAAGGACAGGGCAAGAGAGGGTACTCGAGCTGGCTGTTTTCCTGCCCATGGCAAGAGTCCTCTGGTGGGCATCTTTGGCTTGAAGGCAACCTGATGGCTGGCTGAGGCTTTTTTAGAACTGTGCTGAAGTTGGAAACTCTTTCTATGCAACATCCTTCTTGGGTCCTAGCAGGCCATGGGCCAAGAAAACAGACAGCAAGGCCGGGCGCGGTGGTTCACGGCTGTAATCCCAGCACTTTCAGAGGCTGAGGTGGGCGGATCACCTGAGGTCAGGAGTTCAAGACCAGCCTGGCCAACGTGGTGAAACCCCATCTCTATTAAAAATTCAAAAATTAGCCAGGCGTGGTGGCAAGCACCTATAATTCCAGATACTCGGGAGGCTGAGGCAGGAGAATCGCTTGAACCAGGGAGGCGGAGGTTGCAGTGAGTGGAGATCGTGCCATTGCACTCCAGCCTGGGGCACAAGAGCGAGCCTTCATCTCAAAAAAAAGGGGAGGGGGAGGAAAGGGAAGGGAGAAAGCAGACAGCAAGTGGGATTTTGAGACCAGCCAGCCATGGCCTGCCTGGCAAGGGAGGGCCACCTGGAGTGGAAGGTGGGACCTGGATGGTCCCTGGCTCAAGGCAGGGGCTGGTCACGGAGGGTTCACTGGCGGTGGCCTGAGCAAGCACCCCGGGAAGGACTATGCTTTAGCCCATGTGATGGTTAAGCGGCCTGGAGGGTCTTGGGGGCAAATGCCTATAGGGACAGCCATGCGCTAGCCGTCATCAAGTCACACTAACCCTACAGGGGATAATGAGAACACCAGGAGGTGCATAAGCGTCAGGACAAGTGTGAAGGCATGGGCCCCTGCAGAGGATGGGCAAAGCTGTGGGGCAGTCAGAACACAACAGAGTGCGAGCCCAGGAAGCTCTAATGCTCAGCCAAGGCAGGTCTGTGCACCAAGGCTGGGTCCCTGGAGGTGAGACCCAGAGATCCAAGGGGTGGATATCGGGAAGTGCCTGCAGACACCCTGACCCCACAGGCAGCAGGTGCATCTGTGCCGGGGCCAGTCGCCTCCATTCTGGGACACACCCTGCCCTCCTGGCCTTGGTGGGGTGATCTTGGGTTTTATTATTACTGATGTGCTGTCTTGACCCAGTTTTGAGGCCCTAGAGGCCGGTCAGTTCCCTCCTTGAGCAGCCAGTTAAGTCCACACCCAACCACCTCCTCATTGGCCCCTCACACTCCAGGCCACTGCACATTTGTCCAAATCTGCCCCAGGGCCAAGGGCCAGACTATCAGGGACAGCCCTGTGACCCAGAGCTCAAAATCACCCAAATTAGCCAATCCACAGGGAGCCCCAGAAACCCAGCCACCCCACCTGCTGTCCACACACCAGCCACCCGGCAGCCCCAGCTGTCTGCTACCCTGTCCCCGGGTGCCTCATGCAGCCCTGCCTGGACGCCTTCCTCGTTTGGAGCTGTAAGTGACAGAGTGCTCTGCTTTTCATCTCTGGAGTGTCAGTGTGCCGTGCCCTACCTCAGAAGAACTTTCAGATCCTATATAATGGGTGTCCAGCCTGGCCTCCAGCCCCACCCCCAAGAGGGCTAGGCAGGGTGTCCTTCTGCCGTTGCCCAGGGTTGATCTGGGGCAAGGGGCCGGTGGCCAGTGCTGGTTCGTCATCTTGCCATCTATTAAACATATTCTTAGGCATTATTTTGTTGCTTTTGACTCTGTTACATGTAGAATTCATTGTTATTATTTCAATTTCTATGATAACTGGTTGTTGCCAGTACATAAAAGCAATTTTATATGTTCAATCACTTACTCAAAGCATCTTATTGGTTCTGTAGGTTATCAGATGAATGAAGCTTTTGGATCTTCTCGATGGGCATCCCTGTCTTCTGCAGGGAGGGGAGAATGTCAGCACTTCTGGCCTACCGTGCACAATCTCTACTGCATCTGCCTGCCTTCATCTGCCATGAGGATCCCCAAATGCAGGTTGAGGGGTAGCAGTGAGACAGGCATCCCTGACTTTTTCGCAGCTTTAATGCTGATCACTAATATTTCATCAATTAATATGTTATCTGTCCTTTTTGAAAAAGTAGGTGTGATTTGTAGGTGCATTATTTAAATTCCATATTTTATTTTACTTTATTTTTTTGAGACAGAATCTCACTCTGTCGCCCAGGCTGGAATGCAGTGGCGTGATCTCGGCTCACTGGAACCTCTGCCTCCCAGGTTCAAGCGATTGTCCTGCCTCAGCCTCCCGAGTAGCTGGGACTGAAGGCATGTGCTTCCACGCCCGGCTAATTTTTGTATTCTTGTATTTTTAGTAGTGATGGGTTTCATCATGTTGGCCAGGCTGGTCTCAAATTCCTGACTTCAAGTGATCTGCCCACCTTGGCCTCTCAAAGTGCTGGGATTACAGGCGTGAGCCACCACACCCGGCCCCCTTTTATTTTAAATAGAAGATTTTATGAGAAATGACTGCTAAATTTCGTCAAGTACTTTTTTCACTAATTACAACATAATTACATGATTTGTGTACTTTAGTGTACTGATGTAATGTATTATATTCTGCTTCCTAATATCAAGTCACTGTTACATGTATGCAATCAAAGCTTGACTATGGTGTGCTGTTCCTTAATAAATGACTGTGTACAAATTTATGATATTTTATTTGGATTTTTGCGTCCATTTTACAAAATAAATTGGAATATTTTTCTCATACTATATCAAAATTTGATACGAAGTTACATTAGCTATATAATATGAATTGGAAAAATTTTCACCTTTTTCTATTTTCTGGAATATTTTTTAAAATACTAGAAGAACTTGTTCCTTACCAATGAGGAAGAAGTCAGCTTTAAAACCATTTGGTGTTGGCACATTTTGCACTAACAAATGTTAAATGGACTTGCCAATTTCTTCCTTTTTTGATTTACCCAAGTTTTCCACTTATTCTGGTAATGTATTTCCTCTCAATTTTCACATTTCTTGCCATAAAATTATACATATGATATAATTCACTTAATCATTTTATTTTTTATAGTCATGTCTTTGTTGAAATATGTTCCGACGTCTTTGATACCCCTCCTTTCTAAAGGCAGAATCAGCCTTAGAGGCTCACACCCCACACATGGAATGTGGCAGAGTGACACTGTGTGACTTCAGACATGAGGCTGCAAAGAACACTGCAGCCTCCGCTGTGCTCTCTGGGATCCCTGCGTGGAGGAAGAGGCCACCCATGAGGACACTCAGCGAAGACGTGCAGAGATGACCACGTGCCAAGAATCCAAGGCCTCCCGCCAAAGGGCAGCATCTGCCTGCCGGCAGCACAGTGCACCATCTAGGAGATGGGTCCTCCAGCCCTAGCCGAGCCTTCGGACCACTTCACCCCAGACAACATCTAGCCTCACGCAGCCGGAACCACCTGTGGCGAAGGCTAAAATGACTCCATCTTGGATGCTGACCCGCCATGTGGACTTCCGATGAACCCTAGTTCTGGGTCCTTAGGTCAAAACAACCTTAATGTTATTGTAAACACAAAATCCTGCCCTTAAGCGAGTTACAGGCTGCGGTGCAGGTGGCATTCTTGCCTTCTCCTGAGGGTGGACCAGCAGGCGGCATTCTTGCTTCTTCCTGAGGGGTAGGCCAGTTGTCTTACACATCCTTCTGAAGCTCCCGCTCCCTTTCCCTCTGCTACCTAAGCCCTGGGTCCGCGGGTAGCAATGCATGGATCTCGCGGCCGCCCGCACCGTGGCTTCTGCTCCCATCGCACTGTTGAATGTTTCTTTCTGAGAAACAGGATTTGTCGGCCTTTTTCTTCAGCCTCTCAGCTCCCTCAGCCTTTGTGGGTAAGTGGCATAGACCTGCTCGCCACAGAGCGCCACCCAGCAGGCTTTTCTGAACAACCCACAGAAACTGCGATCGTAAATGCTTTTTGACGTTGTAAACCTCTAAGTTTCAGAGCAATTCTTTTAATGTGACAATAGATAACTAATGCACCAGTATTGTTTTATTTTCTCTCTCCCATTTATTTTCAGCCAGCCAGAAAAAAGCAGTCTGTTTGTCGAGCTGATCCTGTAAATCTGATGTTAGTAAAAACGGGGACCCTGCCTCCCTACTGAGACCAACCCCCATCCCCATCCTGTCCACACCCTGCACAGCTACGGCAGTGAGTTTCAATCTACGGCGGGCTTTGGAAATACTCACAGTTAAATGCCAACAATGACCACCTGTTTCCTCAGGTTGGTTTAGGAGACCGTGAAACCCTCTACTCACCTCCAATTCCCAATTAATCACACTCATGGCCGCTTGCTGTTTCTACGAACGAAAAGCCTGCATTCCAGCAGATGTGAGCGTCTCCAGAATCTCCGCTTGAGTTGCCCCAGAAACACCTAGAGCCCAGTCTCCACGCCTGCGGGGGAGCCACACTCCCCGGGCTGCTGCGGCCCCCAGGGTGCCACCTCCCTCTGCAACAGCCTTTAACAGCTCTGCAAGTTCTGTGGGGCTGTCCCACGGAGAGGTGAGGTCTGAGAAGGGAGTGGAGGCACAGGGCTCCTGCGGCCACGTCAGAAACGCCCTGCAGCTCCCACCTGACATCTTCGGAGGCTCCACGAGAGGAGACCAGCCCCATGCGGAAAAGCCCAGCACCCTGTGAGCGCCACTCTGCAGACACCATGTGTGGCGTCCAGGCAACAGCCCCGCCAGAGCTCCAGCCTCATGGGTGTCCCATCTTGGACTCACAGCCCAGTGACTTCTGAACACACTCATATGACAGACTCAGGAAAGAATTGCCCCAAAGACCCCTCCCCGAATTCCTCACCCTAAAATATGACCAAAATAAGATGGCTGTTTTCAGCTGTAAGTTGGGGATGTGTCGCACGCCGACAGAGACAGGAGCGCCCTCCTTCCAAACCATAAACCTAGCATCGCTCGACAGCACCGAAGCCACTTCCAGACACTCTGCTGAAAGGAGTTTGGGAAACGTGTTTGGCTTTCTAGTCTCTGCGGGAGAGCAAGGTGTGCCCACAGAGGGCAGAATGGATGTAGTGGGGCCGCCTCTGGACATCCCAGCCTCTGAGTCTCAACCAAGCCAGCACGCCGTCGCGGGCGAACCCATGCAGGGCTCCTTGCCGTCTCTGAGCTGGGACGTCCACAGCGCTAAGTGACTGAACGCGACATGACATGTGCACAGGAGGGCTCTGGAATGGCCACCTGTGTGTCTAATTCAAAAAGCTTTCATTTTACACACCCCTGACACAGTGCACCAAGAGCCTGGCTCCCAGGCTCACAGCACGTCCATGCATGGGGGGAGCGTGTGTACACATGCATGCATGTGATGTGCTGTGGTGTGCGTGGTGTGCCCGTGCACAAATGTGTGTGTCAGTGTGTGGGTATGATGGGCGTGCACGTTTATGTATGGTGTGTATGTGGGTGTGAGGTAGGTGTGCATGTGTGTGGTGTGTGTGGGGGTGTGAGGTAGGTGTGCATGTGTGTGGTGTGTGGGTGTGTGGTAGGTGTGCATCTGTGTGGTGTGGGTGTGTGGGTGTGATAGGTGTGCATATGTGTGGGGGTGTGTGGTAGGTGTGCATGTGTGTGGTGTGTGGGTGTGGTAGGTGTGCATGTGTGTGGTGTGTGGGTGTGGTAGGTGTGCGTGTGTGTGGGTGTGGTAGGTGTGCATGTGTGTGGTGTGTGTAGGTGTGTGGTAGGTGTGCATGTGTGTGGTGTGTGTGTGTGGTAGGTGTGCATGTGTGTGGTGTGAATGTGTGGGTGTGTGGTAGGTGTGCATGTGTGTGGTGTGTGTGGGTGTGGTAGGTGTGCATGTGTGTGGTGTGTGTGTGGTAGGTGTGCATGTGTGTGGTGTGTAGGTGTGTGGTAGGGGTGCATGTGTGTGGGGGTGTGGTAGGTGTGCATGTGTGTGCAATGTGGGTGTATGGGTGTGTGGTAGGTGTGCGTGTGTGTGTTTGGTAGGTGTGCATTTGTGTTGTGTGTCTATGCGTTTGGTAGGTATGCATTTGTGGTGTGTGTGTGTGTGTGTGTGTGTGTGTGTGTAAGGATGGGTTCACAGTGCACTGGGCCTGGCCTCGTGAAACCCGTGTTTGGAATATGTGGTTCCAGTCTCATAACCTACATGGGCAACCCCACATTGTCCCGCCCCTGGCTACCGCACAAAGAGAGGTTTCTCCCGCTGCGCCTCAGGGGTGCTACTCAGCGCTTTTTCTGTCCAGGAAAGCCTCCCCAGCATCCACCCCACCACTCACAGCTTCCACCCACCGCCCACAGCCTCCAACCACAGCCTCCACCCACCACCCACAGCCTCTATCCACCACCCACAGTCTCCACCCATGGCCTCTAACCACCCACAGGCTCTACCCACCACCAACAGCCTCCACCCACCACCCAGTCTCCACCCACAGCCTCCACCCACCACCCATAGCCTCCACCCAGCCTCCACCCAGTCTCCACCCACAGCCTCCACCCACCACCCACAGCCTCCACCCACAGCCTCCACCCACCACCCACAGCCTCCACCCACCACCCACAGCCTCCACCCACCACCCACAGCCTCCCTAGCCTCCACCCACAGCCTCCACCCACAGCAGCAGGTGAGCACAGGCGGGCATTCTTCCCAACCCCAGGAAACTCCAAAGAGCAGATTTGCCTTCTAGAGGAAAGGAACCCCAAGACTCCAGTTGGGGAGACTTGCTGGGCAGGCCTGGGGCCCCTGAGCAGGCCCAAGGCAGGGAGCAGCTAAGGCCTCCAAGAACAAAGCAGTGACCCTGGGCGCTCCCTGAGCAACTGGAAGCACCGGGTGTTCTGACAGCCCCCAGGAGCTGAGGAGAGGGGCAGGGCCCCAGGCCGACCATAGCCTCCACATTCATAGCACTCTTTGCTGGCCCAACCTTCCAAGATGTTTATCTTTCCATAAACAAGAAAAGAACACCTCAACTGCAACTTTAGCCTGCAACACCCGGTCCCCAAAGCTAGTCTGTTAGAATGCACACCGACAAGCTGGATTCCAAGCGGACCTTCCCAGGTGCAGAACAAAGGCCAGGTGAGATTCCTCTGCCTACCTGAGACCAGAGGTCAGCAGGATTAACTCTTCCTTTGCCTCCCCTCATCCCCAGCAATGTTTGCCCACGGATTACTGTTGGGCACTCGTTAATGAAACCAATTTGCCTAAACGCCTGCCCCCTCTTCCTGCGCTCCTTCTCCCGGTTAAAGAAACGTGTTTATACTGAGCCCCCTACAGACCTCCTCAGAGGACACGGGCCACAGAAGCTTCTGGGCCCACATTTTTCCCGACCATGCCCTCAAGCTGTGGCTCAACAAGCTTCAGCTGATGGAGACCCCTGCTTCAGTCTCCCAGGTTGGCCCTGGGTAAAGGATGAGAAACCCCATCAGACGTGAGAGGGATCAGACATCGAGGCTGCAGGTTTTGGGCTAAACTGACTTAGCAGGATTCTTGCTAAAATTGAATCGTAGAGGAAAGGCACAGATGGGCCTGGGGGAAGGTTCAGAAGCTTGATTACAGATTGGCCAAGCAAACCATCCTCATCAGGTGCTGGGGGTCAGCACTGTGGGGAGAGCAGCCACAGGAAGCCTGCAGGGTCTTCCCAAGGCCAGAGCGGACCCGGAGGAGCCACCCTGAGCCATAGCAGAGCCCAGCTGGCGTGGGTGGGGGCAGGGAAAAGGGAACTGCAGGGATTCTGTGTCCCTGCAAGCAGGAAGGAAGGGGCTGGGGCTGTACTGAACCTGCATCAACAGAGGCCAGCTCCTGCTTCAAATGCAGGGTCCTCTCCCCCTCCAATTGGCTGTGTGCCCAATGGTGTCTGGGAAGCAGGCTGCCACTCACCCTGCTGGGAGTGAGAAAAGAAAAGAACTATTATCTGAGAAATGTGAGTCTTTTTCTATTATCAGGCCCAGAGAGATACTGACATGAGACAGCAGGTGCTTCCTTCTACTACCTTGAGCTATGGACTCATCTCCGGTGGTTGCCATTGCCAGCAGCTATGAATTCACCTGATAATGCCACACTGGAAACGAAAACCCACACCCTGGAGCTTAACCATGTCCAGCCAATCACCCAGCAATGTCACTTCTGTGAACCAATCAGAATTCCTGACAAACAACGTTATATCAGCCACACTCTGCCCCCTTTTTGCCTTTAAAAATTCACTTGTATGGCTGGTCGCCATGGCTCACGCCTGTAATCCCAGCACTTTGAGAGGCCAAGGCGTGCAGATCACCTGAGGTTAGGAGTTCGAAACCAGCCTGGCCAACATGGTGAAACCCCATCTCTACTAAAAGTACAAAAATTAGCCAGGCATGGTGGCAGGTGCCTGTAATCCCAGCTACTTGGGAGCCTGAGGTAGGAGAATCACTTGAACCCAGGAGGTGGAGGTTGCAGTGAGCCAAGATCACACCATTGCACTCCAGCCTGGGTGACTAAGCAAGACTCCGTCTCAAAAAAAAAAAAAAAAATCATTTGTAGCTGGGCTCAGTGGCTCACGCCTGTGATCCCAGCACTTTGGGAGGCCAAGGCAGGCAGATCACCTGAGGTCAGGAGTTCAAGACCAGCCTGGCTAACATGGTGAAACCCCGTGTTGACATTTTTGTAGAAATCTCTACAAAAATACAAAAATTAGCTGGGTGTGGTGGCACACACCTGTAATCCCAGCTACTCAGGAGGCTGAGATGGGAGAATCGCTTGAACCCAGGAGGCAGAGGTTGCAGTGAGCCAAGATCGCGCCACTGCCCTCCAGCCTGGGCAACAGAGCAAGACTTGTCTAAAAAAAAAAAAAAAGACTTGGAATCCATAGAAAGGAATGTCTGGGTTAAGATAAGGGATTGCGACACCAAGATTCTTCTCATTCAGGTAAAGCCTCCAGATAGCAGGCTTCAGGGAGAATGGAATGTAAATGTTTCTTATCAGATCTAAAAGGGTGTCAGTCCCTTAGCTGATTCTCTCCTGGGTCAGGAAAAAGGCCTCAGAAGAAGGGGATTCTCTACAGACTGTAGATGTTTCTCCCACAAGAGACAACTTTGCACGGCTACTTCAAGATATGGCAAATAAACGTATATGCATTTAAAATACCTCATTTCCTTCCTTGTCCGTCATGTGATGCTACACCACAGTCAGGCTGGAAAGGCAGCCGTGTTATGTGGGGTTAAATAAAACCCATTTGAGAGACTCTACGGTCTGTAGGGCACACTCCCCAGGCCTCTTAGGTAGGAATTTGGGCAAAAGAAGAAAAAAGGGCCAGAGTTTAGTCCTCAGAACGCTGACGTGGAACCCCCTGCCCTCAGCCAGCTAGCCTGCCCTGCCCTGTTCAAGCACCATGGGGCCAGGAGTGCCTGAGGGTGGAGGCAACTGGAGGCAGCTGGAGGCAACTGGAGGCAGCTGGAGGCAGGCCCTGGAGTGGTGGGCAGCCCTCCCAGCCTCCTAACCCATGCTCAGACAGGTGACCACTGGCAGGCCCAGCTCCAGGCTAGCCCCAGGGACAGGGAGACCAGTCCCCCTCAGTGGGAGTCTGAGAGGGTGACTCTAAGATTCCCCACCAACACCAACCACTGACTGGTGTGGAGGAAGCCCAGGGTGTGGGACCCTAGCACGGTAGGAGGTGGCCGTCAGGACCAGGAGTGTGAGGCTGGTGGGAAGAAAGGACCTTTTGCCAAATAGGAGGTGGTGTCTTCTTTAGGTATGTCAGGGTGGGAGGCTCCCACTCCATGTCTCATTGACCATCAACAACGGTAGCCCCAGATCCCCAGTGCCCAGCCAGCCTCTCTGGGACCTCTCTGTGCAGGTAAGACTTTGTAAACACTGAAGGGGCTCTTCCTGCCTGCTGCATAAAGAAAGACCATGGCATTGCAATAAGGAAAGAGTTTAATAGACAAAAGGCTGGCCACGCTACAGAGATGGAGTTAGCACTCAAACAACCTCATGCAAAACTCACAGGTTAGGGGTTGTTCAAAGACAGTTTTAGGGGAAGGAGTTGGGGAGGCCAGGTAATAGGTGCTTGCTGCTGATTGCTTAGAGCAGAGATGAAATCACAGGGGGTCAACGCTGAGTCCTAAGGACTGAGTCACTTCTGGGTGGGGTCACACGAGTGGGATTGGCAGGTCCAGGTGGGTCCAGGTGGAGCCACGGTCATGCACAAACACTGGAAAAGATTTCTCAAAAAGCCAATCTACAATAGTGGTGTTATCTGCAGGAATAACTGGGGAAGTTGCAGATCTTATAACCTCAGAAAAAAATGGCTGACAACCCTTTCTGTCTGTGCCTTACCAGGACTCAGGCAAGCTCCACCTCCTGGGTTCAAGCAATTCTCATGCCTCAGCCTCCTGGGTAGCTAGGATTACAGACACATGCCACCACACCTGGCTAATTTTTATATTTTTTGGTAGAGATGGTGTTTCACCACCATGTTGGCCAGGCTGGTCTCAAACTCCTGACCTCAAGCGATCTGCCTGCCTTGGCCTCCCAGTGTGCTGGGATTACAGCTGTGAGCCACCATGCCCAGCCCAGTACCTGTTTTTACTGAAGACAAATCATAGTAGGACAAATTTATTTAAAATAATTTTTCATCTTATACTTGGCCTGAGTGTTTGCATAATGTCAGCACGAATAATTATTTGCCATATAGGCCTGTCTTAAAATTGGCTTTGCTGGAACTTTATTCTATAACGAATCCCAGATTTGACTTTTTTTAAAGCCTTGAGCCCAGCCATGATTTATTGGTGCCTGAAAATACCTATATAAATTGGGCAATGTCCTCTCCTCAAGGTCCCAGGATAATTTGGGGCTCCTGAGCCTGTCAGAAAGTGACATTCTTTACATACTACAGGCAAGGAACTCTGTACAGTGACTGTGTAGACAAGGGATGAGGCCAACTTCATAAGTCAGCTTTGACTCCTTAAAGCAGTCTGTTTGTATCCAAAAGTACATCCTTCCGGTCAAAGCTTTGGTAAAATAACCAGTGTCTCCAATTATGTCCTGTTACAAAAGAAAATACATTCTTATTGAACTTATGCAAATAACTATACTGCCGTAAATTAAGTATACTTGCAAATAGTTTTCAAATTTCTACAGAAATCAGGTAGACAGAAATGTACTTCAGAGTTTACTCACAGGAGGGTACTTTACCCAGTTGTGAAAAGCTGTAGAGTGCTGCTAATGCCCCAGTGAAGAAGCTGAGGTCAACATCAGATTTGAAATATTTAAAGTGGATACAAACTTATTTCAGCAATGCAGACAATTAAGTGTGTTTTTGTGGGCAATGGTGCTGTTGGTAAAACATGTCTCCTGATATCCTACACAACAAACAAATTTCCATCAAAATATGTACCAACTGTTTTTGACAACTATGCAGTCACTGTTATGATTGGTGGAGAAACATATACTCTTGGACTTTTTGATACTGCAGGGCAAGACGATGATGACAGATTATGACCGCTGAGTTATCTACAAACAGATGTATTTCCAGTCTGTTTTTCAGTGGTCTCTCCATCTTCATTTGAAAATGTGAAAGGAAAGTGGGTGTCTAAGATAACTCACCACTGTCCAAAGACTCATTTCTTGCTTGTTGGGACCCTAATTCATCTCAGAGATGACCCCTCTACTATTGAGAAACTTGCCAAGAACAAACAGAAGCCCACCACTCCAGAGACTGCTGAAAAGCTGATCCGTGACCTGAAGGCTGTCAGGTATGTGGTGTGTTCTGCACTCACACAGAAAGGCCTAAGGAATGTATTTGATGAAGCAATATTGGCTTCCCTGGAGCCTCCAGAACTGAAGAAGAGCCACAGGTGTGTGCTGCTAGGAACATCTCTCCAGAGCCCTTTCTGCACAGCTGGTGTCAGCATCATACTAAAAGCAATGTTTAACTCAAACTAAAGATTAAAAATTAAAATTCGTTTTTGCAATAATGACAAATGTCCTGCACCTACCCACATGCACTCGTGTGAGACAAGGTCCATAGGTATGGCCCCCTCTTCCCCCTCCCAGTACTAGTTAATTTTGAGTAATTGCGTATTGTCAGAAAAGTGATTAGTACAAGTTTTTGTTTTGTTGCTTCAAAATTTTTTTGTTTAAAAGCAAGGCATGCTTGTGGATGACTCTGTAACAGACTAATTGGAATTGTTGAAGCTGCTCCCTGGTTCCACTCTGGAGAGTAATCTGGGAGATCTTAGTGTGTGTGTGTGTGTGTGTGTGTGTGTGTGTCTCCTCTTTCTTTGGGAGGAGTGTGTGTGGGGTTTATTTTTTAGTCCTTTTTTTTTTTTAATTCATTAACCAGTGGATAGCCCTTAGGGGAGGAGGACGGATTGATTCCACATTCCACTTCCTAGATATGGTTTAGAAAACATGTTCCCCACCTGGGGCTCTCAGGAAGGAGTATAGTAAATGCCTCATTTAATAACAGACTCCTTTTTGAAAGTTGCCTTTTCTCTCCACCTTTGAGTAGATCCAGTATTTGATGAAACTCATGAAAGTGGGTGGAGCCTGTCTTGCCCCTCCTCTTTTCTAGGACACACTATATGTGACTGTGACTTTCAAAGACATTTGTTTGCCATTTGCTGATTTTGGGGGGAAGTTAATTTCTAACTTCTTTCACTAATAAATGAAGAAAAGTATTGCACCTTTGAAATGCACCAAATGAATTGAGTTTGTAATTAAAAATTTTTTTCCCTGTCAGTCATTGTCTCACATGCTTAGCATCGATTTGCAGCTCAGTAGTATATGGTGTTCCTAGAATGCAGCTGAAGACCTGGTATGTAGAGGAAATACCAGGGGTGGTGCTAGAAGATAGACATCTGTGGAATGATTCACATCCTTTCATTAGGAGGATAGAGGCCTTCTTCATTAAGAAGCTGGGGGTGGGGAGAACACATAACAACATGGGGACCAGTCAGGGGAGTCCCCTTATTTCTGTTTTGCATATGAGGAACCCTACAGCAGCCAGGTGAGGCTCTCTAGTTTAATAAAAATCATGGAAAGAGTCTTTTTTTTTTTTTTTTTTTTGAGCTGGAGTCTGGCTCTGTCACCCAGGCTGGAGTGCAGTGGCATGATCTCGGCTCATTGCAACCTCCACCTCCCAGGTTCATGCCATTCTCCTGCCTCAGCCTCCCAAGCAGCTGGGACTACAGGCACCCACCACCACGCCCGGCTAATTTTTTTGTATTTTTAGTAGAGACGGGGTTTCACTGTGTTAGCCAGGATGGTGTCAATCTCCTCACCTCATGATCCACCTGCCTCGGCCTCCCAAAGTGCTAGGATTACAGGCGTGAGCCACCACGCCCTACCGGAAAGAGTCTTATGAAGACTTTTCATAAGTGTTAATAGGGATTTTATCAGCTTATTTTGGTTGCAGTTTCCAATTTCTTAAAATGTTGAGGTAATCTTTTCCACCTTCCCAATCCTAATTCTTGTAGATTCATTAATGTTAAACCAATGCCTTCTCATATCTCAATTTTTTGTATATGCATTCTTTTCAGATGTATTAAACAAACGAAAGCCCTTCACAAGCCAAAAAAAAAAAGCTATAAACAGCTCAAAAGAAAAAAAAGGTTTTCTAGACTCTGAAAAACAAAAGAATGAGCAACATTTCAAACAAAAAAGCAATGAAAAGATTACTCCCGTCTTCCTTTAGTTCAGTCTATGTAATTGACTTCTGTTCTGCTCAATATTCAGGAACACATTAGCTGTCTGTGGGAGTCTTGGAAGTTTCTCCTCTATTCTAATGCCACAACTGCCAAAGTTCTTAGAAACTTGCCTTCAAGAGCACCTGTCAGAGTCCTATAGCTGATTATAAAACCACCTTGAAAATAAAGTAAAACAATTGTGGATGAGGAAATCTCAGAACGGCCACAGTTAACGTCTGGTCATCTCTGTGGTACACAATAATTTCACATAACAATCCTAATTATTACTGATAACACATACTGAGATATATCTGAATTACAGGAATCTTACACAATTTTGGAACATATACTAATAACATATTCATACAAATACAGCCCAAATAAAGCCAAATACCGTTTCATACTTGACAATGCTTCCTGTATGATTTTACCAAATAAACCAAATATGCCTCTTTTGGACTTTTACCAGATTTTTAAAAAGGCTAACTTTAGGCCGGGCACAGTGGCTCATGCCTATAATCCCAGCACTTTGGGAGGCCGAGGCAGGCAGATCACAAGGTCAGGAGATCGAGACCATCCTGGCTAACACAGTGAAACGCTGTCTCTACTAAAAATACAAAAAATTAGCCAGGCATGGTGGCGGGTGCCTGTAGTCCCAGCTACTTGGGAGGCTGAGGCAGGAGAATGGCGTGAACCTGGGAGGCGGAGCTTGCAGTGAGCCGGGATGGCGCCACTGCACTCCAGCCAGGGTGACAGAGTGAGACTCTGTCTCCAAAAAAAAAAAAAAGGCTAACTTTAGAATTTGACTTTGGAAAGTTTGTCAGATATCAAAGGTTTAATCAAACATTTGATATTACAACATGAAAGTCCAGGTCACTATAAGTAAAGGGGAAAATCTTTACTCATTGACAGAGGGGAGACTCCCCTTTCCAAACAGGACCCAAAAAAGATGGCATGAGGCCAACTGAATGTCCCCTCTTTCCCTCCCTTTTTTCCTGCTGTTATTCAAAAGGCAAACAAAAATATTTCATTCTCTTTTACTATTACATCAAAATCTTGTTCAAAAAGGAAACCCAAATTTCACCTTTCCATTAATGTACTATTAATGTTAAATCTGATTTTTTTTTTTTTTTTTGAGACGAAGTCTCACTCTTGTCCCCCAGGCGGGAATGCAATGGCGCGATCTTGGCTCACTGCAAACTCTGCCTCCTGGATTCAAGCAATTCTCCTGCCTGAGCCCCCCAAGTAGCTGGGATTACAGGCGTCCACCACCACACCCGGCTAATTTTTGTATTTTTAGTAGAGATGGGGTTTCACCATGTTGGCCAGGCTGGTCTAGAACTCCTGACCTCAGGTGATCCACCCACCTAGGCCTCCCAAATTGCTGGGATTACAGGCATGAGCCACCACGCCAGGCCAAATCTGATTCTTAATAAAACCTTACAAACAAGTCTATCCAATCTTACTTTGAACATAAGACAAAATTTCCATAAATGTTTTATAATTTTCTGTTAAACAGCAGATCAGCTCGCTAAGAAAGCCCTGTTATTCAAACACACGGGCCCGGATACTGACCCTGCATCAGTGTGCTTTTATTTCAATGTTCAACCTACGGAAAACTAAATCATCCCCTTTAAATCCTAGCCAACTTGCTCATATCCACAGAACATCCTGAACAAGATCAACCCTTCACAAACCCTTCACGACTTGCTTAAACTTTCAGTTTCGTCCCATTTCTCTGTTAGGTTAGGGCAACCCTTAAAAATCTCTGCAGCAGCAGACAAAATTACATTCTGTTTTACAAAAAAAAAAAACAAAAAAAAACACATATTTCCAAGCCTTCTTATAACCTTTTACAAAGAACACATTCTACTTCCCTTCTACACCTTGCATGTAAATCTGTTTCTCCAGTAGTCTCAAGTATGTGTTACGCTGTTAACTCTTAGCAACTTTTATTTTTGCTGAAAAACCTAGTAAGGAAGCAGTTTTCACCATGTATAAGATTGGAGAGCCCAGGCAAGGAGATTGCTGCAGATAATGTGTGACTCTTCCCAGCCTCACCAGGGGACCTAGCTAACTCCATGTGTCCCCAGGCCTTCCCTAGAATCTAATGGCTATAAAACAGACAAGTCAAACACTTATTAAAAGTCATAGAAGCAGCTTATGGCCTTAAAGTATCTAGCAAATGGTACTAAGCATTCCTAATTTAGACCAAATGGGTAAGCCTCCCAGCAATCATCTTTTAACAGTCTTTATTTTTCAAAGATTATCAATCACATGACCTAAAAGGCATTAAAGTTTCTATTTTCCTGACAGCGTTTGATTTAAGCACTTGCTTTTCTTTTATCACTTAACTTTTATTTTAAGTTCAGGGGTACATGTGTAGGTTTATTATCTAGGTAAACTTGTGTCGTGGGGGTTCATTGTACAGATCATCTCATCACCCGGGTACTAAGCCCCAGCACCCACTTGTAGGGAAAAGAAAGAGAGATCAGACTGTTACTGTGTCTATGTAGAAAGGTAAGACATAAGAAATTCCATTCTGACCTGTACCTTGAACAATTGTTTTGCTGAGATGCTGTTAATTTGTAACTTTGTCCCAGCCACTTTGCCCCAACTTTGAGCTCACAAAAACATGTGTTGTATGGAATCAAGGTTTAAGGGATCTAGGGCTGTGCAGGACGTGCCTTATTAACAAAATGTTTACAAGCAGTATACTTGGTAAAAGTCATCGCCATTCTCTAGTCTCAATAAACCAGGGGCACAATGCACTGCGGAAAGCCGCAGGGACCTCTGCCCTTGAAAGTGGGGTATTGTCCAAGGTTTCTCCCCATGTGATAGTCTGAAAAGTGGCCTCGTGGGATGAGAAAGACCTGACCGTCCCCCAAACTGACACCCGTAAAGGGTTTGTGCTGAGGTGGATTAGTAAAAGAGGAAAGCCTCTTGCAGTTGAGATAGAGGAAGGCCACTGTCTCCTGCCTGCCCCTGGGAACTGAATGTCTCGGTATAAAACCCGATTGTACATTTGTTCAATTCTGAGACAGGAGAAAAACCGCCCTATGGCGGGAGGCGAGACATGTTGGCAGCAATGCTGCCTTGTTATTCTTTACTCCACTGAGATGTTTGGGTGGAGAGAAACATAAATCCGGCCTACGTGCACATCCAGGCATAGTACCTCCCCTTGATTCTTTTGCTCACATGTTTTTTGCTGACCTTCTCCCTATTATCACCCTGCTCTCCTACTGCATTCCTCTTGCTGAGATAATGAAAATAACAATCAATAAAAACTGAGAGAACTCAGAGACCAGTGCCAGAGCAGTTCCTTGGTATGCTGAGTGCCGGTCTCCTGGGCCCACTATTGTTTCTCTATACTTTGTCTCTGTGTCTTCTTTTCTCAGTCTCTCATCCCACCTGACAAAAAATGCCCACAGGTGTGGAGGGGCAGGCCACCCCTTCACCCATTACTTATTTTTCCTGATCCCCTCCCTCCTCCTACCCTCCAACCTCCAATAGGCCCCAGTGTGTGCTATTCCCCTCTATGTGTCCATGTGTTCTCATCATTTAGCTCCCACTTATAAGCGAGAACATGCGGTATTTGGTGCCTGTTCCTGCCTAAGTTTGCTAAGGATGATGGCCTCTAGCTCCATCCATGTTCCTTCAAAGGATATTATCTCGTTCCTTTTTATGGCTGCATAATAATATTCCATGGTGTATATGTACCGTATTTTCTTTATCCAGTCTACCATTGATGGGCATTAGGGTTGATTCCATGTCTTTGCTATTGTGAATAGTGCTGCAGTGAACATACACATTTATGTATTTTTATGACAGAATACTTTACATTCCTTTACGTATATACTTGGTAATGGGATGGCTGGGTCAAATACTATTTCTGTTTTTAAGTCTTTCAGGAATTGCCAAACTGTTTTCTACAGTGGTTGAACTAATTTACATTCCCACCAACAGTGTATAAGCATTCCTTTTTCTCTACTACCTTGTCTTGTCAGCATCTGATATTTTTTGACTTTTTTTGTTTGTTTGTTTGAGAGAGTTTCACTCTTGTGGCCCAGGCTGGAATGCAGTGGCATGATCTCAGCTCACTGCAAACTCCACCTCCTGGGTTAAAATAATTCTCTTGCCTCAGTCTCCTGAGTAGCTGGGACTACAGGCACACACCACCATGCCCAACTAATTTGTGTATTTTTAGTAGAAACAGGGTTTCTCCATGCTGGCCAGGCTGGTCTTGAACTTCTGACCTCATGATCCACCCACCTTGGCCTCCCAAAGTGCTAGGATTACAGGCGTGAGCCACCGCACCTGGCCATTTTTTGACTTCTTAATAATGGCCATTCTGACTAGTGTGAGATGGCATTTAATTGTGGTTTTGATTTGCATTGCTCTAACAATCAGTGATGTTGAGCTTATTTTAATATGCTTCTTGGCCGCATGTATGCCTTATTTTGAAAAGTGTCTGTTCATGTCCTTTGCCTACTTTTTCATGGGGTTGTTTTTTTCTTGTAAAGTCATTTAAGTTCCTTATAGCTGCTGGATATTAGACCTCTGTTAAATGCATAGTTTGCAAAAACTTTCTCCCATTCTATAAGTTGTCTGTTTACTCTGCTGATAGTTTCTTTTGCTATGCAGAAGCTCTTCAGTTTAATTAGGTCCCATTTGTCAATTTTTGCTTTTGTTGCTATTGCTTTTGGTGTCTTCATCATGAAATCTTTGTCATTTCCTATGTCCAGGATGGTATTGCCTAGGTTGTCTTCCAGGGTTTTTATAGTTTGGGGTTTTACATTTAAGTCTTCAATCTATCTTGAGTTAATTTTTGTATGTGGTAAAACATAGGGGACCAATTTCATCCTTCTGCATATGGCTAGCAAGTTATCCCAGAGCCATTGATTAAATAGGTAGTTCTTTCCCCATTGCTTGTTATTATTGACTTTGTTGAAGATCAGATGGTTGCAGGTGTGTGGCCTTATTTCTGGGCTCTCTATTCTGTTCCTTTGGTCTATACAGACCATAATATGTCTGTTTTTATACCAATACCATGCTGTTTTGGTTACTGTAGCCCTGTAGTATAGTTTGAAGCTGGGTAGGATGATTCCTCCAGCTTTGTTCTTTTGCTTAGGATTGCCTTGGCTATTCAGGCTAATTTTCAGTTCCATATGAATTTTAAAGTAGTTTTTTCTAGTTCTGTGAAAAATGTTATTGGTAGTTTAATAGGAATAGCACTGAATCTATAAATTGCTTCGGGTGATATGGCCATTTTAACAATATTGATTCCTCCTATCCATGAGCATGGAATATTGTTCCATTTGTGTCATCTCTGATTTCTTTGAGCAGTGTTTTGTAATTCTCCCTGCAGAGATCTTTCACCTCGCTGATTAGCTGAAGTCCTAGGTATTTTATTCCTCTGTGGCAATTGTGAATGGGATTGCATTCCTGATTTACCTCTCAGCTTGACTCTTGTTGGTGTATAGGAATGCTAGTGATTTTTGCAAACTTACTTTGTATCCTGAGACTTTGCTGAAGTTGTTTATCAGCTTAAGGAGTTTTGGGCCAAGACTATGGGGTTTTCTAGATATAGGATCATTTGTCTGCAAACAGGGATAGTTTGGCTTCCTCTCTTCCTATTTGGATGCCTTTTTAATTTTTTTTTTTTTTTTTTTTGAGACACTCTGTCACCCAGGCTGGAGTGTAGTGATGCAATCTCAGCTCACTGCAACCTCCACTTCCTGGGCTCAAGTGATCCTCCTGATTCAGCCTCCTGAGGAGCTGGGACTACAGATGCAAGCCACCATGCCCAGCTAATTTTTTGCTTTTTTTTTTTTTTTTTTTTTTGTAGAGACGAGGTCTCACTGTGTTACCCAGGCTGATCTCAAACTCCTGAGCCCAAAGCAATCCACCTGCCTTAGCCTCTCAAAGTGCTGGGATTATAGGAGTGAGCCACATGCCTGGACAAGATGCCTTTTATTTATTTCTCTTGCCCGATTGCTCTGGCTGGGACTTCCAATACTACGTTGAACCGGAATGGTGAGAGAGAGAATTCCTATCTCATGCTGGTTTTCCAGGGGAATACTTCCAGCTTTTGGCCATTCAGTATGATGTTGGCTGTGGGTTTGTCAGAGATGCCTCTTATTATTTTGAGGTATGTTCCTTCAATATCTAGTTTATTGAGAGTTTTTAACATTAAGCGGTATTGAATTTTATAAAAAGCTTTCTCTGACTCTATTGAGATAATTGTATGGTTTTTGTCTTTAGTTCTGTTTATGTGATGAATCACATGTGTTGATTTGTGTATGTTGAACCAACCTTGCATGCCAGGGATAAAGCCTACTTGATCATAGTGGATAAGCTTGATGATGTGCTGCTGGATTCCATTTGCCAGTCTTTTGTTGAGGGTTTTTGTGTCGATGTTCATCGAGGATATTGGCCTGAAGTTTTTGTTGTTGTTGCTGTGTCTCTGCCAGGTTTTGGTATCAGAATGATGGTGGCTTCATAGAATGAGTTAGAGAGGAGTCTCTCCTCCTCAATTTTTTTGGAATCATTTCAGCAACAATGGTACCAGTTCTCCTTTTACATCTGATATACTTCAGCTGAGACTCCATCTGGACCTGGGCTTTTTTTGATTGGTAAGCTATTCATTACTGATTCAATTTCAGAGCTCATTATTGGTGTGTTCAGGGATTCCATTTCTTCCTGGCTCAGTTTTTTGTTTTTTGTTTGTTTTTGAGACAGAGTCTTGCTCTGTCTCCCAGGCAGGAGTGCAGTGGTGCAATCTTGGCTCACTGCAACCTCTGCCTCCCAGGTTCAAGCAATTCTCCTGCCTCAGCCTCCTGAGTAGCTGGGATTACAGGCATGTACCACCATGCCCAGCTAATTTGTATATTTTAGTGGAGATGGGGTTTCACTATGTTGGCCAGGCTGGTCTCAAACTCGTGATCTCAAGTGATCCACCCACCTTGGCCTCCTAAAGTGCTGGGATTACAGGCATGAGCTACCATGCCTGGCCCTGGCTCAGTCTTGAGAGGGTGTATATGTCCAGGAATTTACCCATTTTTTCTGGATTTTCTAGTTTATGTGCATAGAGGTGTTCATAATATTCTCTGGTGGTTATTTATATTTCTGTGGGGCCACTGGTAATATCTCCTTTGTCATCTCTGATCGTGTTTATTTGGATCTTCGCTTTTCTTCTGTATTAGTCTAGCTAGTGGTCTATCTATTGTATTAACTTTTTCAAAAAACCAACTTCTGGATTTGTTGATCTTTTGAATGGTTTTCACGTCTCAGTCTCCTTCGGTTCTGCTCTGATTTTGGCTACTTCTTGTCTTCTGCTAGCTTTGGGGCTGGTTTTCTCTTGGTTCTCCAGTTCTTTTAGTTGTGATGTTCGGTTGTTAAATTGAGATCTTTCTAACTTTTTGATGTGGGCCTTTAGTGCTATAAATTTCCCCTTAACACTGACTTAGCTGTGTCCCAGAGATTCTGGTATGCTGTATCTTTGTTCTTATTAGTTTGAAAGAACGTCTTGATTTCTGACTTAATTTCATCATCTACGCAAAAGTCAATCAGGGGCAGGTTATTCAATTTCCATATAATTGCATGATTTTGAGTGAATTTCTTAGTCTTGATTTCTAATTTGGTTGTGCTGTGGTCTGAGAAATTGGTTGTTATGATTTCAGTTCTTTTGTATTTGCTGAGGAGTGTTTTTTGTTCAATCATGTGATCTATCTTAGAGTATGTGTCATGTGGCAATGAGAAGAATGCATATTCTGTTGTTTCGGGGTGGAGAGTTCTGTAGGTGTCTATCAGGTCCATTTGTTCCAGTGCTGAGTTCAGCTCCTGAATTTTTTTGTGAATTTTCTGCCTTAATGATCTGTCTAATACTGTCAGTGGGGTGTTAAAGTCTCCCACTATTATTGTGTGAGAGTCTAAGTCTCTTTGAAGGTCTTTAAGAACTTGCTTTATAAATGTGGGTGCTCCTATGTTGGGTGCATATATATTTAGGATAGTTAGGTCTTCTTGTTGAATTGAACGTTTTACCATTATGTAATGCCCATCTTTGTCTTTTTTGATCTTTGTCGGCTTAATGTCTGTTTTGTCTGAAGTTAGGATTGCAACCCCTGATTTGTTGTTTTCCATTTGCTTGGTAGATTTTTCTCCATCCTTTTATTTGAGCCTATGGATGTCACTGCATGTGAAATGGATCTCTTGAAGACAACATACCGATGGGTATTGGTTCTTTATCCAGCATGCAACTCTGTGCCTTTTAATTGGGGCATTTAGCCCATTTACATGCAAGGTTAGTATTGATATATGTGGATTTGCTCCTGTCATCATGTTAGCTGATTATTATGCAGATTTGTTTGTGTGGTTGCTTTATAGTGCAACTGGTCTGTGTACTTTGGTATGTTTTTGTAGTGGCTGGTAACAGTCTTTCTTTTCCATATTTAGTGCTGCCTTCAGGAGTTCTTGTGAGGCAGGTCTGGTGGTGACAAATTCCCTCAGCATTTACTTGTCTGAAAAGGATCTTATTTCTCCTTCACTTATGAAGCTTAGTTTGGCCAGATATGAAATTCTGGGTTGGAATTTCTTTAGGAATGTTGAATATTGGCCCCCAATCTCTTCTGGCTTGTAGGGTTTCTACTGAGAGGTCTGCTCTTAGTCTGATAGGTGTTCCTTTGTAGGTGACCTGGCCTTTCTCTCTGGCTGCCTTTAACTTTTTTCCTTTCATTTCGACCTTGAAGAATTTCATGATTATGTGTCTTGGGGATGATCTTCTCATAGAGTATCTTACTCTGAGTTTCCTGGATTTGGATGGCAGCCTCTCTAGCTAGGCTGGGGAAGTTTTCATGGATGATATCCTGAAATCTGTCTTCCAAGTTGCTTACACTCTCCCCATCTCTTTCAGGGACACCAATGAGTCACAGATTTGGATTACAGAATCCCATATTTCCTGGAGGTTTTGTTCATTCCTTTTCAAAGTTCTTTTGTCTCCATTCTTGTCTGACTGTCTTATTTCAGAAAGCTAGTCTTCAAGCACTGAGATTCTTTCCTCCACTTGGTATATTCTGCTATTAATACTTCTGATTGCATTATGAAATTCTTATAGTGTGGTTTTCGGTGCTATCAGGTCAGTTATGCTCTTTTCTATACTGGCAATTTTGTCTGTCAGCTCCTGCATCATTTTATTGTGACTCCTATCATCCTTGGATTGGGTTTCCACATACCCCTACACCTCAATGATCTTGGTTCCTATCCATATTCTGAATTCTATTTCTGTCATTTCAGCCATCTCAGCCTGGTTCAGAACCCTTGCTGGAGAGGTGGGGCAGTCATTTGGAGGAAAGAAGGCACTCTGGCTTGTGTTGTCTGGGTTCTTGAACTGGTTCTTTCTTATCTTTTGGGCTGATGTTCCTATGCTCTTTGAAGTTGCTAACCTTTGGATGATTTTTTTTTCTTTTATCCTATTTGATGACCTTGAGGATTTGATTGTAGTATAAGTTGGATTCAGCTGACTGGCTTTGTTTCTGGATGATTTTAGGGGGCCAAGGCTCAGTTCCCAACTCCCAGACTGTGTGCTCTAACTGGGGTACTTGTATCAGGCACCAACTTTGTTCTCTGGCTCCCGGAGGTTAGGAATCAACTGCACTGAGGGATCAAGGTGCTCCTCACTACCGGTCACTACACTCTGATAGGTGGTGCCAGCCAGTGCATTTTGCAGTGCAGTGGCAGCGGGATCCATTCTTGCTTGCACATGCCAGCAGCCGTGGTGGCAGCAGCACAGGGTGCACGTTCATCGGCTGTGGCAGGGTGCTAGCAAGTGCTGGGGTGCCTGCCTCTGTGCAGGTGTTCACCACAGTGGCAGACGAAAGCACCTGGGGGGCAGGGCCCCCTGCTGGCAACAGCCATGCTGGCGGTGGTGTTGGGATGGAGGTGGAGCACCGGCAGGCCCAGGCCTGTGGCATTCTTTGTGCCCCACAGGCAGGGTGGTCCCTATTCCGTGCCTAGTTTCACTCCCGCAACAGTGTTGGTGCAAGAGTGGGGTGCAAGGGAGGTGGGGCTGGCTGGCTCTGTGTCTGCCAAGGCTCCAACTGCAATGGCAGTCAGCAGGGGGCGTTGGGCAAACGGTACTCCTGCCACAGCAATGGCAGGGCAGGGTGCAAACACACAGGTACACTGGCGGGCAAGGAAAGCAAAACCCACCTGCACAGACATGCACTGGCAAAAGCAAGATGGGGGGTGACAGTGGGCCCTGGAGAAGCTACAGTGTGGGAGGCAGTGGGCAGGCTGGCACAGGGATGTGGGGGCTGCCCTGCTGGAGCTCTCCACCAATCAGGCATGGTCTGCCAGTGCAGAAGCTATGCTGCAGGCCCCCAGGGCACCCAGAGCTGCCCTGCAAGCAGGCGTGGCCAGGCCGGGGCCCTGGGAGAGGCCAGCAGACCAAGGCATGCTCGGGTCAGACTGGCCCCATCTGATGGGCAAGACCACCCCACAAAGATCACATACAACAGCTCCCCTAGGGCTAAAATCTCCTATGGGAGGAATTTGAGCCTGGGGGATGGCCCTCCACTACAGACGCTCCTGCACCAAACCCTCCGGGCTCTGCCTCAGCTGGCTGCTGCCCCCGCACCTTCTCTAGGCAGCTCTCTCTGCCACCTCGAATGTCCATGTGGTTAATCTCCTCCTGCCGGGATTCCAGAGGCCCGTAATGACAGTGGGCTCCTCCTTGCCAGTTCAACTCACCCATTCTCCCTGAGTCTTGGGGACCAGTAACGAGTCCCAGTGCGCAGTGGCCCCGTGCAGGGTTCCCAGCTTCCTCCCGCTTCAGCCTAGCTTCTGTGTCCTCCTGCAGTCCACTCTGGGTGTCCCGCAGTCCACTCCTGGTGCCTTCCCTCTGAAGATCTGTTGGAAACATGCCAGTTGTCTCTGCCCCTCGGTGGCAGCTGTTTCACCTGGCTACGTTGTCGGCTGTCTTCCAACTTTTAGCCTATTTTTCTTTAATTCAGTTAATTAGAGCTCTTTTTTTTTTTTTTTTTTTTTTTTTGAGATGGAGTTTCACTCTTGTTGCCCAGGCTGGAGTGCAATGGCACGATCTTGGCTCACCGCAACCTCAGCCTACCGGGTTCAAGCGATTCCCCTGCCTCAGTCTCCTGAGTAGCTAGGATTACAGGCATGCACCACCACGCCCGGCTAATTTTGTATTTTTAGTAGAGACAGGGTTTCTCCATGTTGGTCAGGCTGGTCTTGAACTCCCGACCTCAGGTGATCCACCCACCTCAGCCTCCCAAAGTGCTGGGATTACAGGCATGAGCCACCGCGCCCGGCAATTAGAGCTGTTTTATAGAAAGACCACAAGCGACACATTAAATACACAGACAGACAGAAATGAAGAATCAAGACAGAATTCCGTTGACTAAGAAGTGTTTAGAGGGAGAGCAGGGGCTTTAAAACAATATCTGCACAAATATAGCCCAAATATCAGCTTTAATGAAGTCGATTTCTAACTATAGAGCTCTCAAAAGAAAAATCCTTTTAAAATCTGGCTGGGCATGGAGGCTCACGCCTGTAATCCTAGCACTTTGGGAGGCCGAGGTGGGTGGATCACCTGAGGTCAGGAGTTCGAGACCAACCTAGCCAAGATGGTGAAACCCCATCTCTACTAAAAATATAAAATTAGCCAAGCATAGTGGCGGGCACCTGTAATCCCAGCTACTCGGGAGGCTGAGGCAGGAGAATTGCTTGAACCCAGGAGGCGGAGGTTGCAGTGAGGCAAGATCACACCATTGCACTCCAGCCTGGGCAGCAGGAGTGAAACTCCATCTCAAAAATAAAAATAATAATAATAATAATAATAAATCTTTTATTACTAGATTTCAGCCAGGACAACGGGCCAATATTTCTGGCTTTTGAATTGTTTTACTAAAGGTAAATCAGTGAGCCTTAACAAAGAGGATGACTTAACCACAGATATTCAAAGTGTCTCCAAAGAGATAATAAGTGATTTTTACAAGGTCTAAAATCTCCCCAAAGGTAGTTCAAGACAGAAAATCAGAAGCTGTCCATAGAGGGGAAAATAATCAATAAGCGGCAAAAGTCCAGCAAGTATTAGACCACGAAGGACTCAATCCCAAAGCCAGGAACTGAACCCAGGCCACTATTGCGAAGAACCACCAGAGCCTTAGCTAGCTGATCTGTAGCACAAGGTGGCTGCTGGTGTCTTTCCCAGGAGTCAGTTCCAACAGCAATTCAATCTAAAAAGCCCGCTAAAGTCCAGATGGCAATTTTCCAGGTTTTTACCATATTAGCAAAAGGTATTTCCAGAAAGGGAGTAAAGCAGGCATCTCCGTGATCCCCAAGAATTCACTCTCAGAAATGGGCTTAAGAAAGTGATAGGCGGCCAGGCGCGGTGGCTCACACCTGTAATCCCAGCACTTTGGGAGGCCAAGGCGGGCAGATCATGAGGTCAGGAGATCGAGACCATCCTGGCTAACACGGTGAAACCCTGTCTCTACTAAAAATACAAAAACAAAATTAGCTGGATGTGGTGGTGGGTACCTGTAGTCCCAGCTACTTGGGAGGCTGAGGCAGGAGAATGGCATGAACCCGGGAGGCAGAGCTTGCAGTGAGCTGAGATTGCGCCATTGCACCCCAGCCTGGGCGACAGAGTGAGACTCTGTCTCAAAAAAAAAAAAAGAAGAAGAAGAAAGCGATAGACAGTAAAAGCCCTGTAGGGACGAGACCTTTTAAGACAAAACTCTTGAGAGGGCTCAACACACTCAGGGGAAGAGCAAGGCAACTCATTTCTGACTCCTGGTCCTCTTGGACCAGCCGCCTGACGTGAACTTGAAAATTCCTGCCCTCCAGATGGTGGAGACCAGGAGAGAATTCCTGCACATGGTCACAAAGTCACGCTTTCAAGGACATAAACCAAGACAAGAGGGAAACTTCCTCCAGTTTTTGCTCCAGGAAACCGCAGCAAAGTTTGTCACTGACCAGCCTGTCGGACCAGGTTGAGCCGTGGGCTTCCAGGGGTCCTGAGCTCATGTTTATCCTGTGGTGCCCCCGCTTTATGACAGAACAACAGAGAAAAACGAATTCATAGCACAAGGTACTCCAGATTTGCTACAGGCTCAGACTAGCCTCACAAATCCTTCTTCTCATTAATAAACAGTGGTTTTTACCATTCACTCAACCAGTATGCACAGAGAGAGAGGGCCCAGAAGCCTGGCTGGTAAGGCATTATTATTATTATTATTATTATTATTATTTTTGAGGTGGAGTTTTACTCTTATTGCCCAGGCTGGAATGCAATGGTGTGATCTCAGCTCACTGCAACCTCCGTCTCCCAGGTTCCAGTGATTCTCCTGCCTCAATCCCCCAAGTAGCTGGGATTACAGCCGCCCACCACCACACCTGGCTAATTTTTTTTTTTTTTTTGTATTTTTAGTAGGGACGGGGTTTTACCATGTTGGCCAGGCTGGTCTTGAACTCCTGACCTCAGGTGATCCGCCCGCCTTGGCTTCCCAAAGTGCTGGGATTACAGGCATGAGCCACTGCGCCCAGCCCGGTAAGACATTCTTACCCTGTTGCTGGCATGCCAGGTTTTTTGGGTCCCCTTTCCCTGGGCTGCCCTGGTGACCCTGCTCACAGCACCAACCACAGCTATGGGGGCGAAGCCACATCACAAAGGAAAATCACCTTTTTCCACTTCATGGAATCACAGGGGGAAAAAACCTCTCGATTTTGCAAGATGCTGCCCAGTGAGCTGCATGGGGAACCGGTAAAATTAACATTTTCCATCCCAGCTGTCGCAAAATACAAGGAAACAGACACAGGTCACCTCGCTCAGCAGCCAACATTGACCGCACAAGGCTCAGACTTGCCCCCTGTGGTCCCTGGTGTCTTTGATGCACTCAAGGTGGGGAGGGATGACCTCTCACTGGGAATTCAATGGGTGGTATTTGGGCCAGATGGACGAGCGGACGGACACCCCCAGTCAGGCCTGTTGAGCTTCCACTAACAATTCCTTCAGGGCTCACCAAATGGGACCACACAAATAAGGAGGCTTCTCTGAGTGAGGCTTGCTGGACTTCCGTCAGCGACTCCTTCAGAGATCCCCCCCACGTGTTCAAACACACACACGACACCACCACAAGTGTTTCCACTCAGAGGCACTCACCACGCAGAAGCCGGGTCCAGCTGTCACGGAATCCAAAACCAAGCGGGGGTGACAGAAAGGAAAATAAGATCTTGGGTCCCCAGACTCACTATGCCAAAGGAAAAAGTTAAGCTTAGAAACTGAGTCATGCAAAAAACAAAAACAAAAACAAAAAAAACCCCTGCCTTTCCTTTTGTTCTTAAACAGACAGCTACAAGATAGAAGGCCACGTGTCTCCCCAGGTGGCCTCCCTCACCTGAAAATGTAAACGAACAACAAATCAGCCAGGCACGGTGGCTCGTGGCTCACGCCTGTAATCCCGCACTTTGGGAGGCTGAGGCGGGTGGATCACCTGAGGTCAGGAATTCGAGACCAGCCTGGCCAACATGGCAAAACCCCCATCTCTACAAAAATACAGAAATTAGCCAGGCGTGGTGGTAGTGCATGCCTGTAATCCCAGCTACTCAGGAGGCTGAGGCAGGAGAATCGCTTGAACCCGGGAGGCAGAGGTTGCGGTGAGTTGAGATTGCGCCACTGCACTCCAGCCTAGATAACAGAGTGGGGCTCCATCTCAAAAAAAACACACACACACACACACAAATCAACTGTTCCTCTGGCCCCCACTTTCACCTGCAACCTGGAGAGCAGTGGACACTGATCACAGCCTCACAAGAATATGACCCTCCCTTTTTTCCTTTCCTCCTTCCCCTGCGGCCACTTCTTTCTTTAACTATTGAAGCCCCAAAACCCTCTTTGGAAAAGGAGTGGGCTGCACACCCTACTGTGTTTTCTGCCTCTTTTTCCCGGGCATGGCTTCAACCTTGGCAAAGTGAACCTCTGAACTGGTTGAGACCTGTCTCAGTCACTCTGTGGGAGGGGCCTCCCCTGAGGTTGGGGAAGATGTCCCAAGAGGAGGGACAAGCAGCAACTCAGGGAGGCCTGGAGCCAACTTCGGTTTCAGGGTTGAGCCAGGGTCAAGGTGGCAGTGGAAGTTACAGGAAGAGCCTAAGGCCCCAGTGGTGGGAGCAGATGCTGAAATCCCCGGGAGCACTTTGGACTGTGCCCTGGGAGAGGCGGGAACCAAGCCTGAGAGCAGAGTACTGGCAGCTGCACGTTGGAATGTGAAGCCTGGACACAGGGAGGTCAGGCAGCGAGCTCACCTCACGGCAGCCCAGCCAGAGAGTCAGCCTGCTCTCCCCGCACTGAGCCAAGGCTGGGAGACAGCCTACCTCCCACCAGAGCCAGCAGGCAGGTCCCAGCCCAGCCTGCCCCGTCCCGCCCCAGCCTGCCCTGTCCTGCCATCTGCACTCCCCGTCAGGCCTCCTGGCCAGCCCCACAGTCCCTGCCTTCCAAGAGACACAGGCAGCGGCAGCAGGGGCTGGATGGGGGAGGCCAAGAATCAGAGGCGCTCCCCCACAGGACCCCTGAATCGTGGCCAGAGAAAGGTCAGGGCAGGATGAGGCCTGTGGCCACGGGCAGATCTCAGGTGGCTGACCCGTCCTAGGAGCACACAGGGCAGCTGTGGCTCCTTCCCTCTTGAACCCAGAAAACAGGGCAGAGCTCATCGGTGGCCTCATCTGCCAGCCCCAGCAGTAAGGCCACCGGCTCATTCTTCATGGGGCAGCAGCATCTGGCTTTCTGGCTCCAGACACCGCCTGCTGGGCCAGGCCTTCAACCAGGTCCCTCCTGACAGCAGGCACGCCTGAGTCCAGACCCGAGACAGAGCCGGGAGGCAGCCTGCAGCAAACGTGCCCCAAACTCCACAGGCGCCTAACCCAGTCCTGCCAGGGGAAAGTGCTCAAGGCTCTGCCCTCTCGCTGGAGGCCCACTGCTCACTCTCACCCGTGGGACTTCTCCCCACAGGCCCCAGCAGCCTCCTCCCGTCATCTGAGACGCTACCAGGACAAAAGTCTTCCACAACTAGGGCCAAAGGCCTCTTAGTCATGGAAGTCTCCCTGAACCTATTCTGGTTCGGAGGTTGCCTGGTTTAAAATTTTAAAAATTAAAAAAACAAAAGCCTCCGCATGACAGCAGGCCCGTCCCAGTCTTATGATCTCTCTGCTCTGGTGTGGGAGGAGGAGGGAGTGCCGTGTGAGGAGGAGGGAGTGCCGTGTGAGGAGGAGGAGGGAGTCCTGTGTGAGGAGGAGGGAGTCCCGTGTGAGGAGGAGGGAGTCCCGTGTGAGGAGGAGGGAGTGCTGTGTGAGGAGGAGGAGGGAGTCCTGTGTGAGGAGGAGGGAGTCCCGTGTGAGGAGGAGGGAGTCCCGTGTGAGGAGGAGGGAGTCCCGTGTGAGGAGGAGGGAGTGCTGTGTGAGGAGGAGGAGGGAGTCCTGTGTGAGGAGGAGGGAGTGCCGTGTGAGGAGGAGGGAGTCCCGTGTGAGGAGGAGGGAGTCCCGTGTGAGGAGGAGGGAGTCCCGTGTGAGGAGGAGGGAGTGCTGTGTGAGGAGGAGGAGGGAGTCCTGTGTGAGGAGGAGGGAGTGCCATGTGAGGAGGAGGGAGTCCTGTGTGAGGAGGAGGGAGTCCCGTGTGAGGAGGAGGGAGTGCTGTGTGAGGAGGAGGAGGGAGTCCTGTGTGAGGAGGAGGGAGTCCCATGTGAGGAGGAGGGAGTCCTGTGTGAGGAGGAGGGAGTCCCGTGTGAGGAGGAGGGAGTGCCGTGTGAGGAGGAGGAGGGAGTCCTGTGTGAGGAGGAAGGAGTCCCATGTGAGGAGGAGGAGGGAGTCCTGTGTGAGGAGGAGGGAGTGCTGTGTGAGGAGGAGGGAGTCCTGTGTGAGGAGGAGGGAGTCCTGTGTGAGGGGGAGGGAGTGCCGTGTGAGGGGGAGGGAGTCCCGTGTGAGGAGGAGGGAGTGCCGTGTGAGGAGGAGGGAGTCCCATGTGAGGAGGAGGGAGTCCTGTGTGAGGAGGAGGGAGTGCCGTGTGAGGAGGAGGGAGTGCCGTGTGAGGGGGAGGGAGTCCCGTGTGAGGAGGAGGGAGTCCCGTGTGAGGAGGAGGGAGTGCTGTGTGAGGAGGAGGAGGGAGTCCTGTGTGAGGAGGAGGGAGTGCCGTGTGAGGAGGAGGGAGTCCCGTGTGAGGAGGAGGGAGTCCTGTGTGAGGAGGAGGGAGTCCCGTGTGAGGAGGAGGGAGTCCCGTGTGAGGAGGAGGGAGTCCTGTGTGAGGAGGAGGGAGTCCCGTGTGAGGAGGAGGAGGGAGTCCTGTGTGAGGAGGAAGGAGTCCCATGTGAGGAGGAGGAGGGAGTCCTGTGTGAGGAGGAGGGAGTGCTGTGTGAGGAGGAGGGAGTCCTGTGTGAGGAGGAAGGAGTCCCATGTGAGGAGGAGGAGGGAGTCCTGTGTGAGGAGGAGGGAGTGCCGTGTGAGGAGGAGGAGGGAGTCCTGTGTGAGGGGGAGGGAGTCCTGTGTGAGGGGGGAGGGAGTCCTGTGTGAGGAGGAGGAGGGAGTGCTGTGTGAGAAGGAGTGCTGCTACGTAAGAAGGAGGTAGATGTGTGGGGGGAGAGTTGGCATTCGGCCCGGTCAGGACTCCATGGCCCTTGTTACAGTTGTGGGTAGAAATGGAATCTCTGTGACATCTCCTGCTCCCCTTTCACCTGCCCCAAGGCAGGTCTCCAGTACTCCCTCTCCTTTCTGATCATGGGCCCAAAGAGGCTCATTCAGAGAGGATCAGTCCCATGCCCTGGGGGCAGGAATGCTGAGCACATAGAGGTTTCCTGGAGGGGCCACGTGGGCGGCATGGAAGCTCCCCACCCCTTCCGGGAGACGGCGCCCTGTGCCTCTCGCGTGTATCCATTTATAATTAACTGCAAATGTGTTTCCCTGAGTTCCCTGAGCCACTCTTGCAAATCAATTGAACGCAAAACCGGGAGGGGCTGCAGTATTGCTGGGAAAGAGGGTCCTGATCCAGACCCCAAGAGCAGGTTCTTGGATGTTGTGCAGGAAGTAATTTGGGGTGAGCCACAGAGCACAGTGAGAGAAGCAGGTTTATTTGAAATGGCTCCGTTCCAGAGTGGGGCGTGCTCAGAAAGCAGGAGGAGGAGGGCCTGTCCTCTGTTAGTGCCTCTGCTTACAAGAAACTGTAAGGAGCTACAATTACACCTGGAATGGGCAGATGCACCCACTAAGGATAGGGGCTGTGGGTGCCATCAGTGCCCGTTCATCCTCCAACCTCAGGCTGCTCATTGAAATTATCTCTGAGTAAAGTGGCCTGCACTCTTGGGTTATCTGGACAGTCTGCGGGCTTGCTGGGAGATGCCCCATATGGCCACAAATATTCTGTAATTATAATTGGTGTCCAGCTTGAGACATGGCTATTTTTAGACCATAAGCATTAACCTTATAGGTGCCTTGTGAGTGCCTCCTACTCACTTCAAGATGGAGTCACTCTGGTCATGTTTCATTAAACCAGAGGCCTGGTGAGCAAGCGTTCCTCTAACAGTGGGAACCTCAACGTCGGGCCAGTCGGTAAGAAGTTCCAGAGGCTGGCCCTCGCAGCTCATGTGTGTGCATATGTGTGTGTGTGTGTGTGTGTGTGTGTGTGTGTAGGTGTCTGGATCTGACGCTATCTGCAGGTACCGGAATGGTGTTGGAGGACACTCGGCTGGTGTCCGCTGCAGAACTGATGGCTTGCTCGGTGGCGGGGAGACGTCCACCTGCCACATTTGGCCCCAGCAGTCTTGGGAGTCTCCTGTGTTGATGTCTTCTGTGTTGAGTGAGAGACAGGATAAATGGTTTGAGAGTTTTTTCCAAACAGCCCTCCTCCTAATGCAGCTTGTTTTCTGAATCAGAGGGTCCTGTCTTGAAGGGGGCAAACCCACCCGTGCTTTCGTCCCACAGTTCTTACTGAGCCCCTGCCATGGCAGGGATGGCCCCAGGTGCCGGCTGCAGAGACAGAACCCCCTGCCCTCACCGCCAACATTCCAGAGGGGAAGATGCCCTGCCTGTGCCCCACGTAAGACCCAGAGGCAGGGACTCCCCCGGGCCACAGCCTACTGGAGGCTCCTGTCCCCAGAGACAGCTGGGCCATCGCCCCCAAAGCTGTGGAAGCCCCACCCACGATGCCATCATACCACGGCCAGGACATCTCGTGACACACACAGCCCCAGCCTCAGCCTCCATACACACACACACACGCACCACACACACTCACTCATGCAAAACACACACACAGCCACATTGACTGCACCCCTAGATTTGAGACAGGGGTGTTACAGGTGTCTGTCAGCCCCAGCCCCCTCCTGACCACATGGCCACCTGCCCACCCTCACATTTCCGCACACCCTCCCCCTACTCCCGTGTGGGGTTCAGAAGACCCCTCCCTGGTGCTCGCCCTGTCACCCAGAAAGGAAACGCACTGTCAACTGGAGAACAGGCCGGTGGCAGAGCCCCAGCGCCCACAGCCCCTCGGAGAGGGCCTGGCGGGAGGAGAGGCACCCACCGATGGCAGAGCCTCAGTGCCCTCGCAGAAGCCAGCACCCACAACCTCCCACCTCCCAACCCTTGCCGGTCTCCCCACCCCCGCCTGAGGGATGGCCAAGGAACAGCCCAGCCTGGAGCGGGAAGCAGGGACAAGATGACCTCAGGAATCCCAGGCTGCGGGGGTGCCTGCGTCCTCCCCTCCCGAGCTCCACTCCGCAGGCGAGACCCCCAACACTGCTCCCCGACACTCTCCGAGGCACCCCTCCTCCGTGCTCACACCCAAACACGTCTGCTCACCCGTGGGCTTCCCACCCCGAACACAACGAGGACTGTCCAGGTGTCAGTGACGGTCACCCCGACCTGGTCCCCTGTCCGGCCTCGCCAGGTCAGCACCCGCCGCGCGCACAGCAGGGCCGGGTGGAAGGAGGCCGGGCCTGGCCGTGGCTCAGGCGCCACCTCACTGGGGAAACTGGGAGGTGGTCTCAGCCCCCTTCTGGGCCTCAGCTTCCCCATCTATCCCAAGGAGCCGGGGTAGGCCTGGGCGGCGCGGGGACCCCCACCGCGGGCTCGCCGACTCCGCCCGCCGGAGGCCCCTCCCGCGTCCCGCCCCTGCCCCCGCCCCGGGGCCGCGCGGCTGCCTGGGAGGCTCCGGGCCAGCCGCGGTCCAGAGCGCGCGAGGTTCGGGGAGCTCGGCCAGGCTGCTGGTACCTGCGTCCGCCCGGCGGTGAGTCCGCGGGCCCCCGGCCGGGACGCCCCCGCCACCTGCGCGCACGCGCTCAGACCCGGCGGCCTCGGCTGCGGTGCACGCGGCCCCGGCTCAGCCACGCGCGGCGGAAGGCGCCCTGCGGGGGCCGGGGCGGGAGAGGGTGGGAGAGAGCAAGAGGGGCGCACGGGGAGGCGCAGGAGAGGGGCTGGGGCTGCCGGTGGGTTGGTCCCCAGAGAGCTGAGCTTCTCCTCCCATCCCCCGCAGGCCTCCCCGAATGTTTCCAAAGATCTGGGGCGGGAGCGGGCGGAGACTGCCGCCAGGAGCCTCCCGGCCGCCCCAGGGCTGCGCAGCCACTGGAGCCCATCACCCAACTCCAGACGCTCCTGGCTCCTCTACGTGGGCCGGGAGGGACAGCCTTGAGGACTAGGGGAGGGGGCACGGGACCTTGCAGAGCTCCTGGCCGGAAAGGGAGGATTGACCGCCCCCGGCATATCACCCCGGAGCACTGGAACCCGCCCCCGCTTCTTGTTTTGGCACTGGTGGTGCTTGCGGTGAGGTCCAAGGAGCCCAGCCTCCCTGAGTGGACCGCCGGGCCCCTCCCCGTTCCGGGACACAGGAGAGGCTCCCGCCCCTTGCTGGCTGGGCAGCCCCTAGATACCTGGCTCCCAGGGGCCAGCTTCCCTGAGCCTGGGGATGAGCCATGAGCCTGCAGCCTGGGCCCCAGGGGCGCCCCCCACGGCCTGCCGGCTGGCTCCCTCCGGGCTCCATGGCCCACCCGGCCTTCCTAATTGCCTTCGGCTCCCACCGGTGCCTTAGCTCAGCCTGGTGGCCCAGCGGGTTGGGTGCCACCCAGTGAGCAGGTGGCGGCACCAGCTGGACCTGTTTGTGGCCCTGTATGCTAGGACTTCCTCAGAGACAGCTCAGGGACCCCCCCACACCAGAACCTCACTTTAGGGGGGTGGGGGGAAAAGGAATTGGAGATCCTTCCTCCTCGGGCTACTCCCTGGAGGCGGGGATAGGCCCCAGCCGGACTTGGCACTGTTTTTGGCCACCTGGGGCTCCCACTCCCAACCCCAGGATGTCAGCCCAGGTCTCACTGTCCTGGCCTGCTGCTCTCCCCTTAGGGCCTCTGCGGGCCCCTCTCCAGATCTGTTCTCTGAGGCATCCTCCTTACCCCCAGTGCCCAGCACTAGCTCCCCAGGCCCGGGATGTCCCTCCCACTCCTCTGCCCACGGCTGTCCCTGACAGAAGGCAGCAGCCTCCCCCTCCAACACCATGCACTCACAAAACAGAGAATCACGACCCCAGCTGGGTGTGTTCCAGATTCTTTCTCCAGCAGTGCAGAGGGTCCTGTGCAGAGGCCGAGGAGCAGTACAGCGACCCATCTGGCCCTTTCCTGCTGGTGGGACCAGTGGCACGCAGCCTTGTCTCTCGGAGCCCATTTCCCAGCCACAGAATGGGGAGTAGCAGATACTGAGTGGGGTGCTTTCCTCGGAACTGAGTAACATCAGGAATGGGGAGTGCTTTCCCCCTCAGCCATGCCCCACCTGGCCCCAGGTCTCCATGTGAGGGGAGCTGCCTGGGCTCAAAACACTGAGCCATCCCAAGGAAAATTCTAGATACAGATTAGCTAATATACACTGACAGATACACATATAGATGTGTATATAGATTTCTCTTTTTTTTGAGACAGGGTCTCACTCTGTTGCCCAGGCTGCAGTGCAGTGGCATGATCATAGTTCACTTCAGTCTTGAACTCCCTGGCTCAAGAGATCCTCCCACCTCAGCCTCCCAAGTAGCTGACCACAGGCACGTACCACGCCCGGCTAATTTTTGTATTTTTTGTAGAAACAGGAGGTCTCACTGTGTTGCCCAGGGTGGTCTCAAACCCCTGGCCTCATATGATCCTCCTGCCTTGGCCTCACATAGCATGGAGATTACAGGCGTGAGCCCCTGTACCCAGCCCCAGACTAGCTAATATTATGACTGATCACCATTCCCCATTCCCCATTCCCCCACCCCAGGACCACTGGCAGAGGCCACTCACTCTGCCTTCTTTTCTGTGGTTCTGAGAAGGCTGCTGAGTTTCCTCCTCTTGCCTGTGCAGCCCCCTCCTGCCAGGTTTCAGGAGGGAGATAGCCTAGAGCATGTCTGCACTGAGTGAGGAGTGGGTCAGGAGAGAAGCAGGGAAGTCCTTGTGTGCTGGCAGGTCCCTTCCCCTCTGCTGTCTGTGTCCTCATCTGCAAAGTGGGGGTGCATGGTCTTGGGGAGGAGTGAGGCACCACCCGGCCCCCTAACCAGTGTGTCTCTCCAGAGCAGGACAGGCTGCTTTGGTTTGTGACCTCCAGGCAGGACGGCCATCCTCTCCAGAATGAAGATCTTCTTGCCAGTGCTGCTGGCTGCCCTTCTGGGTGTGGAGCGAGGTGAGGTGCCCTTGGGGACCCCAGACCTTTGTCCAGCTGTGCCCTGCTCCACTCCCTCTCCACCCCTCTCCCCTGAGCAGACGCCCCAGGGGTCCTTCCAGGCCGCTCCCAGCAGAGGGCTCACCCGGCCTGGCCACACTGTCTCACTGTGTGTTTGAGTGTCGCTTGACCTGCTCGACGGCCAGGGTGGGGTGTCACTGTCTTTGCTCTGCCTTCAGCCCAGGGCCTGGTATACAGTAATTTCTCAGTAAATGTCCACTGGGGTCAGGCCTGGGAGGGACACTGGAGGCTTCCCTGAGACAGGTGTGTCCTCCTTCCGCAGCCAGCTCGCTGATGTGCTTCTCCTGCTTGAACCAGAAGAGCAATCTGTACTGCCTGAAGCCGACCATCTGCTCCGACCAGGACAACTACTGCGTGACTGTGTCTGCTAGTGCCGGCATTGGTGAGTGCCAGGCCTCAGACCGTGCCTTCCTCCCCTGGCCATCTCCCTAGCCCGGGCCGGGGCTCAGCAGAGGCCATTGCTGTCTGTCTGCAGCCGTCTGTCTCTCCCCTGACAGCCTCATTTCCCATGCAGGGAATCTCGTGACATTTGGCCACAGCCTGAGCAAGACCTGTTCCCCGGCCTGCCCCATCCCAGAAGGCGTCAATGTTGGTGTGGCTTCCATGGGCATCAGCTGCTGCCAGAGCTTTCTGTGCAATTTCAGTGCGGCCGATGGCGGGCTGCGGGCAAGCGTCACCCTGCTGGGTGCCGGGCTGCTGCTGAGCCTGCTGCCGGCCCTGCTGCGGTTTGGCCCCTGACCGCCCAGACCCTGTCCCCCGATCCCCCAGCTCAGGAAGGAAAGCCCAGCCCTTTCTGGATCCCACAGTGTATGGGAGCCCCTGACTCCTCACGTGCCTGATCTGTGCCCTTGGTCCCAGGTCAGGCCCACCCCCTGCACCTCCACCTGCCCCAGCCCCTGCCTCTGCCCCAAGTGGGGCCAGCTGCCCTCACTTCTGGGGTGGATGATGTGACCTTCCTTGGGGGACCGCGGAAGGGACGAGGGTTCCCTGGAGTCTTACGGTCCAACATCAGGACCAAGTCCCATGGACATGCTGACAGGGTCCCCAGGGAGACCGTGTCAGTAGGGATGTGTGCCTGGCTGTGTACGTGGGTGTGCAGTGCACGTGAGAGCACGTGGCGGCTTCTGGGGGCCATGTTTGGGGAGGGAGGTGTGCCAGCAGCCTGGAGAGCCTCAGTCCCTGTAGCCCCCTGCCCTGGCACAGCTGCATGCACTTCAAGGGCAGCCTTTGGGGGTTGGGGTTTCTGCCACTTCCGGGTCTAGGCCCTGCCCCAAATCCAGCCAGTCCTGCCCCAGCCCACCCCCACATTGGAGCCCTCCTGCTGCTTTGGTGCCTCAAATAAATACAGATGTCCCCCAGCTTCCTGCTCTGAGTGTGGCTGCCCCTTGCGGGGAGAGGCAGAGCACCCCAGGTTTGGAGGGTCCTGGGGTCTTCTGTGGTATGGCCCAGGGGGGTGGTGGGGGAGGAGGAGTCGTCCCCTGAGCCACAGCCAGCTGCTTGCCTGACCTCAGAGGGAGCCCCTCCCCAGTGCTCTGCCCTTTCTTCTGCCCCAGGTTCAGCAGGTCAAGTGAGTTCCTCCTCCCACAGCGGAAGGAGGTGTTGGGGGGCATGGAGGAAAGAAAGCGGGTGCAAGAAGGAGCACGCTCAGGCTGGGGCAGCACCCAGGGCCGTAGGACTTGGGAATGGAGGGTGTCTGTCTGGACCCGCTGGTGCAGAGGGTACAAAAGCTGGGCTGGGGCAGGACAGACGGGCCGGAGTGTAGTGAGTGGCCTGTGGGAGGGGCAGGGGGCTCCCACGCAGAAGCTCTGGGCAGCAGCCCTGACCCATCCGTGCCTGGACTGCAGTGCTGCCCGCTTCCCCCTGGCAAACAGGTGGCAGCCTCCTGACAGAGGAAGCCGGCCCAGGCCGCCGTGTCTGCAGTTGGGTGCTGTGCGCTGCCCAGAGGGCTCTTTGGGCTGGAGAGAGAAAACAAGAACAGACACCCAGTGGAGGTGTGTTTGTTCATTTCTCCGGGACAGTGGGAGGGAGCCGGCCAGGGTCTCAGCCACTTAGGGCCCGACCCTGAATTTTCCCGGCTGGCCAGAAACTGTGGTGTGTGTGTGTCAGGATCCCAGGGGCACCGTCCAGCAGGAGGGGCCGGTGGTCAACGTGGAGGCCCGAGATTCCCACCCCTGGCAGCTGATGTGAATAGCCGGGTCCTCCCAGGTCCCTGAGGTCAAGGCAGGTCAAAGACCTGTGTCCTCCTCCTGGGTCCCTGAGCTAGTGATTCCTGTCTGAAACACATGAATCATTACTGCCACCCATGAGGGGCCCATTGTAACCGAGCGAGAGGGCCTGGAAGAGGTCAGCGGGAGGAGGGGCCTGATCGGTGGATCAGCTATCCCTGTGCAAGGACCCGGAGCCCATCAGAGCAGCCTGCAGAGACTGAGCTTGAGATTCCGTCGGGAGTTTGGATTCGCTGAGTGGGTCGCTCTAGCATTGAGAAATGCAAGCAGAGAACAGAGGGTGGAAACCAGATGGTCCAGGAGCCTGGGCACTGTAGCCAGGAGGACAGAGATCCCGGTGTTCGGGCCCCGGTGTGCAGTGCGTTCACTGCATTGTTCACTCGGAATCGCAGGTGGCTTTGCTGGAGGGACAGACAGTTGATCATAGTGGAGCTGGTGAGAGGAAGCTGCACCCAAAAGCCATGGCCGGGAACCTGGATCTGACTGCAGGGAAACAGAAGCGTGGTGGGCGCTGGGCGATGATGGAATTTCTAACAAATGCTTTGTTTCTGCTAAAGCTAACTTGCGCTTCCATCTCTGGCATCTCCTCCACTTCCCAGGTGAGCTGACTGGTTACTGAGCCTCACAACCACACTGAGACGGGGGCGCAGTCATCCCCTCGTTTCCCCAGGGGAGACAGGCTCAGAGTGGAAGCCGCTTGTCCTCCTAGGATCTGGGACTCGGGGCCCAGCTCTCCCTCTGCTCTGGGTTTAGGGCTGAGGTCAGAGGCAGCCCTGACCTCCTGCTGGTGGTGGGTAGGGTAGTCCCGCCGGGTTCCTGCTGCCCCGCCCTCGGGAGGCTGGAGGCCCCCCAAGGACAGGTGGTTTCCAGGAGCAGCGGGAGGGAGCCCGGGTTGTGTCCTGGGCCTGGAGCAGAGAGGGGAGGAGCCCAGCGCCTGAGTTTCAATTTCCTGAAGCCTGGGGGAGGGAGAGGAAGAGAGCCTCGTTTCGTTTCGGGGCTCTGGACCTGAGCCTCCCGCCCAGGGCCCACCGCACCCCGCTAGGACCTGGGATTTCCCAGTCTCCACACCGGCCCGGAACTGGGCCCCCTCCTCTCCGCAGCCCATCCAGCCCCACTTCCCCGCTTCCCCGCTTCCCAGCATCTGCCCGCGGATGAGCCTCTGGAGGATGGGCGGCCCGTCCCGGCGCTGCCCCTCACCCACCCCCCACCGCTCAACCCCTGTGGGGACTTCCTGCAGTGAGGCCCAGGCAGGACGCTGCGCTGCCTCCCCCATCCACAGCCTCTGCCCCCTTGACACCCCCGCCCTCTGCGGTGCCTTGCAGGAGTCGCCAGCCTGTGGGCCCGGGACCATTTCACACGCTGTCCACAGTCGTGGAAACCCGGCAGCCACAGCAGGCCTGGGCCCACGGTGCCTCCACCCCTCCGTCAGCCCCCAGCAAGTCTTCCTGGGGGTCCCCAGCCCTGAGTGCGAGACCCTCCAGGCTGCTTCTGGACCTCGGGGCTGGGGCTGAGCCCGATCCTGGCTGGAAATGAGTGCAGGGCCGGGCTGCCTGGGGGAAGGCCCTCCAGTCTCTGAGCCCCACCCTGGGGAATTTGCTGGGACACCTTGAAGGCCGCAGGCCAGACCCCAGGGGTTAATAAGGGAACAAAGTCCTTGGGCGAACACCTGCATTTACTATCTGAGCCAGCAGGCAGCTAGGATGCTGGGTGAGGGGGTCTCTGGGCTGCTGGGCGGCCAGGCGGGGGCATCGGGGCAGGAGCTGAGGGCTGCACTGGGCAACCACCCTGAGCTCCTGTTTACCCACCAGGGGCAGTGCCAGGGCGGGCTGGGCTCACAGCAGAGCCCAGAGGAAGGGGCTCAGGCTGAGCAGGAGCTCCCTGACAGCCTGGCACCAGAGGCCACGCCGCACTGTGGCCGCCTTGTTACGGAGGCTATTTTCACAGCAGGTCATGTCCAGCTTCTCAATCTTCGAGTCAATCAGTCTATCCTCAATTTCTGTGGGGTAAGACCCTCCAGGGACCACAGGATGGGTGAGGTTCATAATCTGGGCACAGAGTGGGGCCACAGCCCTTGCTAGTGTAGCTGAGCTTCTGCCCTGTGGGCAAGAGAGGAGGGTGTCTGGCACAGGAGGCCCCACCCGACCCCCTCGGACCCGCCCCAGGACCGCCCCCTTCAGGGAACCTTGAAGCCAGTGGGGACGCGGAGGCGAGCAGAAGAGAACGGGCGGCGGCCCCAGGCCCCACACCAAGTCTGCAGTCCATTAGATGGAGGTCCCTGAGCTCTGTCCCCAGATCTAAGCTTCCACCAGGCCAGGGGGCTCAAGGCAGAGCCCCTGGGATGCTGCCAGAGAGTGCCCTGCCCACCCCTCACCTGCCTACAGACGCTGGGTCCCACCCAGGACTCACCATCGATAGTGCCAGTGACCACAGAGGAGGGGCAGCTTTGAGCCTGCATGGGATAGGAGACGGGGTGACACAGGCTGGGGTCCAGGACACCGTAGCACTGGAAGCACTCAAGGCCCTGGCCTGGGATGGGGCGGGGAGGGTGCAGGTCAGGGTCGCAGGCTGAAGGGTGGGTTCCAGTCCCTCTCACCAGCACCGGCAGCAGGCCTGGGCAGCACACAGGTAGGCTCAGGTGCCCTTGGCTACTCAGAATTGTGGGCAGGGTCCTGCTGGCATCTGGAGCCCCCAGCATCAAGAGGGTCTTACTCCCACCTTCAGGCCTCCTTCCCATCCCCCACCCTCAGCCAGCAGCAGCATGGGGCTAGTGACCTTCATGGTCTTGGGTATGGGTGCATTGAGGGCACGTGTGGCACAGAGGCTCTGAGCCTGGGAAGAGCTAGGGGAGGCCTTGCACCCCCGAGCCTGGGAACCTCTGCCCCACTTCTGGTTTGTGATGAGGAACCCGGATTGTTTGTGTAAAGTGCACACAGCTGATGGCCTCATCCCATCATCTCACAGAATGGGAATTGAGGGGTAGAAACCCTTCCTTCCTGACCTGGCTGCTCTGGAAGGCAGACATGACCTTGAGCAAGACCCCTCTCACCCCACCCCTTCTCTGCCTGGGGCCTCCCAGAGCTCAGGGTGTGAGCAGAACAGATCCGGAGGGAGGAGGGGCTGCGGTGAGGAGAGGAGGGGCTGCGGTGAAGAGAGGAGGGGCTGCGGTGAGGAGAGGAGGGAGAGGTTGTCCCCTGGGGTGGGAGGACGCCTTAGGAGAAGTTCTGACTCAATAGAGAGGAGGGTCCTGGACTAGGGCCTTGAGTTTCAGTTTCAGTTTCCTGGTACATCACAGTGTTGGTGTCTGAAGCAGGAGAGAAAAGCAGCCGTGAGACCTCAGGTCACACCCAGGACCAGGCCCTTCCCGCTCAGGATGAGGGTCTCTGGCTGAGCCCACCACTGGCAGGCCCCCGTGCAGACAGAGCCTGGGAGGGGCCAGCAGGGCAACAAGCTCTGACACTGAGACCCCAAGCCAGGCACCCCTTGTTTTCTGTGCAGGGAGCAGAGGCCCCTGTAACGGGGTGGGACGACATGGGGGCTCCCTTGGGGCAGGGGAGGAGGGGTCCAGAACTCTGTCCTGGCCACAACCGGAACCACCCCTGTCCCTCCCCCCTGCCCACCCCCATCACACCCACACCCGAATTTGTTCTTCACGGAGAATCAGAAGACACAGGAAATGGGCCAGGGGTGACTGACTGCAGACTCCACCCCCCCTCCCCAACCAGGTGCTGGGCAGAAGGAAGAGAGGGCTGCCTGGGCTGTGGGGACAGAGCCCTTGATGAAGACAGATAAAGGCAGCAGACCTGCATAAGGATGGGTCGCCTCTCCGGTGGGTGGTCCCTTCCGAAAAGCAGAATCCACTCTGTGCCCTCAGGGGTCTCTGCTTGGAGAGTCCATGGCATCTGAGAGGATGGGCCAGGTGAGGTGGGGGTGGCTCCTGAGAGCAGGGAGGACAAGGGCGGAGCTGGAGGCGTCAGGCCCAGAAGACCCCCCCAGTGACTCGGGGCAGCTGTGGGCAAGGCTTGGACCCAAGAGGCCTGACCACCCCGCCTGGCAGCACACCAGAGCACAGGCCAGACCTGAAGGGGCAGCGCCAGGGGGGCCCATGGTCCACGGGTCACTCTGCTGGCCCTGCGGCCACACTGCTCAGGTCCCAGGGCCTGATGATGGCTGAGCCAGACATCATAACACCAAGCAATGGAGAAGTTAGAATATTGCTAGGGATACTGACTTGTATTTTTGAATCTTAAAATATATGTTTTAATCTGACATCTATAAGCAGTGCATGTTACATGCCAGTCAGAGCACGAGCATCCCCAAGAGGTGTGCACTCTGTGTATCTATGGATAATGAAAGCACGGCTTTCACACAGCAAGTTATCCTCACTTCCTGTGATCAACTCTGATATCTTCTACTTTATTTGAAAGAGTATTGATTGTGTCCCACTCGACTGATTTTACACCCTCTATGTACATGGTCCCCAGTTTATGGGCAGGGCGGTTATTTTGTGTTTTATTTTGTTTTTGAGACGGAGTCTTGCTCTGTCGCCCAGTCTGGAGTGCAGTGGCGCGATCTCGGCTCACTGCAACCTCCGCCTCCCGGGTTCCAGCGATTCTCCCGAGTAGCTGGGATTACAGGCGCCCGCCACCATGCCCGGCTAATTTTTTTATTTTTAGTAGAGATGGGGTTTCACCATGTTAGGCTGGTCTCAAACTCCTGACTTCAAGTGATTTGCCTGCCTCAGCTTCCCAAAGTGCTGGGATTACAGGCATGAGCCACCACACCTGGCCTGTTATGTTTTTTGAGATAGGGTCTCCCTCTGTCACCCAGGCTAGAGTGCAGTGGTACAATCACAGCACATTGCAGCCTCAACCTCCCTCCCAACCTCAACCTGCAGGGGAGGGGAGGGAGAGGAAGGGAGGCTCATCTCAGGGCTCTGAACCTGAGCCTCCCACCAGGGATTTCCCAGTCTCCACACTGGCCTGGAACTGGGCGCCCTCCTCTCTGCAGCCCCATCCAGCCCCCACTTCCCAGCATCTGCCCACGGATGAGCCTCCGGAGGATGGGCAGCAAGTCCTGGCACTGCCCCTCACCCGCCCCCCACCACTCAGCCCCTGTGGGGACCTCAGGAGGTAAGGCCCAGGCAGGACCCTGTGCCACCTCCCCCATCCACAGCCTCTGCCCCCTTGACGCCCTTGTTACAGAGGCTCTTTTCACAGCAGGTCATGTCCAGCTTCTCAGTCTTCAATCAATCAGTCCATTCTCAGTTTCTATGGGGTAAGACCCTCCAGGGACCACAGGATGGGTGAGGTTCATAATCTGGACACACAGGGAGGGCCACAGCCCTTGCTAGTGTAGCTGAACTTCTGCCCTGTGGGTGAAAGAGGAGGGTGTCTGGCACAGGAAGCCCCACCCGACCCCCTTGGTCCCACCCCAGGACCGCCCCCTTCAGGGAACCTTGAAGCCAGTGGGGACACAGAGACAATCAGGAGACAAGCAGAAAAGAACAGGCCGCGCCGAGTCTGCAGTCCTTCCAGGCTCAAGCGATCCTCCTGCCTCATCTTCCAAGTAGCTGGGACCACAGGCACCTGCCACTACCCCCAGCTATTTAAAAAAAAAAAATTTATAGAGATGGGATCTCACTATGTTGCCCAGGCTGATCTTGAACTCTTGGGCTCAAGTGATCCCCTTGCCTCAGCCTCCCAAAATGCTGGAATTGTAAGCGTGGGCCTCTGCACCCGGCCTGGTCCGCAATTTAAAAACACACAGCCACCATTCCCTCTCCAGAAAGCACCCAGATGCCTTTGGGAGAACCAGCCTCCTCCATGGAGGAAAGCTTGGGATCTGCCTTCCCACCTGGGGAGGAGAGGGATCTGTGGAAAATCCTTCTGACGGACTTCCCCTCAGTGCCTGATCCATACTCAATAGTAGAAAAATTAAGAAATATACAAAGATAGCAGATACACGGAGACAGTTCCCCAAATAGCTGAGCGAATAGCGCAGAAGCAATATTGAAGACCTAATAGCTGAGACATTTCCAGAACTGATAAAGTGCGTCCAGCCACAGATCAAGCAGCCCAGAAAATTCCAGGCAGCATCAACAAATAAATAGCCCCACATGCACCCGTGAAAATGCAGAAGACCAAAGAAAAAAGTCCTGTCAACAGCCAGAGAAAAAGATCAGCCACCAGGGGTCGGTAGTGAGAAGGACAACTGTGGAAGCCAGGAGAGATGACAGCCCTGAGTTCCACAGGCAATGGAAGAAAGACTGTCAGACAGAAAGGTTGTCCCCAATATACTTGCACTAAAAGAAAATCTTTTTTTAATTTATTTATTTATTTATTTATTTTAGACAGGATCTCACTTTGGAGTGCAGTGGCGGGAACACAGCTTATTGTAGCCTTGACCCAGGCTCAAGCGATCCTCCCACCTCTGTCCCCGAAGTAGCTAGGATGACAGGTGTGCACCACCATGCCCAGCTAATTTTTGTATTTTCATAGAGGCGGGGTTTCTCCCTGTTGCCCCAGCTGGTCTTGAACTCCCTTGATCAAGGAATGCTGGGACTACAGGTGTGAGCCACAGCACCGGCCAAGAAGGTCTTTTAAAAAGTCTTTTCGGGCACGGTGGCTCATGCCTGTAATTCCAGCACTTTGGGAGGCCAAGGCGGGTGGATCACAAGGTCAGGAGTTCAAGACCAGCCTTGCCAAGACGGTGAAACCCCGTCTCTACTAAAATTAGCTGAGTGTGGTGGTGGGCACCTGTAATCCCGGCTACTCGGGAGGCTGAGGTAGGGAATTGCTTGAACCCGGAGGCAGAAGTTGCAGTGAGCCAAGATCATGCCACTGCACTCCAGCCTGGCGACAGAGACAGACTCTGTCTCAAACAAAAAAAAGAAAAAGAAAAGAAAAGTGATCTTTAGGCTGGACATGGTGCATGGTGGCTCTCACCTGTAATCCCAGCACTTTGGGAGGCCTAGGCAGAAGGATCGCTTGAGTCCAGGAGTTCCAGACCAGCCTGACCAACATGGAGAAACCTGTCTCTACTAAAAATACAAAAAAATTAGCCGGGCGTGGTGGCGCATGCGGGTAGCCCCAGCTACTCAGGACGCTGAGGCAGGAGAATCGCTTGAACCCAGGAGGCAGAGGTTGTGGTGAGCTGAGATTGTGCCATTGCGCTCCAGCCTGGGCAACAAGAGCAAAACTCCATCTCAAAAAAAAAAAAAAAAAGTGATCTTTAGGCCGGGCACAGTGGCTTGTGCCTGTAATCCCAGCACTTTGGGAGGCTGAGGTGGGTGAATCACTTAAGGTCAGGAGTTGAAGACCAGCCTGGCCAACATGGTGAAACCCCATCTTTACCAAAAATACAAAAATTAGCCGGGTGTGGTGGCACGCACCTGTGATCCCAGCTACTTGGGAGGCTGAAGCAGGAGAACCACTTGAACCCAGGAGGCGGAGGTTGCAGCGAGCCAAGATCTCGCCACTGCACGCCAGCCTGGGCAACAGAGCGAGACTACATCTCAGAAAAAAAAACAGTGATCTTTAGCCAGAAGGAAAATGGTCCCATTCAGAATCAGAGATACCTCAAGTGATGAAGCACAGATTCGTAGAAATGTGGTGAGTCTAAATGAACATCAATTCTATTAAAAAAGATAAAATAGTGGCCGGCGCGGTGGCTTACGTCTGTAATCCCAGCACTTTGGGAGGCCGAGGGGGGCGGATCACCTGAGGTCAGGAGTTCAAGACCAGCCTGACCAACATGGTGAAACTCCATCTCTACTAAAAATACAAAAAAAATTAGCAAGGTGTGGTGGCACATGCCTGTAATCCCAGCTACTAGGGAGGCTGAGATGGGAGAATCACTTGAACCCAGAAGGCCTCTCACGCCATTGCATTCCAGCCTGGGCGACAGAGCAAGACTCCGTCTCAAAAAAAAAAAAAAAGTTCTGTCTTGTGGGAGATTTAAGTTTTTGTGGTGAAATTAAAATTCATACCATAAATACAAACCTGGAAAGGAGTGAATACAATGAGGCGAACCCACTGGGCGGTTACACAGTGGCCCACAGCTGTAGTCCCCACTACTCAGAAGGCTGAGGCAGGAGGACGGCTGGAGCCCAGGAGTTCAAGACCCACATGGGCAACATAGTGAGATGGAGCAGGGACCCCTCCTAGGTGCCTGCCAGGCTCTCCCAAGCTTGGAAATCAAGGAACACTCTTGAATCCCTTCAAGGGAAATTCCAGTCACCTTGCCAGCCTTGAAAGGTAAGTGAGCAGCCTGCCAGGAAGGCGACGGGAGCACGGGTCTCCCAAGCAGGCCACAGCCACAGGTGGTTTGCTTCCCTATAGAAACTAAAGCATAACATACATTCTCAAGTCTTTCAGAAACCCCCACCCGGTGGAAAATGCCGACTGCTATCACAGAGACCCAGATAAGGGGGAACTGAGGACTGAACTCTGGCCGTGTTCTCTGTCATGAATTTCTTCTTGAGGGGCCTGGAGGGAGTCACAGCTGTGAGCCACTAATGTGTGCCCCCATGCACACAGCACCCTTGGCATAACTAACTCCATCTTAGAGACTCCATTGTATATCTTACAGGGCACTTGGCCAACAAAGGTAAGATGTTTTGCTTAATAAACAAGTTAAAAATAAAGCCTGCATCCAAACAGATGAGGACGCAAGCAAGCGCACTCTTCAGATGTCACTTCTCACGGGAGGCCTCTGTGATTGCAGAAGGAAAGGCCCCAGCAGAACTCACCATCTGCCGCCTGAGGCTCCACCACCTCGAAGACATCCTTGCAAGATCCACAGACTGGCCCAGACCAGGAGGTTTCTGTCTTCTTCTTGTGTCTTCTTCACTCTCCTGGACTGGTTCGTGAACCCTTTCTCCTATCTCTGTTTCCTCTGGATGTTAAGTGCTACTTTCTTTGTTGTGGAACGTTAACCTGTAACATGTATATACTGATTAAGTACACTATTACGTTGTCGTGTGCAATATTGGCTGACATGTGCAGTGGCTTGAGCCCGTGTGACCGCAGCTCTCACTACTGAGGGAAAGGAGCACTAAGCAGCATGCCTCCTTGGGAACGCCGTGTGGCTCGTGGCTTTAGGGATTGAAATAGCCTCAATAAAATTCTGACATTGTGAAAGACACAGGCATGCTTGGATGTGATTATCTCTAACTTTGCACTGCTCATGACACCCCATGTATTGGTTAATGATTTTGCCTGCAACTTCTGCTTTCCTGAAATGTACCCATACCCCTAAAAACCCCAGCTTGTAAGCCACTGGGGAGTTTGGGTCTTAAGCGTGAGCTGTCCGTTCTCCTTGCTTGGTACCGTGCAATAAATATCATCTTTCCCCTGCTGCAAATTGCAACATCAGTGTTTGACTTTACTGCCCTGGGTGAGAAGAGCCCAGCTCGGTTCAGTAACTGTAGAAGACTGTAAGAGGCGTCCAAACTGGAGTGACCCCATCGTGAATAAAAGCTAAACAAAGCCACACCTGCTGGGTGACATTCCCAGGGGTTGGGCATTGTGTGTCACAAGATGCCTGTGGTTGAGGGAACGAGTTAATAATGCTAACTAATTAATCAGACGCAGAACTTAAGGAAATGTCCCAACATTTTAAGAACAAAAAGCATTCTAAGTTGGAGAATAAGATTTGCTTTAAAAATAATGGTATAGGAGTCAGGTATGGTGGCTCACACCTGTAATCCCAGCACTTTGGGAGGCCAAGGTGGACAGATAACTTGAGGTCAGGAGTTCGAGACCAGCCTGGCCAACATGGTCAAGATACCTCCAAATCTTTATTTATGTATTTATTTATTTATTTTGGAGACAGGGTCTCATTCTCACTCTGTTGCCCAGGCTTTTTTTTTTTTTTTTTTGAGACGGAGTCTCACTCTGTCGCCCAGGCTGGAGTGCAGTGGCACAATCTCGGCTCACTGCAACCTCCGCCGCCCACGTTCAAGCGATTCTTCTGCCTCAGCCTCCCGAGTAGCTGGGATTACAGGCGCCTGCCACCGCACCTGGCTAATTTTTGTATTTTTAGTAGAGACGGCGTTTCACCATCTTGGCCAGGCTGGTCTTGAACTCTTGACCTCGGGTGATCCGCCTGCCTCGGCCTCCCAAAGTGCTGGGATTACAGGTATGAGCCACCGTGCCTGGCCTTAACTCTTCTATAAATAGATTACCAACAGACGAAAGAAAATTTAAGGCATAAAGCATGCAGTTAAAAGGCTTAATTCAAAATGACAAAAAATACTGTTAACCCAAAGATGATAATTCTAAATTTTTTAACATCCATTAAATGGTCAGAAAATAAATAAAACTAAAGTTGAGAGAACTAAAAAGAGAAAGAATCATACTCTGAGGCCCTGTAACACCCCTTGTAATAGCAGATGAAAAATCAACAAAGATAGAGAGTTAAAACAGGATAAATAGGCCGGTCACGGTGGCTCATGCCTGTAATCCCAGAACTTTGGGAGGCCGAGGCGGGCGGATCATGAGATCAGGAGTTTGAGACCAGCGTGGCCAACATAGTGAAAACCCGTCTCTACTAAAAATACAAAAAAGATTTAGCCAGGCATGGTGGTGTGCGCCTGTAGTCCCAGTTACTCAGGAGACTGAGGCAGGAGAATCGCTTGAACCCAGGAGGCAGAGGTTGTGGTGAGCCAAGGTCGCGCCACTGCACTCCAGCCTGGGCAACAGAGCAAGATACATCTCAAAAAAAAAAAAAAAAAAAAAAACCAGGATGAACGAAAGAAATTAATGGAGGCTGATCATGTCAGCTCACACCTGCAATCCCAGCACTTTGGGAGGCAGAGGTAGGAGGGCTGCTTGAGCACAGGACAACATAGGAGGACCCTGACTTTTTTTTTTTTTCTTTTTTTTTGAGACAGAGTCTTGTTCTGTCACCAGGCTGGAGTGCAGTAGCACGATCTTGGCTCACCGCAATCTCCGCCTTGCAGGTTTAAGTGATTCTCCTACCTCAGCCTCCCGAGTAGCTGGGATTATAGGCACGTGCCACCATGCCAAGCTAATTTTTGCATTTTTAGTAGAGATGGGGGTTTCACCATATTGGCCAGACTGGTCTCAATCTCTTGACCTCGTGATCCACCCACCTCGGCCTCCCAAAGTGCTGGGATTAAAGGCATGAGCCACTGCACTCAGCAACCCTGTCTCTTTAGAGCAAATTTTAAAGCCGGGCGCAGTGGCTCACGCCTGTAATCCCAGCACTTAGGGAGGCCAAGGTGGATGGATCACCTGAGATCAGGAGTTTGAGACCAGCCTGGCCAACATGGTGAAACCCCATCTCTACTAAAAATACAAAAATTAGCCGGGTGTGGTGGCGCACCCCTGTAATCCCAGCTACTCAGGAGGCTGAGGTGGGAGAATTGCTTGAACCCGGGAGGCAGAGGCTGCAGTGAGCCGAGATCGCGCCACTGCTCTCCAGCCTAGGCAACAGAGCAAGACCCCGTCTCAAAGCCAAAAAAAAAAAAATTTTTCAATTTAAAAATTTTTAAAAATAAAACAAATTTTAAAATTAAAAAAAGAAAGGTAACCGACATAGAAAACTGATCACAGCAATTCCAGAACACACACACTTTTCAAGTACACACAAACATCTACAACTATGGATCACATAATGAGCCATGAAAAAGTCTCCACAAATTAATTGAAATCATACAGAGTGGCTTCTCTAATTACAGTTAAATTAGACTAGAAATTATTACCCAAAACAAGAAAATGCTCCTCTGTTTGGAAATGAACAAGTATAGTTATAAATAACGTATATGTCACAGAAGAAATCAAAAGGAAAATAGGATTTCGCTCTGTTGCCGAATGCAACAGGAATGCAGTGGGTCCAATCAAAGCTCACTGCAGCCCTGACCTCCTGGGCTCAAGTGATCCTCCCGCCTCAACCTCCTAAGTAGCTGAGACCACAGGCACGCACCACCACATCTTGCTAGTTTTTAATTTTTTTTTTGAGACGGAGTTTTGCTCTTGTTGTCCAGGCTAGAGTGCAGTGGCACCATCTCGGCTCTGCAACCTCTACCTTCAGGTTCCAGCGATTCTCCTGTCTCAGCCTCCCAAGTAGCTGGGACAACAGGCATGCACTACCACACCTGGCTAATTTTTGTATATTTAGTAGAGACGGGGTTTCACCATGTTGGCCATGGTTGGTCTCGAACTCCTGACCTCAGGTGATCCGCCCTCCTCAGCCTCCCAAAGTGCTGGGATTGCAGGCATGAGCCACCACGCCCAGCCATAACTGCATGCTTTGAGAGAACTGTATCCACTGTTAGGTCTCAGAAACCAATACCCCAAAATATGGCACTTTGACATGCTGAAGAAACTTCAAGAACTTTCTGTCCTCCCCCACAACCCACAGACTCTCCCAAAGTTAGGATGGAGTTCTCTGAAGTTCCTTTGTCTGCCTAAAGTCTGGACTCACCAAGAACAATTGTGTTTTCTTCCCCCTACCCCCAGACAAAGAATGTCACCATACCTGAACAAACCCTTTCACAAGATAATAATGTCTGTCCCTCAGGCCCATTCACATTCCAAAGAGAACTATCTACAAGTTAATCTCCGCTCCCTGCTCCACTGCCCTCAGAATCCTCTTCTCCCCTCATGGCCTGTGTGGCCAGGATGGTCCCTAAGCGTCTGAACCCCGCTGCAGGGTGCGGGATATCGCTCTGCGTTTTCCCCTGTGGACACATTAATACATCTCTGCGCCTTTTCTCCAGTTAATCTGCCTTTTCTGAGTCGCGTTTTCATGGAAATGTCAGGGGTTAAAAGGGAAGATTTCCCACTGGCCCTTACCTTCATACATTAAAAACACATTCAGGCTAGGCACGGTGGCTCATGCCTGTAATGCCAGCACTTTGGGAGGCCAAGGCCGGAGGTCAGGAGTTGGAGACCAGCCTGGCCAACAGGGTGAAACCCTGTCTCTACTAAAAATACAAAAATTAGCTGGGCCTAGTGGCACACACCTGTGATCCCGGCTACTTGGGAGGCTGAGACAGGAGAATCGCTGGAACCCGGGAGGGCAGCTGGACGGGAGGGCAGCTGGAACCCGGGAGGTTGCAGTGAGCCGAGATCGCGCCATTGCACTCCAGCCTGGGTGACAAGAGAGAGACTCCATCTCAAAAAAAAAAAAAGATTCAACATTAATGAATGAAGCATTCATCACAAGAAATTACAGGAAGAACAGCAAATGGAATCCAAAAAAACGGAAGAAAGAAACGAATAAAAGTGACATCAGAAATTAATAATATGGAAATTATGTACATATTAGGATACACAAGTTAGTTATTTCTTTGGATAAACTAAAAACTTTGATAACTCTTGCTTTTTTTTTTTTTTTTTTTTTTTTTTGAGACAGGGTCTCACTCTGTTGCCAGGGCTGGAGTGCAGTGGTGCAATCTCAGCTGACTGCAACCTCCGCCTCCCAGGTTCAAGCAATTCTTGTGTTTCAGCCTCCCAAGTAGCTGGGATTACAGGCTTGTGCACCATGCCCGGCTAATATTTGTTATTTTTTGTAGAGATGAGGTTTCACCATGTTGGCCAGGCTGGTCTCAAACTCCTGACCTAAAATTATCCACCTGCCTCAACCTCCCAAAGTGCTGGAATTACAGGTGTGAGCCACCACGCCCAGCCTTAAAAATGTGGATAATTCTTGTGGGAGACCAGTCAAGAAAAGAAGAGGAGAAAAACAGCCATAATAGCAATGGGGAAAAAATCAGGATCAACAGAGTCTTCAGCCGGGCGCAGTGGCTCACACCTGTAATCCCAACACTTTGGGAAGCCGAGGCAGGTGGATCCCTTGAGCCCAAGGGAGAAATAGCGAAGGGGGACACGTCACACTTTCAAACCATCAGATCTCCTGAGAACTCACTCACTATCACCAGAACAGCAAGGGGGAGGTCTGACCCCACGATCCAATCACCTCCCACGTGGCCCCTCCGCCAATTCCACATGAGATCTGGGCGGGGACACAAATCCAAACCATCTCATCCTGTAACTTCTTTCTCCCTAAAGGGTATAAAATCGAGCTGTACCCCGGCCACCTTGGGCACATGTTCCCCGAACCTCCTGAGTCTCTGTCATGTGAGGTCATGGTCCTCACATTTGGCTCAGAATAAACCTCTTCAAATATTTTAGAGTTTGGCTTTCTTTCATCAACACATCCCATCCTGTAAAACGCAGAGTAAGCCGGAGAGAATGGCTCACACCTGTAATCTCAACACTTTGGGAGACCAAGATGGGAGGATCATTTGAGGCCAGGAGTTCAAGAGACCAGCTTGGCCAACAAAGCAAGACCTCATCTCTAAAAAAAAAATAAGTAAATAAAAACAAATGTGAGTGACTTCACTCTTCTCTCCCAGAGCCTCCAGTTGTCACTTTTCTGAGTTTCTTCAGGGTCTCTTGAACTGTACTCAGGGTGTCAAGAGGTACAGTTGGGAAGGATGGGGGCCTCTAATGAGGGGGTTAAGAGCATCATTCTGGAGGAGACATGAGGGAGGCAGCAGAGAGGGGCTGTGGTGTGGCCTTCACACACTGCAACTCCTGGAGGTCGGGCAGGGGCAGGATGTCCAGACAGTGGACGCATGAGTGGGGAAGCCTTCAGCCACCCTGACTCCACCTAGGAGGTGCCCCAAGGCAGAACCAGCAGCTGAGCCTGGCCAGCCCCGGCAGCGATGAGAGACAGTAGGTTTTGGGGTGACCAACAGGGAGCCCCAGCAGGAGCCCAGCAGGAGAGAGAAGCTGGATATTGATCCTGCTGGCCCCTCCTGCAGTCCGCAGGACTGTCCACAGCCCTCGCTCCTCTTAAGCAGCTCACCTGCCTTGGTGGCCCCTCCCCTCCTGGCCCCTCCTTTTGGGCCTGGGTTGGGGGTGGCAGGGGTCCTGTCCCTGCACCCGGAGTGGAGTGGGATATGGCACTGGAATGTTTCTAGGCAGCCCACTCCTGTAAGAGGGCCTGGGGCTGGGCCCAGTAGTTCACACCTGTAATCGCAGCACTTTGGGAGGCTGAGGCAGGAGGATCGCTTGAGCCTCGGAGTTCGAGAGCAGCCTGGGCAACATAGAGACCCCACTTCTACTTGAGAGACACACAGAGAGAGAGAGAGGGAGGGAGGGAGAGAGGGAGGGAGGGAGAGAGAGAGGGAGGGAGGGAGAGAGAGAGGGAGAGAGGGAGGGAGGGAGAGAGAGAGAGAGAGAGAGAGAGAGAGAGAGAGAGAGAGAGAGAGAGAGAGAGAGAGAGAGAGAGAGAGAGAGAGAGGGAGAGAGAGAGAGAGGGAGGGAGGGAGGGAGGGAGAGAGAGAGGCTTCTGGTAAATGCTCCTATTTTGCAAACTCTCTTCCTATTTTGTGATTAGGATGCTCCATCAGTTTCTGCCACCAGCTTGCTGGAGACGCTGCGTGTCCCTGACTCCTCTCAAAGGGTGAAAAGCTCAGTCGCACCCGAGACCTGCTCCTCAGGCAGAGGATGAACTGAGTCCCCGCCCCACCGCCCGTCTGGCCTCTGTGAGAGTGGCGTGCAGGCTGACCCTGGAAGCAGAGGGACATTCGAACGGGCCGGCGGCCTTCTCCCCGCTAGGCTGGGCTCCGGGGTGGGCGGAGAGTGGCCGCCACAGGCCATCAGCGTCCGGGGTTCTGGAAGCAGGGAGGGCAGAGGCTGGCCCAGCCTATGGGAGACCCTGCAGAGGCGTGGCCTCCAGGCTAATCCTACCCCAGCTGCCCCAGGGCGGGATTTCTTTTCTTTTTTCCTTTAATCTCTTTATCTACAGGCGCCGAGGCTTAATGAGCTCCAGATGTCTCAACATACCAGGAGAGGTTTAGGATCCCCTGCCAAATACAAGGGAGATAAGAACGCACCAGACTTGCACAAACCAGAGCTGGTGACCCCCAGTTCCCTTTAAATCAGCGACATGTCATTACAAGGCGGAAGTCCTGCCCGAGAGGACAGTCCCCAGGCCTTGCTAAGCATGCGTGGTATCAAGAGGTGCATTGAGGCGCTCCTGCAGCCTCCTCCCGGCACGGGACTCCTCACAACCCCCAGCCTCAGCTTCCCTGACAGGGCAGGGGCTCACTCTTCTCCACTCCGGGCCAGGAACGCAGCCTGCTTGCCTTTTGTCCAATTGGGTGCTCTTTCTTTGCGACTGATACAAAGTGGGAACAAACTCCGCTTCCGGTGATGCCCGGGCCCCAGGAGGCTGGGGGAGAAGTGCACGCTGCCCAGCCTTCAACCTGAACTGCCCCCAGCACTTCCGAGCCCCGACCCCTGCAGCTGTGAGGTGAGGTGGGGAGGGGGCGGCCTGCGGGGAGGGGGCTGCCTGCGGGGAGGGGGCTGCCTGCAGGGCGGGCCGTGTGGGTCCCCCGAGCGTGGGGGACCAGTGACGTCAGGCAACATTTCTCCAAAGGCTCCCTCACCTTGTCCTTTGGCATCTGGGGTGCTCAGAGGAAGGGGGAAGCCGGGAGGGTGTGGAGAGGGTCACTGGAGAGGGGAAAGGCCAGAGTGATCCCCTTGGGGACGAGGCAGAGGAAAAGCTGTGGAGACCTAAAGAGAAGAGGTGGGGTGCGCCTGGGCCTCTCAAGTTTGTTTCCCAGAACCAGGGAAGGTTACAGTGGAAGGGAGGACCCTGTGGGGAAGAAGCTTCCAGAGACCTTCTGGAGAGGTGAGCCAAAGGCGAGCCATGGCCAGAAACCCCAGGCCTGCTGCAGTGGAGAGTCAGTGCTGCAGGAGGCTTGGGAATCAGGGCTGCCCTCCTTGGGCTGAACCCTCTATCTAGGGGACAATGGCCCTGGGCAAAAGCACTGCTTTCTGGGCCCCCTGGAGGGTAGGGCATGACACTGTGGTGCTAGAGGCAGGGGGGACATGAGGAGGTAGACGAATGTCCTGAGTCACCAGGTACAACCACTGCACCCCATTGTGACTGCCCCTGTGTCCGACACAGATTTGGGGGGTCTGGAATGTCCCTTGAGCTCCTTAGGCACTCATGAATTTCTAGTTGAGCAAATAAAATGTCCAAGATGCCCAGTTTGATCTGAATCTCAGATAAACAACAAATAGTCATTTTTACCAATGTTTGGGACATACTTATGCTAAAAATTGTTTATCTGAAATTCATATTTAATTGGGCATCTTACCCCATTGACCCTAATTAGCAAATCACATCCAGGAGTACAGGGCATGGCTGGGTGGTGGCTGTCACACTGTGCAGTCAGAGGGACCAGGACGTCTTGGATGCAGGCGTCTGGCCAGCGTGGAAGGCCAGGACCTGGTCACGAGATGTGGCTCCCGGCATGGCAGGTCAAAGACTGCTGGTCGTCTGAGCCCAGCCCTGACTCCAGGCTGAGATGGCCATTCACCCAGACCTTGAGCCCTGCCCTGACTCCAGGCTGAGACGGCCGTCCACCCAGACCATTCTGAGCCCTGCCCTGACCCCAGGCTGAGATGGTCATCTATCGGGGGAAATTCACCCCCGATATTTCATGTAGGTTCTTTTCTATTTTCCCTAAGTGTCGGCCAGTCTGAGAAATAAAGGGACAGAGTACAAAAGAGAGAAATTTCAAAGCTGGGCGTCCGGGGGAGACATCACATGTCGGCAGGTTCCGTGATGCCCCCTGAGCCGTAAAACCAGCAAATTTTTATTAGTGATTTTCAGAAGGGGAGGGAGTGTACAAATAGGATGTGGGTCACAGAGATCACATGCTTCACAAGGTAATAAGATATCACAAGGCAAACGGAGGCAGGGCGAGATCACAGGACCACGGGACCGGGGCGAAATTAAAATTGCTAATGAAGTTTTGGGCACACATTGTCATTGATAACATCTTATCAGGAGACAGGGTTTGAGAGCAGACAACCAGTCTGACCAAAATTTATTAGGCGGGAATTTCCTCATCCTAATAAGCCTGGGAGCACTGCGGGAGACTGGGGCTTATTTCATCCCTTATCTACAACTGTAAAAGGCAGCCGTCCCCAAAGCAGACATTTCAGAGGCCTCCCCTTAGGGATACATTCTCTTTCTCAGGGATGTTCCTTGCTGAGAAAAAGAATTCAGCGATATTTCTCCTATTTGCTTTTGAAAGAAGAGAAATATGGCTCTGTTTCACCTGGCTCACAGGCAACCAGAGTTTAAGGTGATCTCTCTTGTTCCCTGAACGTTGCTGTTACCCTGTTCTTTTTTCAAGGTACCCAGATTTCATATTGTTCAAACACACATGCTCTGCAAACAATTTGTGCAGTTAACACAATCATCACAGGGTCCTGAGGCAATATACATCCTCCTCAGCTTACGAAGATGATGGGATTAAAAGATTAAAGACAGGCATAGGAAATCACAAGGGTATTGATTGGGGAAGTGATAAGTGTCCATGAAATCTTCACAATTTATGTTCAGAGATTGCAGTAAAGACAGGCATAAGAAATTATAAAAGTATTAATTTGGGGAACTAATAAATGTCCATGAAATCTTCACAATTTATGTTCTTCTTCCATGGCTTCAGCCGGTCCCTCTGTTTGGGGTCCCTGACAATAGCCGTCCACCCAGACTGTTCTGAGCCCAGCCCTGACTCCAGGCTGAGACGGCCGTCCACCCAGGGCGTTCTCAGCCCAGCCCTGACTCCAGGCTGAGACGGCCGTCCACCCAGGGCGTTCTCAGCCCAGCCCTGACTCCAGGCTGAGACGGCCGTCCACCCAGGGCGTTCTCAGCCCAGCCCTGACTCCAGGCTGAGACGGCCGTCCACCCAGGGCGTTCTCAGCCCAGCCCTGACTCCAGGCTGAGACGGCCGTCCACCCAGGGCGTTCTCAGCCCAGCCCTGACTCCAGGCTGAGACGACCGTCCACCCAGGGCGTTCTCAGCCCAGCCCTGACTCCAGGCTGAGATGACCGTCCACCCAGACCATTCTGAGCCCAGCCCTGACTTTCTGTCCAGAGTGCAGTCCTGAAGGAGCCCCTTTCTCCCACCACCAGGGGAGACCAGTCTAACCCCTGACACGGGGCATCATGGGAGCCCTAGCCAGGGCACAGAAATGACAGGCCTGGCCCACACCACAGGATGGCTGGTGGCCGCAGGAGCTCTGCCTCTTGGTGACCATCCAGAGGCTCTCTGACAACCCTACTCAGATGTTCCCTGGAGCCACATGGCAAGAGTTCTGCCAGAAGAGCCATGAGCCTGGCACTCTGTGGGTTCTGGTCCCTGGGGGGGCACCCGTGCCCCAGGAGCACCTCCCCAAGGCCATGGTGCCAGCAGGATGTTGCAGAGGCCTGAGGTCAGAGTGGCAGGTGGGCGGCCTCAGGAATGGTGAGGAAGAAGCCGAGTGCTGACGCTGAGTGGGTCAGCAAAGGGCTGTTTGTTGACCTTGAGAGGGAGGCCCTCATCCTGTGTGGGAGGCCAGCAGGGCCCCCTGGGACCACGTTCCCTCCTTGCTTGGATTCAGGTAGCCCAGAGAGCTGAGGGGTTGGCCCTGGCTCCTCGGCAAGTTAGTGGCAAGCTGGATGGAGCTGGGGACTCCCGCCCTGGGCCACGGTTTCTCTATGACCCTAGGTCCCAAGCAGCCAGTGGTGGGGCCTGGTCTCTGAGGCCCAGCTCTGAAAAAAGTGGTGTTGTTGGGGGGCATGGGCTGGAGGGCCTGGGCCCAGAGGACAAGGAGTTTAAGCAGGGATATGTTCCCTGACAGGGAAGCCCCGACCTCTGCCCTGGCCACATCCTTCCCCTGATCTCATGGCTGAAAAGCCACACCAGAATTCCTGCAATTCAGTGAGGCAGCTCTTCAAAACCAAGCAGCTGGTGACGCACAGGGACAGAGGGTAGGCCTGCGGGGGAGAGGGCGGGAAAGGCCCTCACAGCAGGGCCCAGAGGAAGACTGACCCCAGGCTGAGCAGGAGCTGTACGCACAGGGCCCAGGGGCTGCTGGCTGCCAGGACCACCGCATTGCAGAGGTCTCCCTTGCAGCAAGAGATCTGGGAGTCCACAACGGCACTTGTAAGTTTCAGCAGGGGGAATCCGACGTCCTTCTGGCAGGAGAGGAGGGAGAGCTTGTTCTCCCCTCTCACTTTACCTGCGAGAGAGCGGGGTGGGGGATGAGCAGGGCCCTGCCCCGGGGCCTCAGGGGCTTTCTGCAGGGAGGCTCCGCACCCCAACATCTGCTGGCTGGGAGCCTGAACATCAAAGCCATCAGGACCAAGGCCATCGGAGCCCTTTCACTTAGGGGACGCTGAGGCCACCCAGGGAACCAGGGTTGTGGCAGAAAGGGCAGCAGGGTTTGAGTTCTTTCCCCAGGCAGCCCTCACCCTGCCCCGGCCTTGGGACCCCCGAAGCGGGAGCTGGGTGGGCTGTGGAGGGGAGCTGGGTGCTGCTTTTGGGAAACAGCTGCGGGCTCCAGGCTGGCTTTTTTTTTTTTAAATATCTTTTTGAGATGGAGTTTTGCTCTTGTGGCCCAGGCTGGAGTGCAATGGGGCGATCTCTGCTCACCACAACCTCCACCTCCTGGGTTCAAGCGATTCTCCTGCCTCAGCCTCCCCAGTAGCTGGGATTACAGGCATGCCCCACCAGGCCCGGCTAATTTTGTATTTTTAATAGATACAGGGTTTCTCCATGTTGGTCAGGCTGGTCTCCAACTCCCGACCTCAGGTGATCCCCCCGCCTTGGCCTCCCAAAGTGCTGGGACTACAGTCATGAGCCACCGTGCCCGGCCAGGGCAGGCCTTTTCCTGCCTCACCTCACTGAAGGGTGTGGCCTGGGGACAGATGCAGCTCCGAGAGCTGAGGGTGCTGAGGGTGCTGAGGGTGCTGAGGGCCTGGGCAGGCTGCAGCCCCTCCCCAGTCCTCCCATGGCCTGGCTGATATCCCACCATTCCAGAGTCATTCCTTTAGCTTGAAGCTAACTGTCTCCAGGTTCTTCCAGGCAGGTAACTCACTGAATGCTCACAGCCTGCGCCTCTCCTGCATGGAGCTGGTGAGACCCGCGGCATGAAGTGGGGACAAGGGGCAGAGGTCACTGGGGTCCCCAGAGTAGCTACAGCAGCTGGCGTTGGGAGGCTACTGGGAAGTTGGTGTGGGCCCTGCTGCTGGGCACTGGGAGGGGCTGGGATGGTTTCCACAGTAATGAGGGCCCTGTGGGCGCCCCCTGCTCTAGAACCCGGAACATCCCCTGTCCCTGCAGACCCACAACCCTTAGGCTCAGTTTGGTGGCCCAGGCTCCTCAGCCCTGCCGCTCTTCCACCCTTCCCTGCACAGGTCCTGCCCGCCATGCCCACCCCACCCCACCCCCCACCTCAGGAGCCACAGACCGGCCCCCAAAGTGCTGAGGGCTTGTAGGGGGACCTTGGTCCATCATGCAGCTATCTAAGAAGTGCCCCTCCCTCCCCAGAACCTGCCCTCTGCCCTGGCACCCCAGGGACTCACTGCCAAAGACGCTCACTTTCTGGGAGACACAGACCCCATCCAGGAAGGGGCACGAGACCACGCTGCAGGAGGCCCCTTCCAAGACCGCCAAGCATCTGTAGCAGCGCAGACCCTGAGCTGGGAGAGAGGGCAAGGTGGGTGACTGCAGCACATGCCAGGACATACACCAATGCCCTGGTGAGAGTCCCATGCCCACAAGGGCACCCACTCTCACCACCACCCTTGTCCCAACCTGCCACCTGGACCTTTGCAATAGCCCCACACACCTGCCTGCAACTGGCAGCCTGCAACTGGTGGCCTGCAACCCTCCAACACCACCTCTTTGTCCAGAGGCACCAGCAGCCACTGCCCAATGCCAAAGGCATACACGTGCCCAGGACTCAGTGAGTCCTCGGAAGTGAGCACAGCCAGCACGCGCGGTAACAAGCACAGAGCAGGCACCAAACACACCAGTCACCTCTGCCACCGGAACACCGAAGCCCGCCACCCCCAGCAGGCACGCCTTCCGAGCACACCCACCTGCAACTAGTTCCAGCACACACGGGGCAGCAGGAGTGCGCTGGAACAAAGTCCTCTAAAGGCCCCTCTGCTTCTCACCTCTCTCCATGCTCAGCAGGGCCACCAGCAGGACCAGGGACAAGGTCTTCATGGCCTGGAGACTGCTCATTCCAGGGTGCTAGTGCACAGACAAACTTCAGCGAATCAGAGCAGCCCTCGGACTCCTCACCCTCCTGGGGATCGAATGAGTCCTGCACAGCAGCAAAGCCAGAACATCCGGCTCTCCATCTCCCACCCTGTCCTCAGCACAGTCACCCAAAGGAGAACTGTCTGCCTCACGCCCCCACCCCAGTCCCCATTCCTCCCTCCCATCCTTCCCTGCAATTCTCACCCAGAGCCCCATGGCTGTACTGCACCTCCTCTCCTTAGCGCCCCCACCCAGGACCCTCCCAGGCCTGGTCCACCCCTCCTCACTTTCCTCCCTCTGGCTGATTCTCAGCCACTTGCCCTGCAGGCTTGCCAGAGAGAGGAAGGTGGGGCAGGGAGAGGCCCTGCCCTCAGCGGCTCCTCCCCTCAGGCTCTTCCTGACTGGCCCAGAACAAGGGTGGGTTCCTGAATTTCCATTTCACAGGAACTTGCTACTGGAGCAATAGGTGACTCCAGGCCAATTTACTCATTTTTTTTTTTCTTTTGAGCTGGAGTCTCACTGTTACCCAAGCTGGAGTACAGTGGCACAGTCTTGGCTCACTGCAACCTCTGCTTCCCAGGTTCAAGCAATTCTCCTGCCTCAGCCTCCCGAGTAGCTGTGACTACAGGTGCCCACCACCACACCCAGTTAATTTTTGTATATTAGTAGAGATGGGGTTTCACCATGTTGGCCAGGCTGGTCTCGAACTCCTGACCTCAAGTGATCCTCTCACCTTGGCCTCCCAAAGTGCTACGATTACAAGTGTCAGCTACCACGCCCAGCCCAATTTACTCTTTATACTAGAATTGGCAGCAGGTGGGCCTGGTGGCTCACATCTGTAATCTCATCACTTTGGGAGGCCAAGGCAGGAAGATAGCTTGAGGCCAGGAGTGAAACCACTTTTGCAAGATTATAACAATGAGAGGAGGCCAGGCACGGTGGCTCACGCCTGTGATCCCAGCACTTTGGGAGGCTGAAGTGGGCGGATCACAAGGTCAGGAGATCGAGACCATCCTGCCTAACATAGTGAAACCCCATCTTTACTAAAACTACAAAAAAATTAGCAGGGCGTGGTGGCAGGTGCCTGTAGTCCCAGCTACTTGGGAGGCTAAGGCAGGAGAATGGCATGAACCCGGGAGGCAGAGCTTGCAGTGAGATGAGATTGCGCCACTACACTCCAGCTTGGGTGACAGAGTGAGACTCCAGCTCAAAAAAAAAAAAAAAAAATGAGAGGAATCTAACATAACTGACTCCATCTTGCTTTCTAATCTCACAAGCTAACTTGCCTTTGCTCAGGTGGCATAGGCCAAGCTAACTATGGGAGGAATTTAGTTCATAGTTTAGAGTAAGGATGGGCCAGGCATGGTGGCTTACACCTCTAATACCTTTGGGAGACCGAGGCAGGTGAATCACCTGAGGTCAGGAGTTCGAGATCGGCCTGGTCAACATGACGAAACCCTGTCTCTACTGAAAAAAAATAAAAATTAGCTGGCGTGGTGGCGGGCACCTGTAATCCCAGCTACTCAGGAGGCTGAGGCAGGAGAATCACTTTAACCCGAGATGTGGAGGTTGCAGTGAGCCGTTATTGTGCCATTGTACTCCAGCCTGGGTGACAAGAGCGAAACTCCATCTCAAAACAAAAATAAATGAATACAAATAAAAAATAAAGTAAGGATGATAATAGTGTCTTCCCAAAACTACTCCACTCCTTGAGACCAAAGCCGCCTTTGTAAAACTAACGAAAGACCACAAGGTTAGCATTATGGTAGGGGCTTGATTTTTTTTTTTTAAGATGGAGTCTTGCTCTGTTACCCAGGCTGGAGTGCAATGGTGCCATCTCAGCTCACTGCAACCTCTGCCTCCCGGGTTCAAGTGATTCTCCTGCCTCAGCCTCCGGAGTAGCTGGGATTACAGGCGCCTGCCACCACGCCCGGCTTTTTTTTTTCTTTTGTATTTTTAGTAGAGACGGGGTTTTACCATGTTGGCCAGTCTCAAACTCCTGAGCTCAGGTGATCTGCCTGCCTCGGCCTCCCAAAGTGCTGGGATTACAGGCATGAGAGGCACGGCGCCTGGCCCAGGGGCTTGACTTCTGCTCATGAGCCAGGATAGGTAGTCAAGGAAGTGACCATATCCTTGGGATGCAGCCACCGTGGCCACTGTACAGTCAACACAGTAAGCCTTTGCATTTGCGCTGTGGTCCAGCTCATCCAAGCAAAGCTAGCTCCAGGAGAGAAATCCCCCCTCCCAACTACAGAGCAGGCATATTTGATTTTCCCTGTCCTCAGACTGACCCTTTGCTCATTATAATAGAAAACACACCCCTGGTGGAGATTTAAGATGCTAATGACACATGCGACGTATGAGCAAGCAGGTGCAGCTACTGCACGTGTGCACCCAGAGGACCCCCCCAGAACATGCTTCCTAGCAACACCTCTGCCCACCCGCTGTGAGTAATCATGGAAGACTCCCATGGAGGAGCCTCCCTGGTGCCAGTCTCTGCTGTCTCGCCCTTACAAGCAGCCGGCCCTGAATCCTCTCTCTCAGGGCGTCCTATCTCTTCTGCATCAAACTTTCAAAATGTTCTTTCTCCTTTGCAATACATTGCTCTGTGCTGCATCTCCTTGGCTGTGTGTCTCTTGTTTAAATTCTTTTAAACTAAGAAGACAAGAATGGAGGCCTCACAGCAGCCGCCAACGTTTCTGGTGCTGTGACTCGGATGGAGGTTCGTCTGCGTCATTCACTCCAGTTTCCCTTCCCCGCAGCGGGTACCGTGGCAGTGCCAGGCTGCCTGGTTGGCTGCCGCTGGTTTGCCCAGGGCTGTTTCAGTCAAGCTCCGGGGAAGGTTTCTAAGTTGCCTGGACCGTTTCTGTGGATATATGTGCTGCTCTCCTCTGGCTGCTGCCTCTGCACCACTCATCATTATCCAACCACATCGGTTGCTCTCAACATTCAGTATTTGGGCTGTTTCGCTGCTTGGTTTCACGCCTTTCTGGCCTCGTTTCAGACACAGCCCGTTTGCTGTCCCTCTGGTAGCACTCGGCCGCCACCTCGTGGCCATTGTGATTTATTGTCTGATCGGGTTTTCTGTTTTACAAAATTTTCTTTTTTTTTTTTTTTTTTTTGAGACAGAGTCTCTTTTGCCCAGGCTGGAGTGCCATGACACCACCTCAGCTCACTGCAACCTCCACCTCCTGGTTCAAGCGATTCTCCCGCCTCAGCCTCCTGGGTTGCTGGGACTACAGGGGTCTGCCACCACGCCCGGCTAATTTTTTGTACTTTTAGTAGAGATGGGGGTTTCACCATGTTGGCCAGGCTGGTCTCGAACTGCTGACCTCAAGTGATCCATCCACCTTGGCCTCCCTAAGTGTTGGGATTACAGGTGTGAGCCACCGTGCCTGGCCGAAATCTGTTTTGAGGGACACATTAAGAGTGCGCTGTCCCTCCAGACCTTATGCATTTTCCACCTCCTTCAGATGGTCCTTCAACTGGCGTTCTTTGCTGAACAAAAGATGCTCAGTCATGTATCTGCCAGGCTGTGGGGACTGCATCGGGTATTCCAGGCACTGTAATCGGGCATCACCAATGGCCAACCAGTGAGGCAGGGAAAGGCTCGCTGATGAGACGTTGGGCCCCCCAGCCAGCAGCGGGGGCCACCTCAGTCGGGCCTGGAGACTTCCAGCGCCCGTGAGACCCAGGACGGTGTATGCCAAATGCCCGTGACCTCCTAGCGCCCTGATTTCATGGGGGTTCAAGGGGATGTCCCACACCCTGTCATGGTCCAGCTTGGCTCGGGGACACCTGTGACCTCCTGGACTTTGGTATCTGTTTTTGTCATTGCAGGATTCTCTCGGCACCACGGGAACCACCTTCTCTACTCTCACTGAACACCCCTGGGATGTATCTGTAAAAATTGGAACACCTTTCGGCTAGGTGAGCTAAAACGGAAAAGACATCTTTTGTTACACTGTTTGTCCTGGGTACAAGTTAGCTGACAATGAAAAGTGGTCAGAGAGTGGAACTGTGAGCTTCATCGCCATCCCGCAGCTCCGTCTTTCCAGAGGAATCAGGGACAATGGTCAGAAGTACCCATGAGTAGGTATTTATGGCCTTACAACGGAACCCGGCTTTATGCAGCACCTGCAGGCTAAAATCCAGTAAGCCAGAAAGCCCCCCAGACCCATGCGAAGACCCTCTTTTATTAAAGGGAAGGGACTCCAGGCCCCATGGCCCAACTCCAAGTCCAGATAGGGGTTCTCAGGGCTCCACACCTCCTTCCGACTCCCCAGCATCCCCCGCACTATCAGAGTCTCCTGTGGAATCTAATCCCATTTCACCCCCTCCTTATGCTCCTCCTCCTTTGCAGGTACAATAGGGACTTGCCCAGCTGGAGCTGCTCGCACTGGGACTTCACACCATCCAGGGCCAGAGAAACTGCTCCCCTTATGGGAGGTCCCAAATGGAGAGGGGACCATTATGACACATGTCCCATAAATGATCTAATTTATAGACTCACATCTATAAATAATCTAATCCAATGGAAGCAAAAAAAACAAAAACTCATCTTCTGTAGCAGAGAAATGGAGAGTAGCCCTAGGAGTCCTCCCGAAACTGGGAGAAACACCCTGTCTGGTTGTGGGAGAAACACCTCGTCCAGTTGTGGGAGAAACGCCTGGTCCGGTTGTGGGAGAAACGTCTCATCTGGTTGGCTCCTTTCCAAAGCAGCTGGACTCTGCGCCCTGCAGGTGGCCTGGCTGCCTTAGGGCAGTTGCAGCCATCGCCATTCTAGTAGAAGAAGCCCAAAACCTGACTTTTTTTTTTTTTTTTTTTTTTTGAGACGGAGTCTTGCTCTGTCACCAAGCTGGAGTGCAGTGGTGTGATCTCGACTCACTGCAACCTTTGCCTCCCGGGTTAAAGCGATTCTCCTGCCTCAGCCTCCCGAGTAGCTGGAATTACAGGCATGCACCATCACGTCTGGCTAATTTTTGTATTTTTAGTAGACGCGGGGTTTCACCATGCTGGCCAAGGTGGTCACAAACTCCTGACCTAAAGTGACCCACCCGTCTCAGCCTCCTAAAGTGCTGGGATTACAGGAGTGAGCCAGCTTGCCCGGCCCCAAAACCTGACTTTCAGACACACCTTCGAGGTCCTCACTCCCCACCAGGTGCAGGGAGTTTTAGAAATAAAGGGCCATGTTGGCTCTTGGGAGGAAGACTTGCCGTGATCAGGCGCCCTCCTGGACTCCCTCAAGGTTACTATAAAAACCTGTGGTACCCTTAATCCAGCTTCTCTCATGCCAGCCTGTTCCTGGGAGAACCTAACTCGTTCCAGGGTTGCAACATGGGCCAGGCCTTCCACAGTAGAATAGACCTCAGGGGTGCACCCTCTAGAATCCTGGTGCTGAATGGCTCACGGATGGAAGTAGTTGCATGGAAAATAAAAAAAGAGGGGCAGGACATGCTGTGGTTAGTCTACACCAAACAACAGATGCCCACACTGCCACCTAATACCTCGGCGCAAAAAGCAGAGTGAGTCCCCTGACCAGGGCCCGGCTCGGGGTCGGGGAAAGGCGCTTCACGGGTGTGCGGACTCCAAGGGCGCCTCCCTTGTCCCTCGTGCACACACAACATTTGGAAAGAACAGGTCTTCTAAATGCAAGGAAATCCCCCATTACATATGCAAAAGAAATACTGCGGCTTTTAGAGGCTGTGCAGGAGCCTGAGCGAGTGGCAGCCCTTCACTGCCTGGGACATCAAAGAGGAAACTCCTCAGTGACATTGGGAAATGCAAGGGCTGACAGGAAAGCTAAGAGGGAACTCCGGGAGCAGTGGCCCAGCTAGCCTTGTTCCCCTGTGCCCATTCTCTTGACGTAAATCCATCTTAACTACAAAAGAACTAGCAGCTCAGCGTGGTGGCTGTAATCCCAGCACTTTAGGAGGCCAAGGCGAGCGGATCATCTGAGGTCAGGAGTTCGAGACCAGCCTAGCCAACATGGTGAAACCCCGTCTCTACTAAAAATACAAAAATTAGCTGGCCGTGATGGCATGCACCCGTAATCCCAGCTACTCGGGAGGCTGAGGCAGGAGAGTCACTTGAACTGGGGAGGCAGAGGTTGCAGCGACCCAAGATCGCACCATTGCACTCCAGCCTGGGTGACAGAGCAAGACTCTGACTCAAAACTAATAATAATTAAAACATCAAAACAAGCATAAGCTAAAGAAAGTCAGGGGACTCTAACACCTGAAGGTTAGTGGCTCATAGGTCAAAAGCTCTTGCTTCCTCAGCCAGACCAGTAGAAAATGGTTAAAAGTTTACATGATTCCCAGCTGGGCACAGTGGCTCACACCTGTAATCCCAGCACTTTGGGAGGCCGAAGCACGTGGATCACTTGAGGTCAGGAGTTCTAGACCACCCTGGCCTACATGGAGAAACCCCGTCTCTACTAAAAATACAAAAATTAGCCGGGCATGGTGGCACCCACCTGTAATTCCAGCTACTCGGGAGGCTGAGGCAGGAGAATCACTTGAACCCGGGAGGCAGAGGTTGCAGTGAGCCGAGATCGTGCCACTGCACTCCAGCCTGGGTGACAGAGTGAGACTCTGTCTCAAAAAAAAAAAAGAAAAGAAAAGAAAAAAGCCGGGCGTGGTGGCCCAAGCCTGTAATCCCAGCACTTTGGGAAGCTGAGGCGGGCAGATCACGAGGTCAGGAGATGGAGACCATCCTGGCTAACACGGTGAAACCCCGTCTCTACTAAAAATACAAAAAATTAGCCAGGCGTGGTGGCGGGCGCCTGTAGTCCCAGCTACTTGGGAGGCTGAGGCAGGAGAATGGCGTGAACCCGGGAGGCAGAGCTTGCAGTGAGCCGAGATCGCACCACTGCACTCCAGCCTGGGGGACACAGCGAGACTCCGTCTCAAAAAAAAAAAATTTACATAATTATCTCCATATGGGGCAGGACACCATGACCACCTGGGTAGACCATCTGTTTATGGGCAAGGGCCTGGCAACCACAATAGAGTCACTCGGGCCTATGAACTTTGCTCCCAAAATAACCGTGGGGGCAAACAAAGACAAAGGCCTCTCACTAACCCCAGTCCAGCAGCGAGGAACCCAGGAACCCCTCCTGCTGAGGACTGGCAGGTTGACCGCACCCACACGCCCTCCTTTCGAGGCTTTAAATACCTTTTGGTTTTGTAGACACCTTTACCGGTTGGGTGGAAGCTCTCCCCCAAGAACAGAGAAAGCTACAGAAGTGGTCAAGGCATGTTTTGGCCTCCCCCGCTCCTTGCAGCTAGAACCCAGCAGGGAGCTCGAGCTTTGGGAATTAAGTATCGTCTCCGCTCCTCGTGGAGGCCGCAATCCTCCGGCAAGATTGAAAGGACCAGTCACACTTTAAAGCAAACCCTGGCAAAATTATGCCAGGAAACTTCTGGGTCTTGGTATACTCTGTCATCTATCGCGTTCATGAGAATACAAACGGTCCCCAAAGCGAAAAGGAAACTTAGTCTTTTTGAAATGACTTATGGGAGACCCTCCCTCACCTTAGACCTGTTAATCAAACCTGAAACTCAGTGTATTGTAAAATATATTCAAAATCTAGGCCAGGTACGGCTGGCTGTCCAGGAATATGGCAACACAGGGCTGCCCTCGCCTGGCAAGTGAAACACAACAGCAAAATGCTGCCTGGAGACTGGGTCCTATTAAACACCTAGAAGGAAGGTTCCCCAGCAGATCAACTTCTTCCTAAATGGAAGGGACCTTACCAAGTGCTACAAACCACCCCCGATGGCTGTAAAGCTACAGGGAGTCACCAGCTGGGCCCACATGACCAGAATTAAACTTTGCAATTAACCTTTACAGAAACCAGAGGAAGCCGCTCATGACACCCGGGAGCTCACAGAGGCTCTGAAGTTTCTATTCAAGAAAACAACTCCAGATGGGGCTGATCTGGAAGACAAGTAACATCTTCCTTTTCTTGGTGCTCGCCTGCCGTGCTCTAGGTGCTTTTAGAGATGCTGGTCTGTGTGCTAGGGAAGCGATGAACCATACTGTTAGTCTATTAAACATAACTCAACCTGGCTGGCTTTCCATGACTACCAAACGCTGGGAATATGCCAGACCTGTGCCCGTGGAAGACTCTGGCCTCCCAGCACACCTCCAGGAACAAACTCCCTGGCCCGCAGGATAGGGATAGCAGCCCCAACCGTCAATACAAAGGGATTTTACTGAGTGGGCTCATGGGTTCTTTAAGTTCCCCCTCTTAACGATCAACGGTAATTCAAACGTCCCAAAAGGAGAAATGCTTTCTTAGCATATCTTTTACCTGGAGTATTTCCCCTTCTGCCTTTACAGCAATCATGCCAGTTCTACCACTTTTGCAAGAAAGCTCCAAGAGAGTCAGTGTAGCTGAAACTTTGTCACTGGGTCACCTATCTAGTCCATATGTCTGCAGGAATTATACTGATAAATGGACAACTCACCATGCAATCAATCTCCCGCTCTATCCTGTTCCCTGACCGGCATGGTTTCTACTTCCTGTCAGCACAACTAGGACGTCTGGTTTCTGCTGGGCTGCCCTCTCATGGGAAGCCTTTAATCACTCTAGCTCAATATATCCTCTGGGGACCATCAACATTTCCTATTAAAGATAACTACACCTGGCCGAGCGCGGTGGCTAACGCCTGTAATCCCAGAACTTTGGGAAGCCAAGGCGGGTGGATCACAAAGTCGGGAGATCAAGACCATCCTGGCTAACACAGTGAAACCCCTCCTCTACTAAAAATACAAAAAATTAGCCAGGCGTGGTGGTGGGTGCCTGTAATCCCAGCTACTTGGGAGGCTGAGGCAAGAGAATGGCGAACCTAGGAGGCAGAGTTTGCAGTGAGCTGAGATGGTGCCACTGCACTCCAGCCTGGGGGACAGAGCTACACTCCATCCCAAAAAAAAAAAAAAAAAAAAAAAGAGAGAGAACTACACTTGTGGTGGGACCCTAAGAGGGGAACCCTATTTAAAGAACTTGTTAACACTACCATCCAACTCTACCATCCCCTGATGGGCCCAGTGACCACTGCCAACATAGCTGCACAAAACCTTTCACTTACAGGCCAGAAAATAGAAAACCGCCTCTTATAGAACCTCCACTGCTTTTACCACTATAATGAAAAATACTTTTGTAGCACAAATTTCACCACCACACGGAGTTGTGGGGGGTTGTGGATCTCCAGTGTATCTACGACTCCCTCCACTCTGGAAGGGACAGCGCTCCATCGCTTACAGCTCCCTCCATCTAACTCCACGCTTACAGCTCCCCCCATCTAACTCCACACTGGCTACTACGTCTCCCCCTTTTCCCACGTACCAACATTGCGCGAGCCGCCTCTGAGCAGGACCCCTTCTTCCCTTGGGTTTAGTATTATCCTCTCTATTGGGATTAGCAGGGACAGCTACGGGAGACAGAGCCTTGGGAATCCAGCATAAACTGTCTTGGGAGACTGAATGGCCCTCCAGCAAACGGCAGAGGGCCTCATGAGTCTTCAACAGCAGCTGGACTCCCTGGCTGCCGTAGTCCTGCAAAACCGAGGGGCCTTAAATCTTCTCATGCTGGACAAGGAGGAACGTATCTATATCTAAAAGGGGAATGCCATGTCTACGTCAATCAGCCCAGTTTGGTCGTAGAACGAATTAAAAACATTGTTACCCAGGCAGACAAAATGGAATCTTTAGGAACTTCCATGGGAACTTGGAAGCAATGGCTGTTGTCTGCCCTACTCCCTTTAATAGTGCTGATTATTACCACACTTTTAGCCTTAACTTTTAGACCAACTTTGTTTTTTTTTTTTGTTGTTGTTGTTGCTTTTCTGTTTTAAGATCATTTATTAGAACACAGTCATTCAGAAGCCATTGAGACATCAGGCAGCAGGAAGGAAGCTGGGGCGGAGCAGGCCCTGGGAAGGACCAAGGACAAAGTAATAGCCACAGTAATGACATTTCATTTTATTCTGATAAAGACTAATGTATGCCTGATAACCTAGTGAGAATCCATAAGTTTGGCAGTTCACAACATTTTTAGAAAGCACATACGATTAACATTCAAATAAGGCATTATAGAAAGTTTTGTAAAGAATGAAGTGTTTACTGTCATTCTTTTAAAAAACCTTGGCTCATCTTGAAAGATCAATGAATTTTTAAAATATCAGAAGAAAAGAAAAATAAAAATTTCCCCCCAAAATACGTAAGAACCACTTACTGGCACTGGTATTTTAAGTACCTGGAAAAAAACGGACCAGATTTTTAAAGGCAATTAATAACAGCTTGTACGAGCGCTTGTTTCATTTGACTTGGCATCAAGTAAAGGAAGAGTAAATACGCCGTGAAAGACGCCATCGGGCTTTTCCTCCACTTCTCCCAGACCACACAGCACATCAGCAGCCACCCTTGCTGCCCACTCAGGAATCACTGTAGATTCCAATTTTTAAATGGCTGCTTAGACGACGCCAATAGAGTTCTTTCTCCTTACAGTAAGGCGGCAGTGAATGCTAACAGGTATCGAGTTCTCTGATCAGGAACAAAGAACTCCTTCAGGAAACTCACTCACTTTCCTGGTCCTTGTTAACCTGTCACATAAATTCTTTTTATTGGCACACCTGTTTACTAATTATGATTGATTGCTATTTATGCCAAGGGAGCATTTCCCAGGCGTGCCTCATCTGTTTACTCATGACACAGTGAGCCTACTTTATTTACACAGTGCCGCGGGTTTCCTCTTTTTTCTTTTCTGTTTTTGGTGGTGGGGGTGGCACTATCACTTGTTATTTATCAGGGTAGATCATACATTTGGATCGAAAAGAGAAACCGGCAACTAGATCCTAAAACACATTTATCAACCTGAGTCACATCGGGAAACATATAGACTTTAATTCCATTTTGTTGAAAATTCATTCAACTTTGGTGCTTGTCCAAGGACTTATGATGTCAATTTCTGACATAAATCATAACCCCGAATATATATGTATTTTCAAAAGAAACAAGTCATCTTAAAGTAATATTTTTCTATATGCTAATTGATACATTTTTATAGCAAATTGAAAATTCTGAGCAAACTGAAAGTATGCTTAACAACAAAATAAATACAGCATATATGGTTAGCACATACATTTCTTACTGTAAAGGCAGAAGTGAATTTGTGTCTTACAATAAATCTGTAAATCCAGTTGTTTTCTTTCTGGAATTTATATAATGTCTCACCATGTTCCACAAAAAGGCTAGAAATGCCTTTTTTTTGGAATGAATCTATGCAAAAATTTCTGATTACATATTTTCCCCAAATGACATGTAACTTTTTTTAACTTTTCCAGAAAAATATGGAAACTTTATCAACCACTTATTAACTGAACAAAAAGTGAGATTACTACAAAATGCTCGTTTAATTTTGCTTTAACAGATGTTTTAAAAGTTCAGGCATCGCTGATATTTTTGAGGATAACTGCATAAAACACACTAGATGATTTCAAAGGATGAATCTTAGTATCTGACTCATCTGGCACATCCTTAGTATCCAGAATAAAATCAGTAGAAATAAAAGTAATATAGTTTTCAAAGAATTCATACATATTGGAAGTCTTAGGAAAAGTGCTTCTAAATGCAGGGACTAGGAGGTTTGCCCATCTTCCTGTTAATAGTTACACACATTTCTCCTCATGGAGTAACTGAAGTTTTCTGGCTTGTTTGTGCAACTTTAGTTGGTAGGAAAGTGTATATATAGGGCCAAATCTTGTTGGTTTCTGTTCCGGAGAATGTTTCCAACACCCCCTTTTTTCTGGTAATATTCCGGGACTGGCTTTGTTTGGCTTTATAAGCCTTTAGTCTCTTTTTTACTATTATTATTATTTTTATTTTTTTTTTTGAGGTGGAGTCTTGCTCTGTCACGCAGGCTGGAGTGCAGTGGTGCCATCTCGGCTCACTGCAATCTCCACCTCCAGGGTTCAAGCAATTCTCCTGCCTCAGCCTCCTGAGTAGCTGAGACTACAGGCGCCTGCCACCATGCCCGGCTACATTTTGTATTTTTAGTAGAAACAGGGTTTCACCATATTGGCCAGGCTGGTTTCGAACTCCTGACCTTGTGATCCGCCCGCCCCGGCCTCCCAAAGTGCTGGGATTACAGGCGTGAGCCACTGCGCCTGGCTGCCTTTAGTCTCTTGATAACCGTCTCTGGTTTATCATCCTCATGCTGAATGAGAGGGTCCCCAGTCAGGTCATCAATGCCCACAGTTTTGGGAGGGTTGAATTCAATGTTGAAGACTCAGCCGCTGGCGGGATGAATCCAGCAAGCAGTAAGGCGTTGTTTAATGACCTCAAAGGGCACATTCAGCTTAATCACTGTGTCGATCTGATCAGCTCTATCTAGGGCTTCTGCCTGTGGATGTGTTCTTGAAAAACCATCAACAGCTAGACTGGGTGAGACTTTTCGGCTCCTGCAGCTGGCCTGACTGGGGGCCTGTGTCGGGTGCCATATGAGAGATTTCAACCAGCCCATGCGCAACCAGAGGGATGCGGCCCACGGTGCGGGTGGTCTCAGCGTCGTCTCTGTCTGACCCTCCCTCCCTCTGCATCTCTCTCAAATCTTGGCAGCCCACAGACTGAGTCAAATTGAGAAGAAAGAAAGTGGAGGCAAGTTCATTAACGTCAGTGCAATTAATTTAACAGTATTCAATTACAAACAAATAGAGCATTTCAGAGAGTGATGAGGGTTCTGAGGATGCACAAACAAGGGGTGTAGGGTCCAGCCCCACAGGGTAGGTGGGTCTCTCCCCGCGTGCGGCGACAAGAGATTGTAGAAATAAAGACACAAGACAAAGAGATAAAAGAAAAGACAGCTGGGCCCAGGGGACCACTACCACCAAGTTGCAGAGACTGGTAGAGGCCCCGAATGTCTGGCTGCACTGATATTTATTGGATACAAAGCAAAAGGGGCAGGATAAGAAGAGTGAGCCATCTCCAATGATAGGTAAGGTCACGTGGGTTGCGTGTCCACTGGACAGGGGGCCCTTCCCTGCCTGGCAGCTGAGGCAGAGAGAGAGAGGAGACAGAGAAAGATAGCTTATGCCATTATTTCTGCATATCAGAGACTTTTAGTACTTTCACTAATTGACTACTGCTATCTAGAAGGCAGAGCCAGGTGTACAGGATGGAACATGAAAGCGGACTAGGAGCGTGACCACTGAAGCACAGCATCACAGGGAGACGGTTAGGCCTCCGGATAACTGCGGGCCGGTCTGACTAATGTCAGGCCCTCCACATGCAGTGGAGGAGTAGAGTCTTCTCTAAACTCCCCTGGGGAAAGGGAGACTTCCTTTCCCGGTCTGCTAAGTAGCGGGTGTTTTTCCTTGACACTTATGCTACCGCTAGACCTCGGTCCGCCTGGCAACCGGCGTCTTCCCAGACGCTGGCATTACTGCTAGACCAAGGAGCCCTCTGGTGGCCCTGTCCGGGCATAACAGAGGGCTCGCACTCTTGTCTTCCGGTCTCACTTCACTATGTCCCCTCAGCTCCTATCTCTGTATGGCCTGGTTTTTCCTAGGCTATGATTATAGAGTGAGGATTATTATAATATTGGAATAAAGAGTAATTGCTACAAACTAATGACTAATGATATTCATATATAATCATATCTAAGATCTATATCTGGTATAACTATTCTTGTTTTATATTTTATTATACTGGAACGGCTCATGTCCTCTGTCTCTTGCCTCGGCGCCTGGGTGGCTTGCCGCCCACATGCCTCAGCCTCCCAGAGTGCAGGGATTACAGTCATGAGCCACCGTATGCGGCCACATCTTGTTATGAAAAGAAATTCTCAATGTTAATGAGGTCAAATTCATGTATATTTACTCTGATAGTGCTTTTGTGGAGTAGACAAAGATTACTTAAAATATTCCCATGTGTTGACTTCTAAATGTTTTATGGTTTTAAGTCCTACATTCAGGGCTAGGATGGTTTTGGGTAGGCTGTGAGGTTTGGGGTCATGATTTACTGACGGTTTTTTTTTTAGACAAATATTCCATTGATCCAGCACCATTCTTCAAGCTAACTTATAACGATCCCAAATGGGAGTATGGAACTCTAAGAAGGCAAGAGAAGCAGAATAATAACTATTTGGATAAATATAAAATATCAATGGTGTAAAATAAGAATAACGTCTTGTAGGTTTATAATATATATGCAAGTAAATATATATGGGACTATAGGCACGCACGACCACACTCAGCTAATTTTTAAAATTTTTTTGTAGAAATGGAATCATGATATGTTGCCTGGCTGGTCTTGAACTCCTGAGCTCAAGTGATCCTCCCACCTCAGCCTCTCAAAGTACTGGGATTACAGTCATGAGCCACTGTGTCTGGCACAAGCAAATATTAAAACAATGAAAGTACAATGGAATAGAGGTAGGTAAATGAAGTTATGCTGTGTAATGTTCTGAATTGTTCATGAGTGTGGGCGGCAAGCCACCCAGGTGCCGAGGCAAGAGACCAAGGGCACAAGCTGTTCCAGTATAATAAAGAAAATATATAGAATAAGAATAGTTATACTAGAAATAAATTATAGATATGATTATATATGAATATTATCAATCATTAGTTTGTAGCATTACTCTTTTTTCAATATTATAATAATCTTTGTTCTACAATTATAACCTAGGAAAAACCAGGCCATACAGAGATAGGAGCTGAAGGGACATGGTGAGAAGTGACCAGAAGACAAGAGTGCGAGCCTTCTGTCATGCCCGGACAGGGCCACTACAGGGCTCCTTGGTCTAGCGGTAGTGCCAGTGCCTGGAAGGCACCTGTTACTTAGCAGACCAGGAAAGGGAGTCTCCCTTTCCCTGAGGAAGTTAGAGAAGACTCTGCTCCAGCACCTCTTGTGGAGGGCCTGACATCAGTCAAGCCCGCCCGCAGTTATCTGGAGGCCTAAACGTCTCCCTGTGATGCTGTGCTTCAGTGGTCACGCTCCTGATCCACTTTCATGTTCCGCCCTGTACACCTGGCTCCGCCTTCTAGATAGCAGTAGCAGAATTAGTGAAAGTATTAACGTCTTTGATCTCTCCAGAACTACATAGAAGAAATAATGACGTAAGCTGTCCCCTCTCTCTCTCCGCCTCGGCTACCAAATAGGGAAGGGCCCCCTGTCTGGTGGACACATGACTTGTGTGACCTTACCTATCATTGGAGATGACTCACACTCCTTACCCTGCCCTCTTGCCTTATATACAATAAATAACGGCACGGCCAGGCATTCAGGGTCACTACCGGTCTCCACGCCTTGGTGGTAGTGGTCCCCAGGGCCCAGCTGTCTTTTCTTCTATCTCTTTGTCTTGTGTCTTTATTTCTACGATCTCTCATCTCCACACACGAGGAGAAAAACCCACAGGTCCTGTAGGGCTGGACCCTATAATGAGACAGTAACCAACTTAAGATGGACTATAGTAAGTCAAAGATGCATATTGTAATGTCTAAAATAACCACTGATGAATCACGTAAAATATATCTAAGAATATAACAAAAGAAAATACGAGAAATATTTAACAAATCCAAAAGAATACCGTAAAGGAAAAGAAAGATAGGAAAAATAAAAGCAAACAGTGAAATGGAAGGTTTTAACCCAATTATATTAGTTCTCACATTAAATGTAAATGAACTTATTCTAATTTATAGACAAAAAGTTTTAGGCCAAATAAAGATAACAATAGACTGGTCACAGTGCTCATTTTAAAAGGAAGGACACAGGCCAGACATGGTGGCTCACGTCTGTAATCCCAGCACTTTGAGGGGCTGAGGTCAGAGGATCTCTTGAGCCCAAGAGTTCAAGACAAGCCTGGGCAACATAGCAAACCCCTGTCTCTTAAAAAAAAAAAAAATCACTGAATGAAAAGAATGGGAAAAGATACATCATGCTGATAGTATTAGGCAGGAAATGCAGCTGAAATAAAAGGATATTTATAGTGATAAAAGGGTCAACACAACACGACAATATTTTAATCCTACATTTGTACATATCTAATAAAATAGCTTCAAAACATTTAACCACAATAGGACAAAGCTGAAAATCAAGGCAAATCCACAATCACACTTAGGTTTGTTTGTTTGGTTGGTTGGTTGGTTGGTTGGTTGGTTTGGTGTTTTTTATTTTGTTTGTTGGTTTTTGAGAGGGAGTTTTGCTCCTGTTGCCCAGACTAGAGTGCAATGGTGCGATCTTGGCTCACTGCAAACTCCACCTCCCGGGTTCAAGTAATTCTCCTGCCTCAGCCTCCCAAATAGCTGGGATCACAGGCATGTGCCACCATGCCCAGCTAATTTTGTATATTTAGTGAGATGGGTTTTCTCCATGTTGGTCAAGGCTGGTCTTGAACTCCTGACCTCAGGTGATGTGCCCACCTTGGCCTCTCAAAGTGCTGGGATTACAGGTGTGAGTCACCACACCTGGCCAGGTATTTCAATACGAATCTTTAAGTAACTGATAGAACAAGCGGACAAAAATTAGAATACATGAATTTATACAAGATTATAAATATTCACATACTGAACATACATGGAATGCTGTACCAAACACCTGGAGAATCCACATTTCTTTAAGTGAATGTAGAACATTTATCAAATGTGTCCCATGCTCAGCCAGGCAATTAATCTATAATTAGAAATAAAACATATAAAGGTTGGAAAGAAATAAATGCAATATGGCAAGAAAAAGATATGATTAGAAAGGAAATGAAACTGTCATTATTTGCAAATGATATATTTGCATATGGGGAGAAACCAAAATAATTTGCAAACAAAATATACATAAATTTAACAGGGTTCTGAAGGTCAAGGTACAAAAATCAAATATATTCTATAGACTGACAAGGTAAAGTGAAATGTTAAAGACAGTATCATTTATATTATCATCAAAACCAATAGAATGTTCAAAATGAAACCTAACAAGAGATGCAGAAGACCTCTACCCTGAAAAACCAAGAAAATACACAAGAGGCCGGGCGTGGTAGCTCACGCCTGTAATCCCAGCACTCTGGGAGGCCAAGGCGGGTGGATCATGAGGTCAGGAGTTCAAGACCAGCCTGGTCAACATGGCGAAATCCTGTTGACCAGGAGTACTAAATACACAAAAAATTAGCTGGGAGTGATGGTGGGCACCTGTAATCCCAGCTACTCGGGAAGCTAAGGCAGGAAAATCATTGAACCTGGGAGGCGGATGTTACAGTGAGCCAAGATCGCACCATTGCATTCCAGCCTGGGTGACAGAGTGAGACTCCATCTCAAAGAAATAAAAATACACATGAGAAAAAAATGGAGATCTATATAAGGAAGGACATACAAAGGCATCTGTTGGAAGAGTTAATACTTTTAAATTGATGTACAGATTTGATGCAATCCTGATCAAAAGGGTATCAGGAATGATGATGATGATGATGATGATGATGTCAAAATTCGCCTGCTGAGTCTGTAATTTATCTGGAAATACTAAAGTTTTAGAATAGCCAGGGCAACCTTGGAGAAGAACAAGGGCTTATGAATCACGTGTCAAGATTTTCTGAAACTTTCCATTGTTATGACAGCTTGGTATTGGCAAAGGGGACAGACAGCTGCTGAGTTGGGCCTGTCCCCTCCATTTTTTAGCAGCACTTGATCACCAGGCTGGAAAATCTGGACAAGTTCTGCCGAGTTCACAGGCTCCTGTTTGGAGCAAGCTTATGCAAAACATGAAGGATTTGTCCCACTTGAGTATGTTTAATAGTTGGCTTTCTACTGAGAGGCACCCCAGTAACCTGAGACAGACTAGCAGCAAAGGGTCTCCCATATATAATTTCATAGGGACTTAACCTGATCCCACTTCTGGGGGTCACTCTTACCCAGAGCAGTGCAAGGCCAAAGCCCTAAATCCATTTCAGTTGAGTTTCCTGACACCGTTTGGCAAGAACTGTTTTAACGGTTTGATTTTTCCTTTCCATCAGTCCAGAGGATTGCGGTCTCCATGCTGAATGCAGCTCCCAATTTACTCCAAGTGCCCTGAGTACTTGGGACAACTGCAGGGCTCTCGTAAGGGCAATCAGTTCTGCCTCCTGTGCAGAGGTTCCTATTGGTAAAGTCCTCGCTTCTGTTACCTCGGAAACAGTTACCAAGGCATATGCAGCATTTCTTTTTCTGTTGGTTACCAGGTTGCTCCCATCCACAAACAATGTCCAGTCTGCATGTGGCAGGGCTGTGTCCTTTAAATTAGGGCAACTGGAAAACACCTGGTCAATAATTTCTAAGTGATTGTGCATAGGTTCTTTAGGCTCTTCAGTAGCGGGAAGTACAGTTTCTGGGTTTAAGACTCCAGCAGTCTGCACTTTTACTGCAGGGTCATCTGGGAGTGTGGCCTGGCATTTGCTCAGCCTGTCCGCTGTCAGCCAGTAGCCTCCCTTCTGTTCCAGTAACACCTGCACCTGGTGAGGCTCATGGATCATGATGCGCTGTCCCCAAACCAACTTTTCAGCTTCCTTTAACAGCAGGCAGTGGCAGCAACTGCCCTTACACAAGGAGCCAGCCTTTGGCCACAGCATCCAGTAAGCCACTGGCTGCAATATTCTTCCTAATTTCTGTGTAAGGACCCCTAGTGTTAGACCCAGTCTCTCAGGCATGTACAGGGCTCATGAAAGGGCTTGTGAGAATTTGGGAGCCCCAGGGCTAGGGCAGAGGTTAACTTAGGTTTCAGTTATTCACATGCATGCTGATGTTTTGTTCACAGTCGAAGGGGCCATTGTTAGCTCCCTTCAACAGTTTGTCTAGCGGCTTTACCAGTAGTTCATAGTTAGGAATCCAGATTAACAAAACCCTGTTATGCCTAGAAATCCTTTTAGCTGCCTTCAGGTAGCGGTGGCTGAGATGGAAGCAGTTGCATTTCGCCCTTCCACTGTTAGAGCTCTGTTTCCCTTCTATAGAGAAAACCTAAATATTTCACAGTTTGTTGGCATATTTGAGCCTTTTTACTTGAAACCTTATATCCACAGGTTGCTAGATGGTTTAGGGTTTTAATGGTGTTATTCTGATAGCCCCATTCAGAGGGGCTAGATATTAGTAAATCATCCACATATTGTAAATATACCCAGTTTTTCGATTGCAAGCTCCTCAAATCTTGAGCCAAGGCTACTCCAAATATAGTTGGAGAGCTTTGAAATCCTGGTGGGAGCACAATCCAATGATACTGAACTTGTGTGTGGCTTTAGGACCTGTCTATTCAAAGGTGACCAACAATTGGCTTTCTGTGTCTGTGGGTATGCAAAAGAAAACTTCTTTTAAATCCAGTACTGCAAACCATTTATGATCTCCAGGAAGAGAAGCAGACATAGTATACAGGTTAGCTACAGTGGAATGTATGTCCTCTACAACATCCCAGTTTGGGTCCGTGCGGGGAATTGCTCCAGTCGGGATCTGGAGTGTCGTCTGGATTTTCATCATGAAGGTGCTGTGCCTCTTCCTTTGCTTCATTTAAAACCAGCCATAGCTCATCTGCAGTGAGCATAATGTCCCAGAGAGCCTGCTCGTCTGCCCAGGTGAGATGGTGTGCAGCAAATAGTGGTAAATAATTCAGCCATCTTTCAGGGATCCTCCCTGTCTGTAGGGAGGGTTAGAGTTCTTCCAATGTAACAAGTCCGAGGTGGAGCAGGGATTACAGGCCCAATCATTTTGGGCTGGAGCTTCTTGCTGATGGATGTTGTCATCGTGGGAACACTATGCAGTGCCCTGCTCTGGACTCTGTGACTCCTCAGCCAAAATTAGTACCTTGCCTAATCTGAGAGGAAGACAGAAGCCCTGCTGCTTCCCTGTACTCTGGGGGTGACATTCCCTCTCTTTTCTGAGGTGGGGCAGGAGACACTATGGGGTTTAGGGTACTTACTGTCAGGTTTGGGAGGTTTTCTCTTCCTCCCCTGGGGAACAGGACAGACCTTAGCAGTGCCTCACACCATGAGCTCATTTCCCTTTTCTTCAGCATCCTCGTTATGCAGCCACATACATGCCAGCATGCAAGGTGTTCTGCCCCCTTTGCCTGACCTCTGGCAGAACAGTTTTAATGGATAAATGTATGAAATTTCGAAGATCCAAAAACTGGCCATCATTTCTCAGACCCTCAAACAAACATTGGCCAAGCTGTGTTGCAATAGAATATTTTTTTTTTTTTGGTCATGGGTGGATAACCAAAGTGCTTCCAATCTGACAGAATTCTCCTCCCTAGATGACTGTGTAGGGAGAGACGCAGTATTGCCTGTACTGGAGCCGGAAGACTTAATGACTCCCATGCCGGGCGCAGGACTTGTGTGTGGCCGGTTGTCCCTTTCTTTCTCTTTCTTTCTCTTTCTTTCTTTCTTTCTTTCTTTTCTCTTTCTTTCTTTTTCTTTCTTTCTTTCTTTCTTTCTTTCTTTCTTTCTTTCCTTCCTTCCTTCTTTCTTTCTTTCTTGTACGATATCTATTTTGTTTTCCTCCCGAGAATAGTCTGTCTTCAGTCTTTAAGGACTCAGTTCCTCACGTGGGCTTTGGTGGCGGTCGTGGGGCAGCACCCACAGGTCTAAATCGAGGCGGGGGTGTTCGGTCCTTGTGGGCTTCATGAGATCCATTCCTGACTACCTTGCTGTGCATTGCACAACCTACACAAGAAAGTAGCTTCACATACAGCTTGGGAAGCACATAGGCATCGAAGACACTCGCTTCGGAAATGTCCCTGACTGCTGCGGCCTCCATGATGTTTCCAATGATGAATTTCTTTTCTTTTCTTTTCTTTTCTTTTCTTTTCTTTCAAGATGGGGTCTCACTCTATCACTCAGGCTGGAGTGCAGAGGCGCAATCTCAGCTCACTACAACCTCCGCCTCCCAGGTTCAAGCGATTCTCATGCCTCCTGAGTAGCTGGGATTACAGGCACCCACCATCACACCGGCTATTTTTTGTATTTTTAGTAGAGACGGGGTTTTGCCATGTTGGCCAGGCTGGTCTGGAACTCATGACCTCAGGTGATCCACCCACCTTGGTCTCCCAAAGTGCTGGGATTACAGGTGTGAGCCACTGCGCCCAGCCTCAAATGATGAATTTCTTAATGGCCTTGTCCTTGGCCACACATCAGGCACCATTCGTGCAGCGAATCGGCTGCACATGGCTGTGGCCCTTTTTGGCATGACCATTGTTCCTTCTTTTCTTTGTCATCTTGGAGGCATAGACCGGAAAGAGGACAGTTGTTCCTTTCTTTTGGCCAATTTCTCCCTTTTGGAATGGGAATGTTTACCCAATGCCTGCATCCCCATTGTATCTTGGAAATAAATAACTTGTCTTTGAGTTCAAAGGCTCATAGGTGGAAAGAACTCATTTCCAGATGAGACTTTGAACCTGGGACTGCAGGCTTTTGGTTGTGTTGATGCTGGGACGAGTTAAGACTTTGGGGAACTACTGAGAAGGGACGATCTTACTTTGCAATGTGAGAAGGACATGAGATTCGGGAAGCCCAGGGTGGAATGATATGGTTTAGATGTCTATCTCTTCCAAATATCATGGGGAAAAGGCCTCAAAGGCATTTCAGAAATCTCTGGAAGTGTAATCCCCAGTGGTGGAGGTGGGCCTGGTGGGTGGTGTTTGGATCGTTGGGGTGGGTCCCTCATGAACGTGTTGGCGCCATCCTCATGATAGTGAGTGAGTTCTCGCTCTGAGTTCATGTGAGATGTAATTGTTTAAAAGAGTGAGGTGCCTCCTACCCCTTTCTCCACTCTTGTTATGTGAGATACCTGCTGTGGGGAAAAGAAAGAGAGATCAGATTGTTACTGTGTCTACGTAGAAAAGGAAGACATAAGAAACTCCATTTTGATCTCTACTAAGAAAAATTGTTCTGCTTTGAGATGCTGTTAATCTGTAACTTTAGCCCCAACCCTGTGCTCACAGAAACATGTGCTGTATTGAATCAAGGTTTAATGGATTTAGGGCTGTGCAGGGTATGCCTTGTTAACATGTTTGCAGGCAGTGTGCTTGGTAAAAGTCATTGCCATTCTCCATTCTCTATTAACCAGGGACACAATGCACTGCAGAAAGCCACAGGGACCCCTGCCCCTCCACACCTGTGAGTATTTCTCGTCAGGTGGAGATAAGAGACTGAGAAAAGAAATAAGACACAGAGACAAAGTATAGAGAAAGAACAGTGGGCCCAGGAGACCGGCACTTAACATGCGAGGACCCGCGTCGGCGCTGGTCTCTGAGCTCCCTCAGGATTTATTGATCACTATTTTTACTATCTTGGCGAGGGGAGTGTGGCAGGACAACAGGGTGATGGTGGGGAGAAGGTCAGCAGGGAAACATGTGAGCAAAGGAATCTGTATCATGAATAAGTTCAAGGGAAGGTACTGTGCCTGGATGTGCACGTAGGCTAGATTTATGTTTCACTTTACACAAACATCTCAGTGTAGCAAAGAGTAACCGAGCAGTATTGCTGCCAGCATATCTCGCCTCCAGCCACAGGGCAGTTTTCTCCCATCTCAGAATAGAACTAACGGTCAGCTTTACACTGAGGCATTCCATTTCCAGGGACAAGCCGGAGACAGAAACCTTCCTCTTATCTCAACTGCAAAGAGGCCTCCCTCTTTCACTACTCCTCCTCAGCACAGACCCTTCACGGGTGTTGGGCTGGGGGATGTAAGGTCTTTCCTTTCCCACAAGGCCATATCTCAGGCTGTCTCAGTGGGGGGAAACCTTGGTCAATACGCAGGCTTTCTTGGGCAGAGGTCCCTGCGGCTTTCCGCAGTGCATTGTGTCCCTGGTTAATAGAGAATGGAGAATGGCGATGACTTTTACCAAGCATACTGCCTGCCAACAAATTGTTAACAAGGCACATTCTGCACAGCCCTAAATCCCTTAAACCTTGATTCAATAGAGCATATGTTTCTGTGAGCACAGAGTTGGGGCTAAAGTTACAGATTAACAGCACCTCAAAGCAGAACAATTTTTCCTAGTACAGATCAAAATGGAGTTTCTTATGTCTTCCTTTTCTATGTAGACACAGTAACAATCTGATCTGTCTTTCTTTTCCCCACAACCTGCTTCCCCTTTGCCTTCTGCTATGATTGGAAACTTCCTGAGGCCTCCCGAGAAGCCAAGCAGATGCCAGCACTGTGCTTCCTGTACAGCCTGCAATACCAAGAGCCAATTAAACCTCTTCTTTGTAATTTGCCCAGTCTTAGGTATTTCTTTACAACAACAAAAGAACAGACTATCACAACAGGCAAGAGTCAAAATTTTCTTGTCTCAGTTCCCTTGGAGAACAGTAATTATATATTTATAGTGGTTGTTATGGTGATTTATGCCAACAAAAGGGCACTTGACTAATAATTTCTTTTTTTTTTTCTGAGAATATCTCGCTCCAGATTGACTAATAACTTCCTAGAAAACTACCATGCTTAAGATAAAATCCAAGCTCTTCTGCAGTGCCACTCCCAGAATTGTTTATCCTGTCACTGCAGGAGTGAGCTGGGCTGGGTCTGAGATCTTATGTCCCAGGGAGAAATGCTCCCCGCACCGCCCCAGGGGGACCCCAAGGGTCCTGGGAGTTGGAAACGAAAGTTGACCCATGGTGGTTCTGAGTTCCTGCCTCTGAGTCAATAGGCAAAGCAAGGGGCTGTGCCATCCTAGCTGGGGCTGTTTTCAACTCACCAAGGAAGCGAGCTGGCCCCGCTCCCATGGGGTGTGGGGAATTGTCTCTGGGCTCAAGGCTCTCTCTCATCTCTTACGTCTCCCACATCCAAGGGAAAAAGTTAATGGGAACCAGAGCCCCTAGAAAGAGACAAGGCTGCGGAAAGTCCAGACGCTTCCGCAGTGAGGGCTTAGTCACCCTGTAACTGAGTGGCTGGTCTTCAAAATGCATTTTTAAACTTGTTTCCTTTCTCTTGGGTTTCAAGATATAACCTTGAAGCAAACTGCAGAAGCCTTTTCCCTTAGCCTTGAAATACACTCCTCATCCCTCCCTTTCTCACCGTAAATACTCTCTCAAAGTTCTCTGTCCATTAGTATCTAATTATGTGCCTTCTTAGAAGTGCCGCAGGCTAATCTTGAGACAGACAGGCCAAGCCTGGGGACCCAGCCGCAAAATTCCAGAGATGACTTCAAAGCGGGTAATTAACAGCCCGGCCATAGTTGCGATGATGCCAGCCCGTGCTCCAGGTGAACTGGGACCCAAGACAGCCACCAGGACGGGACACACAGGCGCTGTGCTCAGCACGATTCCTGCATGCCTTCCATATCCAGCTTTCCATTTGTGAACCTTTGCCTTTCCCCCCACATTTGAAGTGGTTGCTCTGGGTCAGAATCCAGCTACTTCCTTTCACTAGTCTTGGCTAATGAAGTCTCTTGCTTTCTACCGGCCCCTGCTCTTGTTAATCAGACTCCGCAAGCAGAGAACACCTGAACCTGTGGCGTCTACAAGCCCACCAGTAAAGAGCCCTTTCCTGAGGACAAAATACACGTGAATGAACAGGGGACAGGGGATGTTACAGCGGCCGCACCCAGCGTCGTGGGAAGCCCCAGGCATTAGGGTCCGGCAGTGCACTAGTCAGCTCCTGCCGCCATAACGAACACCACAACTGGGGGCTTAAGCTACAGGAATGGATTCTGTCGCTGTCCTGGAGGCTGGAGATCAGAGATCAAGGTGTCAGCAGGGCTGGCTCCCCCTGGGGCACCTCTCCTTGGCATGCAGATGGCATCTGCTCCCTGCATTCTGTCACGGTTGCCCCTCTGTGTGTGTCTGTGTCCTCACCTCCTCTTATAAGGACACCAGGCATGCTGGACTAGGGCCCACCCTAATGACCCCATTCTACCGTAATCACCTCTTTAAGGACCCTATTTTCAAATGCTATCACATTCTGAGGTAGCGGGAGTGAGGGCTCAACATGTGAATTTGAGGGGGGCACAGTTCAGCCATAACAAGTGCCCATGGGCTTTCTCCAGCTGATATATATATATAAATATATATATATTTATATATATTTTTTATTTATGTATATATATTTATATATATATTATATATATATTGTATATATATATATATATAATATATATATAAATATATATATATATTTTTTTTTTTTTTTGAGATGGATTCTCGCCCTGTCGCCCAGGCTGGAGTGTAGTGGCATGATCTCAGCTCACTGCGACCTCTGCCTCCTGGGTTCAAGTGATTCTCCTGCTCCAGCCTCCTGGGTAGCTGGGATTACAGGCGCATGTCACCACACCCAGCTAATTATTTTATCTTTAGTAGAGATGGGGTTTCACCATGTTGGCCAGGCTGTTCTCGAACTCCCGACCTCGTGATCCACTCGCCTCGGCCTCCCAAAGTGCTGGGATTACAGGCGTGAGCCACCGTGCCCGGCCGCAGTTGCCCTATGTTTTTATGTATTATTTCATTTCTTCTCTCACTCCTCCTCTACCCTATTATTTTATACAGGGACTGATGTTGTAAATTAACAGACTTAGTATTTATGTTACACAGTATTCTAACAGGACTGGCTGGCTTCCCAGAGCACACACTTTCACCCAGAAAGAGATCGTATTGATCAGAGTGTGGTGGGGAAAGGAAGGTCACTTGTTTTTACGTGTGGTGGGGAAAGGAAGGTCACTTGTTTTTACATGTGATGGAATAAAGGGTGGAATATAGACTCAGGAGGCGGCATGGCTGGCGGAAGACCCGGCATGGAATACAGACTCAGGAGGCGGCATGGCTGGCGGAAGACCCGGCATGGAATACAGACTCAGGAGGCGGCATGGCTGGCGGAAGACCCGGCAGCATGGATGTTGGGGAAGCTGTCCCCACAGTGAGAAGACTTGATGGTGGACATGTCAGCTTAAAGCACCCAAGAAGAGGTCTCAAACGTTCTCCTGGCAGCTGTGGTCAGAGGGCTATGGGATAGAGGGGAGGGATGAGTGGGTGGAGCAAGGGGATTTTTAAGGCCCTGAAACGATTCTGCAACATTGTAATGGTGGACGCATGATGTTATGGATTTGTCAAAACCCGCAGAATATACAACACAAAGAGTGAGCCCTGGTGTAAGCTATAAACTTGTGTTAATAACCACGTATCAATATCGGTTTATCCATTGTACCACATGAATGCAAAGTGTGATTAATAGGAGAAATGTGAGACAGGGCAGGATACACGGGAACCCTCTGTACTATCTTCTCGATTTTCTATAAAGCCAAAACTGCTCAAAGAAATAGAGTCTATTGATAAATAAATAAGTTTTCCTGGAAGCCGCTGCAATCCCCAAGGTCCCCAAACAGCTTCCACCCACTGTCACTCTCTACAGCAAACAGCATCCCCACAAGCTCGCAGGAGGACGTCTGTGAGGTTCCCGTCTACGCACGTGCCCGGCTTCAGCGACCCCAGGAAAGGAGGGTCTCCACTTAATCTTCCAAGATCTACGGGAGTTTCCCTTAGAAAACTCTAATTCAGAGCCACACGGGAGGGAGTCTGGTGGTTCTTCAGAAGAGGGTGTGCTGGGTTCAAGGTTACAACAGAAAATCCAGCACCATCCACCCCAAAGTCAACACACCATCTAACACAACCTCCCTTCACATTTACCCTCTGAAAAGAATGTGGCACCCCCATGCTTCCTCCTGACATTGCAGTTGGCAGCAATTCCTCTCAGCTTTTATTTATCTGAAAAAATGCCTTTATTTTGCCCTCATTTGTGAGGGAAATTTTAAATAGTATCAGAATCCAAGTTGGTAATTTGATTTCTTACCAGTGTCTGCTTCTGGCTTCCGAAGTTCCTGTTTGAGAAGACAGCCGTCATTCTGGGGGTTCCTGTTTGAGGAGACAGCCGTCGTCCTCGGGGTCCCTGTTTGAGGAGACAGCCGTCGTCCCCGGGGTTCCTGTTTGAGGAGACAGCCGTCGTCCCCGGGGCTCCTGTTAGAGAAGACAGCCGTCGTCCTCGGGGTTCCTGTTTGAGGAGACAGCCGTCGTCCTCGGGATTCCTCTTTGAGGAGACAGCCGTCGTCCTCGTGGTCCCTGTTTGAGGAGACAGCCGTCGTCCTCGGGATTCCTGTTTGAGGAGACAGCCGTCCTCCCCGGGGTCCCTGTTTGAGGAGACAGCCGTCGTCCTCGGGATTCCTGTTTGAGGAGACAGCCGTCGTCCTCGTGGTCCCTGTTTGAGGAGACAGCCGTCGTCCTCGGGGTTCCTGTTTGAGGAGACAGCCGTCGTCCTCGGGGTTCCTGTTTGAGGAGACAGCCGTCGTCCTCGGGGTCCCTGTTTGAGGAGACAGCCGTCGTCCCCGGGGTCCCTGTTTGAGGAGACAGTCGTCGTCCTCGGGATTCCTGTTTGAGGAGACAGCCGTCGTCCTCGGGGTTCCTGTTTGAGGAGACAGCCGTCGTCCCCGGGGTCCCTGTTTGAGGAGACAGCCGTCGTCCTCGGGATTCCTGTTTGAGGAGACAGCCGTCGTCCTCGTGGTCCCTGTTTGAGGAGACAGCCGTCGTCCCCGGGGTCCCTGTTTGAGGAGACAGCCGTCATCCCCGGGGTTCCTGTTTGAGGAGACAGCCGTCGTCCTCGGGGTTCCTGTTTGAGGAGACAGCCGTCGTCCCCGGGGTCCCTGTTTGAGGAGACAGCCGTCGTCCCCGGGGTCCCTGTTTGAGGAGACAGCCGTCGTCCTCGGGGTCCCTGTTTGAGGAGACAGCCGTCGTCCCCGGGGTTCCTGTTTGAGGAGACAGCCGTCGTCCTCGGGGTTCCTGTTTGAGGAGACAGCCGTCGTCCCCGGGGTTCCTGTTTGAGGAGACAGCCGTCGTCCTCGGGGTTCCTGTTTGAGGAGACAGCCGTCATTCTTGGGGTCCCTGTTTGAGGAGACAGCTGTCGTCCTCGGGGTCCCTGTTCGAGGAGACAGCCGTCGTCCCCGGGGCTCCTGTTCGAGGAGACAGCCGTCATCCTCGGGGTTCCTGTTTGAGGAGACAGCCGTCATCCCCGGGGCTCCTGTTTGAGAAGACAGCCATCATCCTCGGGGTCCCTGTTTGAGGAGACAGCCGTCGTCCTCGGGGTTCCTGTTTGAGGAGACAGCCGTCGTCCCCGGGGCTCCTGTTTGAGGAGACAGCCGTCGTCCCCGGGGCTCCTGTTTGAGAAGACAGCCATCGTCCTCGGGGTCCCTGTTTGAGGAGACAGCCGTCGTCCTCGGGGCTCCTGTTTGAGAAGACAGCCATCATCCTCATGGTCCCTGTTTGAGGAGACAGCCGTCATCCCCGGGGCTCCTGTTTGAGAAGACAGCCATCATCCTCGGGGTTCCTGTTCGAGGAGACAGCCGTTGTCCCCAGGGCTCCTGTTTGAGGAGACAGCCGTCGTCCTCGGGATTCCTGTTTGAGGAGACAGCCATCGTCCCCGGGGTCCCTGTTTGAGGAGACAGCCGTCGTCCCCGGGGTCCCTGTTTGAGGAGACAGCCGTCGTCCCCGGGGTCCCTGTTTGAGGAGACAGCCATCGTCCCCGGGGTTCCTGTTTGAGGAGACAGCCATCATCCTCGTGGTCCCTGTTTGAGGAGACAGCCGTCGTCCCCGGGGTCCCTGTTTGAGGAGACAGCCGTCGTCCCCGGGGTCCCTGTTTGAGGAGACAGCCGTCGTCCCCGGGGTTCTCTAGTGCTAAGGTGTTTTTTTCTCCTGGCTGCAGCTAACATTTTTCTCTTTTCCTTTAGTTTCAGCAGTTTGATTATGATGTGACTAAATATGGTTTTCTCCAGTTTTATACTTCATGGAGTTTGATAAGCCTATTGAATCTTGGGTTAATGTCTCTTACCAATTTTGGAAAATTGGCTATTATCCATCAAAATAATATTGCTCCTATCCCATTCTCACCCTTCTCCTGGGATTCCAATACACATGTTAGACAGTTGGATCAGTACCATATGGCCCTCTTCTCTCTGTCTCTGTCTCTCTCTGTGCATGTGTGTATGTGGGTGTGTGTGTTTGTGTACTTTTAATTCTATCTTTTCTCTGTGCTTTATTTTGGATAATTTCTATGGACCTGTCTGAAACTTCATCAATCCTTTTTGCTACTATATGTTTAGTCTGCTCTTAAGCCCATCCAATGAGTTCTTAATTTCAGGTATTATATTAATTGGTTAATATAATAAACACTTATTTTTATTATTTATTTTATTTTTAATAACAAATAATGAGCACCTACTTTCATAGCTTTCATCTCTCTGTTGAAATTCTCCATCTTTTCATCCATTTTGTTCATCCTTTCCTCCATCTCATTTCATGTATTTACAAGAATATTGTAAAGCATTTGTCTGCTAATTCTTTCATCTGGGTTATCTGTGCATCTGCTTCTATTGAATAGCTTATCTCTTGGTTGAAAATCACACTCTCCTGTAATTCTTATAATTTTTGGTAGTGTGCTAGAAATTATATGCAAAAGAACCAAGAAACATCAGTCTCTCCCCGCAGGTAGAGCTCTGCCGATGACTAACCCGCCCTCAGCACCATTCAGCTCCACTGCGAGAAAGGGGCCCCCCAAGACTGGCAGTTCCTTCAGATTTGCACCCACCATTTTCCAATGCATTTGAAAGAAATGATAATTTTTGTACATAATTCCATTTTTTCTCATTGTTGAAATAGAAAGGTTGGCTTCACACTCTTTCCTCATGCTAACTGGACGTGAAAATCTTGTCTTTTTGCATTACAAAATCTGGGAGTTATTTGTCATTATGACTCATTTTTTTCATTTACATTATTCATCTGTGGATCTTTTTTCCTTATTCAGTCTTGCCAGATATTTGTCTAATTTTTGTTCCTTCAAACACACAGCCATGGCTGTGCTGATTTTTCTGTTTTGTTAATAGGCATTCTCAGTCCTGTCTCTTTTCTTCAGTTGAGTTTTGAAATGTGGAGGTTGGACCCTGAGCTTGCTAACTTCAGGCTTCCCACCAGTTTCCCCCTAATAACTCCAGCATTGATCACCTAAGAAAAAAGTCTCCCTCCTACTCACCAAATATCACTCTAATGGCTGAGAACATTATTAATTCAAAAATAAGGCCAGGCACGGTGGCTCACGCCTGTAATCCCAGCACCTTGGGAGGCCGAGGAGGGTGGATCATCTGAGGTCAGGGGTTCAAGACGAGCCTGGGCAACATGATGAAACCCCATCTCTACTAAAAATACAAAAAGTAGCCAGGCGTGGTGGTGCACAACTGTACTCCCAGCTACTTAGGAAGCTGAGACAGGAGAATCACTTGAGCCCGGGAGACAGAAGTTGCAGTGAGCCAAGATCACGTCACTGCACTCCAGCCTGGGCAACAGAACAAGACTCAATCTCAGAGAAAAAAAGAATTTAACCTTTCTTATTTCCCAATGCAAATATATAGGGTTAGATTTTTCTCAGGTACAGCTTTTACTGCAGCCCAATAGTTTTGATAGTAGTATCTTAGTTTTAATCATTTCTAGGTATTTTAATTTCCAATATGACTTCTTCTTTAACTGTGGTTTATTAGAATAGTGGTTTTCAATGTTTTAACATGTGTAACTATGTCACTGATGCTTTTGTTATGAACGTCTGTGCTGGGTCAGAGAATATTGTCAGTGTGGTAAATGTGTCAGTTTGAAAATGATAACAAAATCCTTGCTCACTGTTGCCTTGAAAAAAAATGAAAATGATAACAATCTGTACCTTTAGGACAAAATGAAAGTACCGGACTCTCTGGTTCAAGAGCTCCCTGGTGCCTGTGTGTTTGACTGATTTTGTGAACCAGAAGGATTGTGCGCCGGGGAGACCATTCAGGCTTACTGATGTCACTAAACCCAAAGTCAGAAACAGAACACAATTGCACACAGCTGTCCGTCTAAGAAAGACAGCACCTGATGAATTGCTCAGGCACAGGGAGTGAGGGGCCAGAGTGTGAGGCCCCCACTGCTGACCCAATTCTCTCAGCACCCCCACACCTCTCTGGGGTGCCACTGTTGTTCCTCCTGGGAGCCCTGTCAGCAGCAGAGAGGGGTCTCGCTGGGGACGCCCAGACACCTATCCCCAGATTAAGACAGGGCAAGGAGAAGACCTGTTCCCAGGGAGAGCTGTGCATGGAGCCCCCAAGGCAGGGCCAGGAACTGGAGTGTGAAAGAAGCCAAGTCACCAAAACTATGTAGAGTCAAAAGGGCTAAAGCTCCACAGCCCTAAGAATCAGACACTCAAACCAGGGTTCCACATGGCAAGGGGAGGAGAAAGGCAAGCAAGTTATGACCTGGGCAGAGCCAGGAGGGGCGAGCAAGAAACTGGCCAGGCCCTACACGTGTGCCTGGGGCAAATGGTTACGATCTGAGCTTCCCAACAGCCAAGGTGAGAAGGAAAAAGGGTCAGAGGTATAAGTGTAGCGGGAGCACGATGATCTTCAGTGTCAACAATTCAGCCTGGCAGTCCATAGCAAGAGCACAGGGATGGAGACTGTGGGACTCATTCAGGACACCACTCGGGGAGGCCTCTGGACATCACGCCAAGATCCCCTTCACTGGAAAAATTCCACAGTGTGTTTCCGTCCGTGCCTACACCGGGGTTGGCGCACATACCCACACAGCAGCTTGCTGGCACCCAGCTCTCTGACAGTGAATACAATAAGGGCAGGAAGGAAGGTCATCCACTTCATCTAAACAGGAAGCTTGCACATTTTCCTGATTGAGATCTACACTTTAAAAAGTTAATAAATATATCCACACCCAAAACACTGACACACATAACATTTACGTAACATATTCACATAGATTTATAACCGATAAACATATTTACAACATAAAACATAAATATAAAATATGAAATAAAATACCAAACATACTTATAACACATATATTTGTATATCTAAAACATTATATACACACATATATACACAAGCAAAAATATATAAGCATAAATAAAACACATTTTTATTTAAATTACTTTCTTCATTAAAATATATGTGTCCTAATTGTGCATAATGTACTCTGATCTTTATTATTCAATTCAATTCTATTCTTTCATCTTCTAGAACATACAAACATGGTTCCTATTCACCAGCTGGGTTTTATGACCCGGGCTCCTTGGACAGCGCTGCTCCCAGCACCGCTCAGAAGCAGTGCAGAGTGCAGGCCGAGGCTCCATGCGGCTGAGCCGGGCTTGAATTCAGCCCTCTACCTATTACCTGGGTGATCCTGAATCAGGGCAACAACCATCCTGGTTTGCCCAGCACCGAGGGCTTCCCAGGTCGCAGGACTTTGGTGCTAAAATTGGGACATTGATCCCCCATCATGAAGCCAACTCCTCAGGTCTCTGTTCCATTTTATTATTTTTAGAATTGGACTTATTGTACCCACCTCCTAGGATTGAAATCAGGCCAGAAATGAAGAATGTTGATAGAATAAACACTTGACAAACGTCACTGGGGCCTGTGGGCTGTGCTCGTACAGGCCTCTCTGCTGCCAGATGTACACTGGCTCACACACCTGGACAGGTGTTGGAGTCTGGGGCCAGCGGGGTGGGGGCTCCTGACAGAGACCACCAGGAACAAGCAAGCCCTTAACAAGGAGGTGGCCTTGCCTCTCCTGGGCAACTGCAGGACCAAGTCAGGGAACCGTGGAGGCGAAGACCGCAGAGCCATGCCCCCGCCCTCAGACCCAAATCTTTGCTCTGGGCTGTTTTGAAGCCTGTCCATGAACTGTACTCATTCCAGGGGTGCCTCCAGGAACAGCCACAGGCTGTGCCCGCCAGGGAGCTGGAGTGATACGTGATGGGGATAACTGCATGACCCAGCAAAGTATCCTGGGAACACCAGGCCTGCACCCGCCCACCCTGCTGACCACAGGCTGACTGACCCTTTCCCGTCCCTGGTTAGTCCCCACCACCTCCAGGGGCTGCTGTGTCTGGGAGTTAATTCATGAAGGAGAGAAGAAATGAGGCCAGGAGCACAGCTGGATGCAGTACTGAGGAACTTGGTCAGCCCTGGGGAGGGCCAGTCCCTTCTCGTGAGCACTGAAAGCTGTGTGGCTCCGAGCACGGCCCTCTCGGCCGTGGCTGCCCCAACACCCTGTCATCAGCCACAGGCTCAGATGAGTCTCTGCAGATCCCTCAGCCACTTCCTTTGAGACCTGTGTGTTCCTTCCAGCCTCCAACCTCCAACTACCACCTGGACTCCTTTATTGCATGTGCCTCCAATGCCGATGTTCTTTTGATTTTTCTTTTTGATTTTTGACTCTGCAGATTTCACAGTGCCAAATTCATTCAAATCAATCACAGTGAGAATGGCAAATGAAAAAATGCACATGATAAACAAATTGCATATGGCCCCTCCCCTCCAAACAACTTCCATCCCGTGCCCTCTAAGCCCACCCCCAAAACAGCCCTGATCCACACACAGGCTGGGCGGCAGAAAGGGCTGGAGCATCAGAGGACAAAGGGAGCAGAGGACGCTGAGCCCGGACAGGCAGGGGTCAGAGGGCAGGGCCCGTCTGGGGCATCCCTAGAGCATGCACCAGGGGAAACAGGAACGGGACAGTCCTGCTGGGTGGGCCACTATGTGGACGCAGGGGAAATGGCCCCACCTGGCTGCACACTCACTCTCCGACTGGCACTTTCTCTCCCAGCAGCCGTTACTGGAAAGGCCACAGCAGGGGAGGGGCTTGCTGGTCTGCAGTGCGGGAGAGGATGCGGAGGCCCTGGAGGTGGTGGGCAGCAGTCACGCTGGGGCCAGGGGCAGCCCTTCCCAACCACCTTATGGGTAGCAGTTACCCCTTTCTTCTTTCCGAGACCTACCTCCTGCAAGACCCCTGAGGGCAGGTGACTGGGCCGGTTCACTGCTGCAGACCCAGGGTCCAGCCCTGCTTGTCATCATACATGCTCAAAAGGATGTCATTCAGGAAATGAAGGCAGGAAGCAGAAAAGAGCAAACCTGACACGGGGTGAAAGCTGTGTGACCACCTGGGCTGGAGGGAAGGGCTCCGAGGAGGAAAGTGGCTCGGTGGTCCTCCAGACTGAGGACAGCATTTCCTGACATCACCTGGGTCTGGCAGGGCCCTGTGCCCCCGGTGAGGCGGGAGAGGGTGTGACAGTACCTCCGGAGGGGAGAGCTGGGTGCCCACCAACCGGGATGTCCATGCTGTTGGGTTCCAGCGGCCCAGTGAGAACACGGGTCAACTCCCTTGGCTCCCGGGGAAAAAACAGAATAAAGAATAGGACCAAGGGAAGACTCAGTGTAGGAGGCAGATGAGTCTAGTGAGGAGGGCGCAGGTCTATGCTATGACGGGGGCGGCCTCACACTCTGCATCCAGGACCTACATGGGGCCGAGCAGATGCTGCAAAAGAAATTGGAACCACAGCCTCCAACGGGCCCAGGGACGCTTTAGCACTCGACAGACCCGGCTGGGCCCCAGCCTCACCTGTGGGAGGACGAAGTGTGGGAGGACAGAGCTGGGAGGCAGCCTGCACAGGAGCCGTTTTTCCAGGGCACCAGTCTTCAAAGGCCGGGACTCAGCCCCCTGCAGGTCCCAGAAATTTGGCAGGAGTCCTGGAGCTGCAGCTCCCAACCCCTGCGGCAGCTCCAGGCTCCTGTAAGGCTATGGGAGCACGCCCTGCTTTCCTCTGGGCAACTGAGCCAGCCTGAGGGGCCCCTGGAGGCGCCTGCCCTTCTCCTCCCTTCTCCCCTCCTCCCAGGCCACCCCTGCCAGGGGAAAGCGCTCCAAGCACTCTAGAAAGAACGAAGATTATGTGCCTGTGGCCTAACCATCCCCGCCAACCTCATTTGCCCTTAACTATGCTCCTTCCTGGATCTGCCTGGCCGGCTCCTGTTCCATCTCAGGTTGTCCAAACCTCACCTGCGCCCCAGGGTCCCTACTCCGCCTCCTCCCTCTCCCTCCTCCTCCGCTTTGAAGCCTCTTCCCTCCCCCGTCTGCTTCCAAATCCAGACCACTCCTGCCCCACCCCAGGGAAAGGGTCGTCCCGCCCTCCGCGCCCTTTGAGGTGCTCAGGGCCCTCTGGGTCTCCTTCAGCCTCCGTGGGTCCCTGAGTCAGGAACCAAATCTGGCCCCACGTTCCCCAAGGCGCGGAGGCTGGGATCCGTGATTGGGGTTGACCCCCTCCTCCCCGGCCTCGGGCTATTTTCCGCAGGAGGCCGCTGCAGGCAGACGCTGAGGCCCTCGGGGACCCCGGAGCCGCCCCAGTACAAGAGCCCCGAGGAGGGGCTGGCCGGTCCCGCCCCCTCGGTCCCAGGGCTGACTCCTCCTCCAGGACGCAGATCCCTGCAGCCCGGCAGGAGAGAAGGTGCTGGGAGAGGGGTCCGGACTGTGGGCCGGGGGCTGGGATGAGGGTCGGGCGAGAACGGGCTCCGAGGGTTTAGAAAGAGAGATTGGAAGGGGGACCAAAGGCAGAGGGCCCAGGGAGAGGGAATGCGGGGAAGGGAGGAGAGCGAGCGTCGGGAGCAGGAGCCTGGGGGTGGGGGTTGCCCTCGGTGAAGCCCAGTCCAGGAGCGCAGGAGGCTGGAGGTGGGGGACGTCCTGGGTGAAGCCGCGTCCGGGAGCGCAGGAGGCTAGTGTGGGATGGGGGGTGCGCCCTGAGTAAAGCCCCGTCCGGGAGCAGGAAGCTGGGGAGGGGGCTCTCTGGGTGAAGCCTCCCGCAACACCCACCTCACCCCACTCAGGCTGAGCCTTCTGGCGTCATGGAGAGGCTCGTCCTAACCCTGTGCACCCTCCCGCTGGCTGTGGCGTCTGCTGGCTGCGCCACGACGCCAGGTAAGGCGCGGCCCGGGCTGGGCTGGGGGCGTCGGGGCTGGAGCTGCGGACGCTGGTCCACAGCGCCCCGCTTGCTGCCCACAGCTCGCAACCTGAGCTGCTACCAGTGCTTCAAGGTCAGCAGCTGGACGGAGTGCCCGCCCACCTGGTGCAGCCCGCTGGACCAAGTCTGCATCTCCAACGAGGTGGTCGTCTCTTTTAGTGAGTCCCCCCCGGGCAGAGGGCAGGTGCCAGGTGCCGGGGAAGGGCCGGTGCCCCCGCCTCTCAGCGACTTAGCTATGAGTCCTCGGCGCTCCAGGGCCTGGGGCCCTGTGGGTCCGAAAGTGCCTCCTGCTGTCTCTCCCGCGCTGGGCTCGGGCGAGCATCCCAGAGTGTGAATTTTGACTTTTTTCTCCTCCATTTGAAGTGTCACTAGGAACTGTCAGCAGGACAAAGGCTCTGATGTCACTGAATTTACAAAGACAGCAGGAACACACGGGTGGGGATGGGCAGCTGTTCGAGGCGATGGGTTATCTGCCCTTCCTGGCACAGCACAGTACACCTGCCATACAACCCAGCATCAGGCAGGCTGCACTGGAATCGATACAGTGTATGACAATGTCATATAGTATAACACAACATAATGAATATAACGTGTATATTGCAACTTAATATAATACGATGTAATATAATGCTACATAATACAACATAATATAATAAAATAGAATGCAACACAACACACCGTAACACTCTATGACACATAAGGGCGATTGATTCCACCCAAGCTCTTTTCTCAACAGTTTGGGTTTTGATGCTGTGCATCTCTTCAGGGGTTCCATGGTTGTTGACAGACACGTCCGTCAGAAAGTCTCTGCCATGTCTTTAAGTGAGCAGTACAGAGAAACGAGCCCAGGGCTGGGCACCCAGCCCAGCAGGTTCTCCGTGATGGGCAGCCCCTTTCCACTGCTCTGAGTCACCCCATCTCCCGACGACGCACATGCCCCGGGGCCGGCAGGGGTGGTCCAGGCTGTGCATGGCTTCGGGAGAAGGCCCCTTACAGCCAGTTGCCCTGGAGTCTGTATTTGCTGTGCCGCGGGCGGAGGTGGCCTGGGCAGCCAGGATCCCCAGCTCTGCAGCGCCTCACCCAGTAAAGGACAGGAGAAGGTGGTCTCTTGGCTGTCCTCGCAGGGCCAGGTTACGTGCTCTAGCTCTTTCTGGTCCCGGCTGCTCCTTTGGAAAGCATCCTTGCACTTTCCGCATAACTGTGGATACCTCCTTGCTGGGGCTCTGGGGCCACCTGCCTCTCCTCTTTTCTGCAGAATGGAGTGTACGCGTCCTGCTCAGCAAACGCTGTGCTCCCAGATGTCCCAACGACAACATGAAGTTCGAATGGTCGCCGGCCCCCATGGTGCAAGGCGTGATCACCAGGCGCTGCTGTTCCTGGGCTCTCTGCAACAGGGCACTGACCCCACAGGAGGGGCGCTGGGCCCTGCGAGGGGGGCTCCTGCTCCAGGTGGGCCTCAGCCTCCTCAGGGCCCTGTTGTGAGGGCCCTCCCTTTACGCCCCCTCCTGGCCCTGCTGGCCCATCCCGTCTCCTGCCTCCAACTGCCATCCTGCCTCCGCCCCTTCCAGGACACTGGGGGGGGACCCTCCCTCTCTGAGGTGGTGGGGAGGGTGCCATTGCCTCCATCCCGGATCTAGCCACCTCACTCCTCCCCACCGGGGGCCCCTTTGCTGGAGAACCCCAAGGATTCAGCAACTGCTCCTCCTGGGGAAGGACAGTGCCTCTGATGTGGGTGATGGGAAGGACGGTGCCTCTGATGTGGGTGATGGGAAGGACGGTGCCTCTGGTGTGGGTGATGGGAAGGACGGTGCCTCTGGTGTGGGTGATGGGATGGACGGTGCCTCTGGTGTGGGTGATGGGAAGGACGGTGCCTCTGGTGTGGGTGATGAGAAGGACGGTGCCTCCGGTGTGGGTGATGGGAAGGACGGTACCTCCGGTGTGGGTGACGGGAAGAATGGTGCCTCCAGTGTGGGTGATGGGAAGGATGGTGCCTCTGATGGGCAATGGGGAAGGATGGTGCCTCCGGTGTTGGGTGATGGGGAAGGACGGTGCCTCTGGTGTTGGTGGTGGGAAAGACAGTGTCTCTGGTGGGCGATGGCCCCTTGCATGAGGCCCCTTGCCCTGAATGCTGTCCAGGACCCTTCGAGGGGCAGAAGAACCTGGGTGCGGCCACAGCTGGGGCTCCCACTCTGCCTTCCCATTTCCAGCCCCCTCTGCCCAAGGGAAACCCAGGAAGGATAACACTGTGGGTGCCCCCACCTGTGCATTGGGACCACGACCTTCACCCTCTTGGAGACAATAAACTCTCATGCCCCCATGGTGCTCATTCCTTCCTTCTCCTCCCCGTCCACCCGCCCTGCCCAGCCCTCAACAAAGGGCTCTGAGGGTGGGTACCGGTGACCACTGGAGCAGCCAGATCTGCAAAAAACCTTCCAGCTGGGAGGTTGAGGATAAGGACTGTCCCTGCAGCCTGTCGGGCACCTGTAATCCCAGCTAGCTACTTGGGAGGCTGAGGCAGGAGAATCGCTTGAACCTGGGAGGCGGAAGTTGCAGTGGGCCAAGATCACGCCACCTCACTCTAGCCTGGGTGACACAGTGAGACTCCATCTCATGTCTTCTCATGGCTTGTTACCTTATCTCTTTTTATCCCTGAACAATATTCCACCATCTTCATGCAGCACTATTTGTTTAACCACTCACCTATCAAAAGACATCTTGTTGCTTCCAAGCATTGGCAATTATGAATGAAGCTACGGTAAACGTCCACGTTCAGGTTCTTATGTGGACATCAGCCTTCAACCCCTCTGTTTAAATGCCACGGAACACAATTGCCGGAGCTGCCAAGAAGCCTCTGTGTAGCTGTGTAAGAAACTTCACACCTGTCTTCCACGGCAGCCGCACCATTTTGCACCCTCACCGGCAATGACGGGGAGTGCCCGTCGCTCTGCATCCCAGCCAGAAACTGATATTGTCAGTGTTCTGGATTTCAGTCACTTAAAAAGTGGTGCTGGTGTCTCGTAGGTGTGTTCATTTGCAATTCCCTGTTCCCAGAGCCTCGTTCTGTCTGCTTACTTGCCAGCAGCGGATCTTTGGTGAGGTGTCTGGTCAGATGCTTTCTTCATTTTTTATGTTCTTCTTGAGTTTGTTTGTTTGTTTGTTTTTAAATACAGACAGGGTCTTCCTATGTTGCCCAGGCTCATCTCAAACCCTTGGACTCAAGGAATCTGCCTGCCTCAGGCTCCCAAAGTGCTGGGATTACACTTTGGGAGCCTGAGGCTGGCAGATCCTTTGAGCCCAAAAGAAACAGGTTGAGCCACCAAGCCCAATCTGTCGATTTTTTTAATCAATTTTTTTTTAATTTTAGGGATTATGTTTTCAGTTTTGTATCTAAAAACTCATCACCAAACCCAGGGTCAGATCAATTTTCTCCTGCATTTTCTTCTAGGAGGTTTATAGTTTTGCATTTTGCATTCAGGCCTATGGTCCTTTTTAGTTAGTTTTTGTGAAAGGTATAAGATTTGTGTCTGGATTAGTTTTTTTTGTTGTTGTTGTTTTTTGTTTGTTTTTTTCATGTGGATTTTCAATTTTAACACATCATTTTTTATATATAAATTTATTTTAAAAAATAACAATTGCAGCAACATTGATAATCAATCACCCATACTCCCCCTACTGATAGAGAAAAAAACCTTCTATATAGTTGAGTAACAAAGGAAAATCAAGACCTTTTATCAGACCCCCTACAGCCAGAAATGGCGATGCTGTCCCCAGCGGGGCAGACCTGACACATTCAATGTCCCAGGGTAGCACACCAGCCCAGTGGTGTAGACCTGACACATTCAACGTCTCAGGGTAACACACCAGCCCAGTGGTGTAGACCTGCCACGTTCGACGTCCCAGGGTAACGCACCAGCCCAGTGGTGTAGACCTGCCACGTTCGACGTCCCAGGGTAACGCACCAGCCCAGTGGTGTAGACCTGCCACGTTCGACGTCCCAGGGTAACGCACCAGCCCAGTGGTGTAGACCTGCCACGTTCGACGTCCCAGGGTAACGCACCAGCCCAGTGGTGTAGACCTGCCACGTTCGATGTCCCAGGGTAACGCACCAGCCCAGTGGTGTAGACCTGCCACGTTCGACGTCCCAGGGTAACGCACCAGCCCAGTGGTGTAGACCTGATGTGTTCGACGTCCCAGGGTAACGCACCAGCCCATGGTGTAGACCTGACGTGTTCAATGTCCCATTGTAACACACCAGCCCATGGTGTAGACCTGACGTGTTCAGTGTCCCAGGGTAACACACCAGCCCATGGTGTAGACCTGACGTGTTCAACGTCCCAGGGTAACGCACCAGCCCATGGTGTAGACCTGACGTGTTCAACATCCCAGGGTAACACACTTCCCATGCACCATGTTCTCTGACCATGTGTATTTAAATTGAATGTTTATGATGAAGATAAACTTTAACATTTCAAATATGGGAAATTTAATTAACATTTCAGTTAGTTCGTCTGTTAAAGAAGAAACTATAATAGGCTTCTTAAAAATTCCTTGAGCTGCGTGGTAACAAAAATCAGAACCAGCTTTTGTTTTAAATGAGAGTGGTGCTTTGAGGAAAACGTATAGACTTAAGGCCTTGTGTTAGAAAGGAAGAGGGGCTGAAAATTAAGAAACCTTGTATTCAGGTCTAGAACCTTGAGAAGAACAACAAATTAAACCCAGGGAGTTCTGAAGGAAAATGTCCCCCCAAAAGGTGTTATTAAAGAAATCAGAAACCAAAATAAACTAAAATAGAGAAGATCCACAAAGTCAACAGATGCGCAAAATGGTGACATTGCTGGCAAGACTGAGAATGAGATGGAAGGGGAAACACAGATAAATGGCTTGAGTGGTTAAAGAGGCTGAACCGTTCCAGCCACCCATTCATGCAAAATCCCAGGAAGTGGAAATTGAATTCAAGTGGTGGGAAGTGGATCAGTGGTTGCCTGGAGCCGGATGTGGATGGGGGGCCGTGTCACTCATGGCGGGCGCCTGTTGGGAGAGGCAAGTGTGATGAGCATGGTGGTGGGTATGTGGTGTGTAAATTTACCAACATTCATTGAGCTGACCACTTAAAATGGGTGCTTTTTGTTGTGTGTAAATCACACTTCAGTAAAATTGATCGAACTGTCACAAGAAGCCAGGTTGGGTGGTGCATGCCTGTGGTCCCAGCTACTGGGGAGGCTGAGGTGGGAGGATTGCCTGAGCCCAGGAGGTGAAGGCTGCAGTGAGCCGAGATCGCACCACTGCACTCCAGCCCAGACAGCAGAATGAGACCCTGTCTCAGAAAAATAAATAAAAATAAAATAAATGATCACAACAGACATTTTGCATACCTGTATGGAATAAGTTTGAAAATTTAGATGAAATGAAGTGTTTCTAGTAAAAACATAATTTGCCAAATTGGGCCCAAGAAGTAAAGTTTCCAAGTTCCTTTTACAAGGCAAGCATCACACTGATAGCCAAACATGATAAAGATGATACCAAAAAGGAAAATATAGCACTTTTATATATCAGTGCAATAATCTTAAATAAAATATTAGCAAGACAAATTCAGTAGCACATTGGACAATAACATGATTGTGTGCACACACGTGTGCATGCGTGTGTGTGCATGTGTGTGTGTGTGAACCCTGAAGCCAGAAACTCACTGTATGGGAAAGTACTGGCTGCGGTTCCACTAATGCACTAAGACCAGGACAGACACTGTCATTTTTTAAACATTGCAGTGGAGACAAAAGCAAAGAAAAATAGAGGAGAAAGCAATTGGAGGCAAAAGATTTGAGGAAAATACAATCTATTTGCTGCTGACCCATCTACCTCAAAAACTCTTTCTAAAGAAAGCCCTGGCTGGGCACGGTGGCTCACACTTGTAATCCCAGCACTTTGGGAGGCTGAGGCGGGCAGATCACGAGGTCAAGAGATCAAGACCAGCCTGGCCAACATGGCGAAACCCTGTCTCTAATAAAAATACAAAAAATTAGCTGGGTGTGGTGGCGGGCACCTATAATCCCAGCTACAGGCGCCTATAATCCCAGCTACTCAGGAGGCTGAAGTGGGAGAATCACTTGAACCCAGGAGGCGGAGGTTGCAGTGAGCCAAGATTGTGCCACTGTATTCCAGCCTGTATGACAGAGTGAGACTCCGTCAAAAAAAAAAAAAAAAAAAAAAAAGGAAAAAAGCCCTAATGGAGCAATGCTAAGACTAGAAAATTCAATAAAATCATTCAATGAGGTAGTAGAATATGAAATTAAAGTGAAAACCAACAGCCTTTTTATATAGAAGCAAGAACTAACTACAAGATATAATGGAAGAGAAAACCTCATTTACAATTGGGGAGAAAATCCAATGCTTAAAAATAAATTGGATTTCAAAACGTGCAAAATCTAAGGGAGTAAAATTCAATGCACTCCTGCGAGATGCACCTGGAGCCTTGAGCCATTGTAAAGCTGTTCCTTGTTCTCTAACGGCACCAATGCCATTAGACATCAGTCCTCCCTAATTTATGAAATGTTTTCATTTAATGTGATTGCTATAAAAATCATGATTTCTTTTTATTGAACAAGACATGTTGAAAGATATGCAAACAAAAACATTCAAGATTGGTTAGGAAAATTCTGAAAAAAAGTTGAGTTATTAATGGGTTAGTACTACCAGAGATTAAAACACACCAAAAAAACCCTCAAAAATTAAAACGATGTGGTGTCTTCATGCTAATGAATAATCAAGTGAAGTAGACTAGAAAGACCAGAAATATACCCAAGAATGCATGGAAACTCTGTGTACAATACGGGGAGAATCTCAAATCTCTGGATCAAAGATAAACTTGTTAAAATAATTGATGTGTGAACAAATGAATGGATTCTTGGAAGAAGTCAAATAGGATCTCTACCCATGCATCCACATAGCAGACATAAGAATTAATGTTAAACAACCAAAGTGTAGAAATACCAAAAGAAATGATACGTGAATATCTTTTTTTTTTTTCAAGATGGAGTCCTGCACTGTCACCCAGGCTGGAGTGCAGTGGCGCAATCTCGGCTCACTGCAACCTCCGCCTCCTGGGTTCAAGCGATTCTCCTGCCTCAGCCTCCCGCGTAGCTGGGATTACAGGCACCCGCCACCATGCCCAGCTAATTTTTTGTATTTTTAGTAGAGACGGTGTTTCACCATGTTGGCCAGGCTGGTCTCGAACTCCTGACCTTGTGATTCGCCCACCTCAGCCTCCCAAAGTGCTGGGATTACAGGCATGAGACACCATGCCCGGCTGTGAATATCTTTACAACCTCAGTGTGGAGAAAGACTTCCTAAATTTAATTCAATCGAAATGCAAAAAAGAAAAGATTGACTAATTTGACTCTATAAAAATATAGATATTTTGTATGAGGTGCACATGGGCACACACACACACAAACAAACACATACCAGGGAGTTATAAAGAACTCTTAATTGGGGGAGGTAGGCAAACGCCAAAAGCTTAATAGAAAATATGAGCAACATACACAAACATTAGCAACAATGATATAAAATACCACTTAAACATAAGGAAAAATGTTGCCCTTCACTTGTGGAAGAAATGCAAATGAAAACAGCCCTAGGGATGTTGACGTTGGGGTGGCACCTGCTGCAGAGGGTAACGTGCAGCATGTCGAGGGCAGCACTGCCAAGGCTGGTTTGAGCTCAAGGTCAGGTGGAGGAGGTAGTCTCTCCCATCTCTTCTGCTGAGTGCAGCTCTAAACCCTGCCTGAAACACGTGGAGAAGCTATCTGAGCTGCCTCCAGGACACATGCAAATGGACACTCTGATCATAAAATTATCAGGAAGATTGAGAAATAAGACAAAAATGTGAGGTGCCACCAAACCAGTGGAAAGTTTTCCCTTTTCATTCCTCTGGCATTCCCTGGCCTTGACTCAAGGCAGCCCACACTCTAGGAGCAGACACCAGGGCACAGGTGGGGAGCTCTGGGGGACCCCTCCAGGGCTTACTCAGTGAATGGGTTAGCAGCAGCCACAGGAGCCACCATGGAGCCTGCAGGGACCCACAACACTGAGGGCAGGGATCTTGCCTCTAATCAGATAAGCTGTGATTCCGAGAGGGTGGGGTAAAGGCCACGGGTCTTTTTCTCTCCACATCTTCCCACGTCATGACCCCAGAGGGGGTCGAAGAGGGAGAAAGTGTGAGCACCGTGACATAATGAGCCGCAGCCTTCTGACTAGATGCCCCAAAGAAGAATCCCAGGTGACCACACAGCATCAGAGAAACTGCAGGTAATGAGGAACTTTGGAAAGCAATCCATCGTGTTGTCAGTAAAACCTCTGGCTCACTCCCGAGCTGGGCATGCATGGATGTGACCCTCGATGGAATAGACTATGAGAACCAGGTGAGGGGATCTACCTCCACCGAGACGTGAGAGTGACCTGCATACCCAAACACCATGAGGCTTTAAAGACTGAGCTGATGTGGAAGCCACAGCCTCTGCAGGTTGCTCTGCACTTGCAACATAAGCCCAACCACATCAATTGCTGCTAAAACAAAACTAGCAGCATTCTCCATACCACTTAAATAAGACACAGAGTCTCACAACATTCAAAACGCCCAGGACACAATCCAAAATTACTTCTACAAAAAATCAGGAAAATCTCAATGAGCAAGGAAAATGGCAATCAGTAGCTGCCAGTGCTGAGATGACATGAGGGTTGGAATCACCAACATCTTTAAAGTAATTATCATAAGCATTCTCTAGCAAGTAATGGCAAACACTCTTGAGATAAATGGAAAGATAAGAAGGCTCAGGGAGAAAGTGGAATGTACAAAGAATGACCAAGTGGGAATTGCACCACTGGAAACATAATCACCAGGATAAAGCAGTCTCTGGCTGGGCCAACAGGAGAATGGAAATGAAAAGGGAAAGAGTTGTTATGGCAGTTGTCCAATTTGAACAACACAAAAGACACTGATTTAAAAAAAAATGAGGCAGGGCTCAGTGGCTCACACCTATAATCCCAATACTTTGGGAGGCCGAGGCAGATGTATCACCTGAGGTCAGGAGTTCAAGACTACCCTGGCCAACATGGCAAAATCCCATCTCTACTGAAAATACAAGAATTAGCTGGGCATGGTGGCAGGTGCCTGCAATCCCAGCTACTCAGGAGGCTGAGGCAGGAGAATCACTTGAACTCGGGAGGTAGAGGGTGCAGTGAGCCAAAATCGCACCTCTGCATTCCAGCCTGGGTGACAGAGGGAGACTCTGTCTCAAAACAAAACAAAACAAAAAATGAACAGCACCTCAGGAACAATACCAAAAAGTCCAACAGCTGTATAATTGGTGGCCCAGAAGGAGAGGAGAAAGAGTGGAGTACAGAAATGAGATCTGAAGAACTAATGACTGATAATGTTTCAATTTTGAAAAAGGACATAAACCTAAAGATTATAGATTCAAAAGCCCAGTGAATTCAAATAGGATAAATACAGATGCAGATATATTATCATTAAACTGTTGAAATAAATTGGTTTTGTCACAAGCCAGCATTGTCACTGTGGGAGAAAAGAGATCAAAAGTACACAAGGAAGGAAGGAAATACAGAATATTATGGCCATGGGAAAGAGGTGTCAGTGTGAATACATAGAACAGCACACTTAAGCAACAATCCCAAATGATGGGGCTTTCTACAAAACAGTTGGCCTTTACTCTTCAAAAGTGTCAGGTCACGAAATAAATCCATGCTGAGGACCCGTTCCAGGTTAAAGCAGACTAAAGGGGCTGGACAACCAAGTGAAACGTGTGAGCTTGGATTAGATGCTGGACTAGAGAAGGCTGTGAGGGGGACAATGGCTGAAATGTGAATGAGGTCTATAGATTAGATTATAAGTTGTATCAGTGCTGATTCTGTGGTTTTGATCATTGTACTATAGTTATGAAAAATGTTAAGACTTGGAAAATCTATATAAAGCAGACGGCATAATTCTTGTACTTTTTTTGCAACTTTTTAATAAACCTGAAACTATTTCAAAATGAAAAGTTAATCCAAGCTGTCTTGAGTAGAAGTTAAAACAACAACAACAAAAGAAAATTGAAAAGTTAAAAATGAACCCCCAACAGAATGTTCCCCTTTATTTTTCTTTCATGTAAGGACGCAGGATATGCATTTTGCTCAGCTACCACCCTTCACTGCATCCCATTTTGAGAAGTGGTATTTTCTTCATTCATCTGTTCTAGGTTTTTAAAAAAATATTTAAGATCTTCTCTTTTTAAAGAATCTGTTCATTTGGAATGTACTTTTTGCATTTTTACTTGTGAAAATATGTATTTATCCTTTTTGTTATGAATGTATGACTTCACTGTGTCAGAGAATATGGTCTTAAGAGATACAGAAAACTTTTGAGAATGATAAGATCTGGACATGCTAGATGAAATCAAAGCCCTGGATGTCCTTGTTCAAGCTTCCAGGGTTGAGTGCCTGAGTGCCTGAGTGCCGGGGGCATGTGGCGTCCATCACGCTCACAGGGTGAGAGCCGAGGAAGCAGTTTGTTTCACTGAACATTAACTTGAGAAAACAAACTGTCCTCCCCACATTTTCTCAGCCTTGGTCACTGTCCTTTCAGGAGCTCAGAGACTTCTGGGTCTGCTCCCAGTCTTCATGGTCCCTGGTGTCCCCACAGTGTGGAGCCCCTTGCCCTACTTTTGGGGACTGTTAGACAAAGAGGGGATGCATCAGAGCTGAGGCTGGGGCTGAGTCTGGAAGGGGGTGGACCTGCATCTCACCCCGGGCTGTGATGGCTGCATCCTCCTCCTTGGGCCTCCAAGGTTGCTGCGTAAGAACCCCAGGAATCCTCCCCAGTACCTCTGTCCTCTGTCAGGCCCAGCCCAGGTCTGAGGGAAGGGGCAGGAGGGGGATTCAGGCGAGGGTCCCTGGGATGCAGACCCCTGTGAGGATAGGGCTGGAGGGGCCAGGAGGACACATCCCAGTGGGCACAGAGGAGGCGTCCAGGGGCAGGACCAATGGTTGAGGGGAGAGAGCAGGGGTCGGGGCCCTGGCGAGGTTCTGCCTCTGCTCCCAGTGTAGACCTGCTGCCTGCGTAATGGACAGGGTTCTCCTGATCCTGGGGCCCATGCTGGTGTATGCAGAGAAAGGTGAAGACACCAGGACGGGGTGGAAGGAAAGGCCAGCTGTGTCTCTGTGGTGTAAGGCGCATGTTTCCTTGAGGACAACGCAGGCCTGCTGTGCTGAGTGCATTTTGCCCTGTGACCCTGCAGCGGAGTGGGATGCTATGTGGCTTCACACCCACGGCTGTGAACACCGGCCCCAGGGTGGAGAATGTGTGCTCAGGGTTGAGGGTGTCACCTGAGGTGCTATGAGCTTGGGGTCTTTGGGCATCTTCACATGGTAGTGGCTGGGCCCAGACCCAGGTGTGCTCGGAGCCCATGGCTCTGCCCTCACCCCTCCTCCTGCAAACTGAAGCCTGTCATGCTACCACTGCCTCCACACCAATGCCAGCAGGCCTACAAGCCAGTCTCCTGCAGTGCCCAGGAAAGCCTGGGTTTCTTCCAGCTTGCGGTGGTCCACACAGGGCAGGGCCAGCCGGGACAGTCCCTGGAGAGGGTGGGGGTGGGCTTCTGAGCTCCGTGGTTCCCTCCACGGGCTCCTGCCCAGCTGTGAGCAGGGCCTGGGGGTCCAGGGTTAGGGGACCTAGACTTTGAGTTCCGGCCTGGGCAGCCTCCCCTCCCTTCATCCTCCTCGTGGACTCAGCTGGGGACTCCATGCTGGGCCTCTGGATCCCTTAGGAAAAGCAGGCCGTGGGATGCCACATACGCCTGGAGGGGAGGGGAGCAGCCAGGAGTCCAGAGAGCCAATGACACCCATCTCTTTTGGGGTGACCAGATAGAGAATTGATGTACATTCCAATTCCATGGGAGGACCCTGGGTAACAGGAAGTCCTCTCCCTGCTCTGGTTCCAAAGGGCATAAGCCACAGTGCAGTTCAACTCTCCACTCTACAGCAGGCACCAGCGGGCATCCCCGGGACACAGGCACCAGTGGGCATCCCCAGGACATGCCAGCCATGTGTCTCTGTCTTCTTTCATTCTTATTTATTTGTTTATTATTTTTATTTTGTAGACATGGGGTCTCACTATGTTGCTCTGGCTGGTCTCAAACTCCTGGGCTCAAGTAATCCTCTGCCTCAGCTTCCCAAACTGCTGGGATTACAGGCATGAGCTGCCGCACCGTCACCCTCCTCTTTCTTTGTGATAATTTCTGAGTATTTTGGGGGCTAGCAGGTGCAGAGCTGGCTTGTTACTTTCAAAGGCCTCAAAGCCCCACCTGGCCAGGCCGCCACCCTGCTGTACGTGGTTTTGCATCCTCTGTCACCCGTCTAGATAAGAGAGGCACATTTTGAATTTTGGCTGCAAGCCACCTTCCCTCAAAAACTCCCTCGCTGATGTGCTGATGGGCATGCAGCCCTCGGCACGCCCGTGGCCCTCCCGGCACCATGTCCTCTTCTCCCAGTGGTTTGGGGTGATGGCTGGTGGTCTTATATTTATTCATTTATCTTTGAGATAGGGTCTTGTTCTGTCACCCAGGATAGAGTGCAGTGGCACGATCATGGCTCACTGAAGCCTTGCCCTCTCAGACTCAAGTGATCCTCCCACCTCAGCCTCCCAAGTAGCTGGGACAACAGGCACGTGCCACCACACCCAACTTATTTATTTATTTATTTATTTATTTATTTATTTATAGAATGGGGGTCTACTATGTTGCCCAGGCTGATCTCCAACTCCTGGCCTCAGGGGATCCTCCCACCTTGGCCTCCCAGAGTGCCAGGATTACAGGCATGAGCCACTGCACCCGGCCAGCCAGCTGGGGCTTTGACAAGCATTGAACTCCAGCCCTCTTGGGCGGGCTGTTCCTGTCTGCCATCTGCTGTGGTCATCTTCTCAGACAACCACCTCACCGCTCCTTCGGCATCTGCTCCTCCTTCCTCCTGTTTTGAAGGAAGTTTTGTATAAACGGAGACTGCAGCTTCCCTGGATGCAGCTCGTGCTGGTTTCTACCCCTCCCCTCTGTCCTTCTGGGTCCAGGTTTAGTGGCAGCAAAGCCCCCACCTGGGTGAGCCCTGGGCAGGTCGGGAGGGAGGTGGGCTGCAGGGGTGGCTCAGCCCTTGGGACTGACTAGGACTTTAAAGATCCTGTTTCTTCCCTATCCAGCTGTGCGGTGCTTCCTGCGGATAGGGACAGCAGATCCCCAGGCCTCCTTCAGCTGGAAAACGTTCTTCTTGAGTGTAGGATGTGATGTTGGCACCTCCTGCTGTGCCCGCATGAGCCTTCCTTCTCTTTCAGGGCCGTTCCAGGTTTTCCTTTGTGCCTTGTCAGGAGGGTCCCCTATAAACAGACACAGTGGCAGAGGCCTCTCCAGACATCTCTGTCACATCTGTGCACGCAAGCAGGACCCAGCCAAGCCTGGGTCGGATGCCCGCAGGCACTGGGAGACCACCTGCTGCTCTGAATTCTGCCCCCAGGTCCAGGGAGGTCTGGGAAATCTGTCCTCCCTGGTCCTCACCTCCTCCGGGAAAGCCGGCTTCTGTGCTGTCCCTGGAGGCTCAGGGCTGTGAGCCCGGCCTTCTCTCTCCCCAGGGTCAGAACAAGTGACAGAGGTCACCAGGGGCTGCACCAACAACCGCATCGTCTCGGCCCGTCCCGGCTGGGAGGAGTTCACCTGGGACAGCATCCTCTGTGCCAGCGTCTTGTGCTGTTTGGAGACCCTGGGTAACCGGGAAGCCATGGCAGGCAGCGCTGCCCAGGCCCTGCAAGGGGGCTGCAGCTCACCCAGTGGTTAGCACCCTCCCTCCCTGATGCCCGCCCCCCTCATCTGCATGGTCCTTTGATGACCATCTCCACGTCTCATCCCCCATCTCTGTTTGGACTGGTCATGGGGCCTGCCCTCGCAGGTGAGGCTGCCTTGACTCGCTGCCTCCCCCTAACAGTGGAGGGAGAAGCTTCCTCTTGAGCCTGTAAGTCTGGGCAGGTCCAGCCCCCGTCCCCTCCCCCAGGGCCAAGGGGTGGCCAGTGCCCCGGTGTGTGCTTTCTGTTCCAGCCCAGGAGGGCGTCCCCTGACAAAGCCGCCCCTCTGTGCTGTGAGGTGGGAGGAGCCTCTGCCTGTCTACCGGCCCCAGATTCCACGCCCATCGGGGAAGCCCGGCAAAGGCACCAGCACTGGGAATGTGCCCCAGCAAACAGTGAGCAACGAGGAGGGTGAGGAAAGCGAGGAAGGCAGCCAGGACTCAGTGGCAGTGTGGACGCCGATGGCTGGATCATGAGCACCCCAGTGCTGTTCTCATGACAGAGTTCTCACGAGATCTGGGCATTTAAAAGTGTGTAGCACCTTCCCCCTCTCCCTCCTCCCCCCACCCCTCGCCCCCAGCTTTCTCCTGCTACGGCCTGTGACGCACCTGCTCCCCCATTGCCTTCCGCCATGGTTGCAAGCTTCCTGAGGCCTCTAAGCCTCTTTTCTTTATAAATTTCCCAATATTAGGTTTTGTTTTGTTTTGTTTTGTTTTTTGAGACAGAGGCTTGCTCTGTCGCCCAGGCTGGAGTGCAGTGGCATGATCTCGGCTCACTGCAACCTCTGCCTCCTGGATTCAGGCGATTCTCCTGCCTCAGCCTCCCCAGTAGCTGGCATTACAGGCACCCACCACCATGCCCAACTAATTTTTGTATTTTTAGTAGAGATGGGTTTTCACCATGTTGGCCAGGCTGGTCTCAAACTCCTGACCTCAAATGATCCACCCACCTCGGCCCCCCAAAGTGCTGGGATTACAGATTACAGGTGTGAGCCACCGCACCCAGCCAGGTATTTCTTCTTCTTCTTCTTCTTTTTTTTTTTTTTTTTTTTGAGATGAAGTTTCACTCTTGTTGCCCAGGCTGGAGTGTGGTGGTGCGATCTTGGCTCACTGCAACCTCTGCCTCCTGGGTTTAAGCGATTCTCCTGTCTCAGCCTCCCAAGTAGCTGGAATTACAGGTGTCTGCCACCACACACGGCTAATTTTTTGTATTTTTAGTAGAGACAGGGTTTCACCATGTTGGCCAGGCTGGTCTCGAACTCGTGACCTCAGGTGATTCACCCAGCTTGGCCTCCCAAAGTGCTGGGATTACAGATTACAGGTGCAAGCCACCGCACCCAGCCAGGTATTTATAACGATGTGAGAACAGCCTAACACAGACATTATATAAAGAGAAAACTGCACACAATGTTCTTTATGAACACATAAAAATCCTTCACAAAATACTTGAAAATAGAGTTCAGCAATATATACAAATAATTAAAGACCATGACCAAGTGGAGCTTTATTCCAGGGATGCAAGTCTGGTTCAATATCCAAAAGTAATCAATGTAGTTCATCCTATTAGTAGGCTAAGGCACAGGTATACATATGTAACAAACCTGCACATGGTGCACATGCACCCTAAAACTTAACGTATAATAGTAATAAAATAAAATAAAATAAAATAAATAGGCTAAAGAAGAAAAATCACATGACCACGTCAAAATGCAGAAAAAGCACCTGGCAAAATTCAACATCACTCATGATTTAAAAAAAAAAAAAAAAAAAAAACAACTCTCAGAAGAAGAGGAATCAAGGGGAACTTCATCAACTTGATAAAGATCATCTACAAAACACCCTCAGCTCACACGCTTGCTAATGAAAGACTAGATGCTTTCCCCTAAGATCAGAAACAAATGAAGAGCATCAGCTCTCACCACTAGCGTTCAACACAACACAGTGCTGGAAGCTCTGGCCGGTGCACACAGCAAGACAAGGAAACCCTCGCGTTCAACACAACACAGTGCTGGAAGCTCTGGCCGGTGCACACAGAGAGACAAAGAAACCCTCGCGTTCAACACAACACAGTGCTGGAAGCTCTGGCCGGTGCACAAAGAGAGACAAAGAAACCCTCGCGTTCAACACAACACAGTGCTGGAAGCTCTGGCCGGTGCACACAGAGAGACAAGGAAACCCTCGCGTTCAACACAACACAGTGCTGGAAGCTCTGGCCGGTGCACAGAGCAAGACGAAGAAACCCTCGCGTTCAACACAACACAGTGCTGGAAGCTCTGGCCGGTGCACACAGCAAGACAAGGAAACCCTCGCGTTCAACACAGTGCTGGAAGCTCTGGCTGGTGCACAGCAAGACAAGGAAACCCTCGCGTTCAACACAACACAGTGCTGGAAGCTCTGGCCGGTGCACACAGAGAGACAAGGAAACCAAAGGCATACACATCAAAAAGGAAGACACGCCCTTGTCCCATAAGCAGATGACTTTGTAGCCCACTTAAAAAATCGTAAGGAATCTGAAATAAATAAGAGCGTCCTAGAACTAATCAGTGAGTTCAGAAAGGTCACAAGAAAGAAGATAAACGTTTGAAAAATCAATTGTATTTCTATGTAGTAGCAGTAAACACATGGGCATCACAATGAAAAATATACTTCTATTTTTAACCACTCAAAAAATGAAGTACTTAGGTGTAAGTCTAACAAATAATGTGCTGGACTTTGTATATGTGTTTTGTACACAGAATTCTGATGAAAGAAAGAAGACGAAGAAAGTAAGTGAAAAGGCGTGCCTTGCTCATAGAGTGGAAGACTCAACATCGTGAAGTGGTGAATTCTCTCCCCAGACTGATTTATGGGTTTAACACAATTCTTATTGCGTCTAACAAAATTCCAAAAAGATATGTCATGAATAAGTACAAGATTATTCCAAAGGATAGATGGAAAGTGATGGAGCTAGAATAGCTAAAATTGGGTAATTTTTAAAGGAAAGAAATTTAATGCCTGTAATTCCAGCACTTCAGGAGTCCAAGGTGGGTGGATCACGAGGTCAGGAGATCGAGACCATCCTGGCTAACACAGTGAAACCCTGTCTCTACTAAAAATACAAAAAATTAGCTGGGCATGGTGGTGGGTGCCTGTAGTCCCAGCTACTCGGGAGGCTGAGGCAGGAGAATGGCGTGAACCTGGGAGGCGGGGCTTGCAGTGAGCCGAGACCGCACCACTGCACTCCAGCCTGGGTGATAGAGCGAGACTCTGTCGCAAAAAAAAAAAAAAAAAAAAAGAAGAGGCTTAATTTGGAAAAAGAGAAAAATGGGGCTAATCCATGTACCTGATTGCAAGACTTCTTATATATAGTAGTTATAATGACCTAGAGAGTGTGGGGTTGGCAGAGGGACAGATACTCAGATTGATGTGGCACAACGAACTGCCCAGAAATAGACCCACACAAATACGCCCTGGGGATTCCTACAAAGATGCAAGTGCGACTCAGTGGAAGACGCATTGCTTTCAAAGTGCGGCGCCACAGCAATGGAAAATCCGTAGGCAAAAAGCAACAACAGACAACAACAAAACTCAACCTAGACCTTGCACAAAAGTGACCTCAAAACAGATCACAAACATGAAATCAGAAAAAAAAAAATTAGGGAAAACAAAACCACAGGAGAACATCTTTGAGATCTGGGACAAGACAAAAAGGTTTTCAGACTTGACACCAGAAGCATGATCCATAAAAAGAAAAACTGATAAACTTGACCTCTTCAAATTTAAGACTTTTGCACTAAAAAAAAAAAAACTGTTAAGAGGATGTAAAGACAAGCTACAGTCTGGGAGAAAATATTTGCAAACCATTTATCCAGCAAAGAACTAGTGTCTAGACTGTATAAAGAACTCTCAAAATTCAACAGTTACAAATCAACCAATTAGAAAATGGGCAAAAGACATGAAAAGGCACTTCACTGAAGAGAATATTTATTCAAAGGAGGGCTTTCCTCATGAAAAACGAATATATAGATAACAAAATATGTACATAAAAAGATGTTCAACAACTTTGTAAGTGAAAGAAATGAAAATTAAAATGCAACAAGATATTATACACACCTATTGGAAAGGCTAAAATAAAAAAATGCCACTGGTGAGGATGTGGAACACTGGATCCGTCACACATTATTGATGTGAACATACAGTAGTAAAAACCCCCTGGAAAGCATTTCAGCTGTTTCTTAAAAAACTAAACATATGGCCAGGCACTGTGGCTCACACCTGTAATTCCAGCAGTTTGGGAGGCTAAGTCAGGCAGATCACGAGGTCAAGAGATTGAGGCCATCCTGGCCAACATGGTGAAACCTCATCTCTACTAAAAACACAAAAATTAGCTGGGCATGGTGGTGCACCTCTATAGTCCCAGCTACTCAGGAGGCTGAGGCAGGAGAATCGCTTGAACCTGGGATGTGGAGGTTGCAGTGAGCCGAGATCGCACCACTGCACTCCAGCCTGGGTGACAGAGCAAGACTCCATTGTGAAAAATAATAATAATAATAAATAAACATACAACTACCATACCACCCAATAATTGCACTCCCGGCCATTTACCTAGAGAAATGGAGACTTATGTTCACTCCCAAACCTGCTGTGTTAGTCTGTTTTCACACAGCTGATTAAGACATACCCGAAACTGGGCAATTTACAAAAGAAAGAGGCTTACTGTACTTACAGTTCCATGTGGCTGGGGAGGCCTCACAACCATGGCAGAAGGCAAGGAGAAGCAAGTCACGTTTTACGTGGATGGCGGCAGGCAAAGAGAGAGCTTGTGCAGGGAGACTCCCGTTTTTCAAAACCATCAGATCTCATTAGACTTATTCACTATCATGAGAACAGCACAGGAAAGACCTGCCCCCTGCTTCAATTACCTCCCACCAAGTCCCTCCCACAACACATGGAAATTCAAGGTGAGATTTGGGTGGGGACACAGCCAAACCATATGACCTAAACATGAATGTTTAGCACAGCTTGATACCAAATACCCCAACACTAGAAGCAACCCAGGTGTCCCTCAGTGGGCAAATGGTTAAACAAAGTGTAACACATCCGTACCGTGAAACACTACTGAGCAATAAAAATGAATGAGCTCTTGACACACCCCAAAGATGGACAGATCTTAAGAGAGCTATGCTGAGGGGAAAACACCAGTCCAAAGAAGTGACATTCTTTCTTTTTTGAGATGGAGTCTGGCTCTGTCACCCAGGCTAGAATGCAGTGGTGCGATCTCAGCTCACTGCAACCTCCGCCTCCCAGGTTCAGACAATTCCCCTGCCTCAGACTTCTGAGTAGCTGGGATTACAGGTGTGTACCACCACACCCGGTTAATTTTTTTATTTTTAGTAGAGATGAGGTTTCACAGTGTTGGCCAAGCTGGTCTTGAACTCCTGACCTCAAGTGATCTCCCCACCTCAGCCTCCCAAAGTGCTGGGATTACAGGCATGGGCCACTGTGCCCAGCCCCAAGAGGTTACATTCTGTAGGGCTCTATTTCTATTTCATGCTTGAAATGACACAATTATAGAAATGGAGAGGAGTGTTCCCCAAGAGTTAGTGGAGATTAGTATTCCCCAAGAATAGATTAGTGTTCCCCAAGAGTGAGGGAGGTCTTGGAAATAGGGGTAGGAGGCGGAGGGGGTGTGGCTATCAAGGACAACAGGAGGGACCCACGTGGTGCCAGAAACGTCTGTGCCTTGCCGCATCGATGCTCATGTCCTGGTTGTGCCGTTGTACTTTTCAGCTTTACAAGATGTTACTATTGAGGGAAACTGGGTGAAGGGCACACAGGACCTCTCTGTGTTATTCCTCACAACTACATGTGGATCTACAATGATCTCATAATTAAAAGTTGTATTTTTAAAAAGTATCCCAGACTTGGTCCCTAGGAGCCCGATCGAGTGGGGTTCTGTGTGCTTTTGAGATATTGCTGCCATCCTCTGAACTATTCCTTACTTTCCAACCATACGAGTCTTGGTGAAAAGGTGGAGTGACCAGACCATTCCTGCTCTGCTGGTGAACATGGAAAATGCTACAACCACCTTTGAAAATAGTTTGGCAGTTTCTTAAAAAGTTAAATATATGCCTGCATATGGTGCAGCCATTCCACTTGTGGGTATTTAGCAAAAAGCAATGAAAGCCCACATCCTTAAAAAGACCTGTATGCGAATGTTCGTAGCAGGCTTACTTGTAACGGACAGAAGCTGGAAAGACTCGAAACACCCACCAACATGCAAATGAGTAAACAAAGTGTGCTCCATCCAAGAATGGAAGACTGCCCAGCAATAGAAAGGAATTAACTGCTGATACACGCGGCCATGCAGATGAAGCTCAGAATAAGTAAGTCAGAGAAAAACACGTGTCTTAACTGAATGATTCCAGTTGGATAAAATTCCCGAAAATGCAAACTAGTCTACGGTTAAAGAAAGTGAGTCAGTGATTGCCTTGTGGGGTAGGGAGGGAAGGGAGGAGGAATTACAGAGGGGCAGGAGGAGGTTTTGAGAGTGGTGGATCCATTCCTTACCTCCATCAGTGTGCTGGTTCACCATGCAAGTGTCAACAATTATCAGGCTGTACACTCTAAACTTTACAGTTTATTGTATGTCAATTATATCTCAATAAAGCTGCTAAAAACAAAAACAAGTCTGAGAAATATGCAGAGAAGAGTGTGATGATAACTTGACTTCCCAACATCCCAGGTCAGAGAACAACAATGCAAGAGGCCTGATGCTGTGCTCTGAGCTCCTCACGGAGAAAGAAGTCCTAGGGCTCTGGGCCCCGTGCTTTGGAGTCAGAGCCACCTGAGCTGGCTTCTGCTCTGCTCATCCCTTTGGTCCCAGGCACCACCAGGCTTGTGCCGGGAGTCGGTGGCGATGGCGGGAACAACATCCCGTGCCCCTGTCCAAGGTGCTGAGCAGACGACGCAGGCCCCTCTTGAGCCCCTGGACTTGGTGGCGACAGGCTTAGGACCCACAATGACTGCAATGCTCTAGGTGCTCACCCAGGACCCCCAGCGCCAGGCAGACCAGGACCAGGCAGGGCTCAGGCTGCGTCAGAACCTCCCCAGAGGCACAGCAAGTTTATGGAAGCAAGTGCTCATGTAGACAGGCGCTAACGTTTTGTTTCTCTGTCTCCGTGGGACCGTGAGCTCCTCAAGGCAGACGGGGCCTGACGAGCACCTCCACTGCCTGAGGGGCCCCCTGGGGTGCCTGTGGGTCCTGTCCTGTCACCCTCTTTTGCTGACACACGTTAATCCTACAGTCCACTGTGTGAGGAGGTGATGACTCCGAATTGGGGTCTCTCTGACCATTTACAATCCCACTCGTCAGCAGAAAGTGTCTGCCGGGGTGAGCTGGGGCTCAGTCTGGAGAGTGGTTTGCCTGTGGACCAAGCACATGCTGGAGGCGTGAGGCAGAGAGGTCCCAAAGGGGTGAAAGGCATTTCTCTTAGTGGTGTCAGCTCTGCCCTCTTGAGGTCCTGCTATGAACACTTGAAGCTCCCTCATGTCCATCAAGGAACTCTGGAACCCAAAGACCACCCAGCTAGTCCAGGATCTCAATGGCCTGGGGCTGGACCCAAGGTGGTGAAGGTGTTATTCCCCTGGTTAGGGAGACTTGCCAGCCCAGAGAGGTGTGTGTGTGCAGCGGAGTTCCAGGTTCCTGTTCTGGGCAACCAGACTTGGGTCTGGCCCCAAGGAGCCCCTTGGGCTCTGCTGCAGCAGACGCCAGGGAAGAGCTAGACCTCACAGTGCAGCAGCCGTGTCAGCACAGGCTCCACGATGTGGAGCCACACATCCCCCACTCCGCTGTCGAGGCCGCCTGCACCATCAGAGACTAGGATAGGCCACTCTGGGGGTACCTTGTGCACTTGACTGGCGGGAGAGACCTCTGCTGGGGCTGCACTTACTAAGCATGTAGCTAGGACACAAATATCTCCACATTTGGGCTCATTTAGAGACGTCTACCCACTAGCTATTCCCTGAGACCTTCCAGCCCACAGGGTTCCCTCCCAGACCCTGGTTGTCCAGGCCAGCCCCTTTGGGTGCTGAATCAACATAGAGCTACAGCTCTGTCCCTTTCTCCTTCCAGGCAAAACCATACCAGGTGAGTCCCACAGGTTCTGCTCATAAGGTGGACTTTCCCCTCTCCCCTCGTAATCACCTGATCAAGGACAGTTTGATAGCTAGGGTTTTTCAAGGTTTTCTCCATATATTTCCAGGATAGTTTGGTGGGCAGGGGGACTAGGGGAATGGGTGCTGCTGATTGGTTGGGGATGCAATGATAGTCTGCCTCTGGGTGAGGACCACAGGACCAGTTGAGCCAAGAGTTGACGGTCCCGGTGGGGCCATCCGGTTGTCAGAAATGCAAAAGCCTGAAAAGACATCTCGAAAGGCCACCTTAGGTTCTACAATAGTGAAGTTATCTGCAGGAGGAATTGGGGAAGTTGCAAATCTTGTGGCCTCCAGAGCAATGGCTGGTAATCGTATAACTATGCCCACATCTTAGCAGAATTCAGGTCCCTCTCATCCTCCTAACCTGGCAGTCTTTCATTCGTTTTTCAAAGGTGATTTAGTCTGGGGAAAAGGTTAGTGCAAAAGTAATTGCATTACTTTTAATGGCAAAAAGCACAATGACATTTTCACCAACCCACCAACCTAATAATTTCAACTATAAACTAAATTTTTCCCAAAGTTAGCTTGGTCCAAGCCCAGGAATAACCAAGGGCAGTTTGGAGTTAAAGGCAAGATGAGATTGGTCAGGTCAGATCTCTTTCACCATCATAATTTTCTCACTGTTATCATTTTTGCAAAGACAGTTTCACCCTCTGCATCATTTAGGGCCACCCTTCAAAGGGGGAAGGGTGTGGCCATGTACTTTTGGGTAATGCCAGTATTTCATTAAAAAACATCCAGAAATGAGGCCGAAATATTTTCTTCTCTATAGGGCTGGTCAGAGGGAACAACCTGTGAGGACATCAGTGTGGGGACAGAGACCAAGGAGTGCAACAGGGGTCAGCCGTATCAGCCGTGTGTGAGTCTGAGCCACATACCTCACCCCTCCTGGCTAGTGGGGTGCAACCATGTCAGCCGTGCGTGAGCCTGAGCCACATGCCTCACCCCTACTGGCTAGCAGGGCGCAGCTGTGTCAGCCGTGCACAAGCCTGAGCCACATGCCTCACCCCTCCTGGCTAGCAGGGCGCAGCCATGTACATCTGGGGCATGAGTGCTGGGTGACACTCACTCATGGCAGGAGGCCCAGGTCCCTTGACAACCTGTACTTTATGGTATAGGTTGTCTGTTCTAAGCATGTGTTCTGAAATGGAACATTCATAGTGTTCACTGGCTTACTAGTTTCACCTCTAGGAAGTAGTGAACCTTCACTTGAGCCCAGTCGAAAGCCAGACTTTTTTTTTCTTGAAAGGAGAACAGTTATCTGCTGAAGACTATTCTGCCTCCAAAATCCAGAACGCCCTGCCTGGCACTGTGCCCCTCTCTTAGTGATGGGAGGTACCAGGACAGCAATTCTCTTTCCCTTGGGGGGAAATCGGGAGATGCTCCCAGGCGCTGGACCCCGGAGATCCCACCGAGATGGAAGACGCCTGGATTTTGTGTGCCTTATTTTCCAAGCTTCTGGCAAACATTTCTGTTCTAAGCATGGATTCTGAAATGGAATATTTGCCACATGGTGGTTCCTGGGCTTGCTATTAATAGTTCCACTATAAGCTGGAGCTGATCTCAAACATTCTTTGCCATCTGACCGGCTTACCCTCACCCCCACTCCCCGGAATGAAGGAACAGTGTCATATTAAGTCTCCAGGAATTATCGGTGTCCAGTCATCCTGAAAATCCTGAAAAATATGGTCATTTCTCCTCCTCCAACACACAGTCATCCTGGCAAGAAGACGGCTAGGAAGATTTACACCCTGAATCCGTGCATGCAACAGTGTTCTCCTTCAGTGGAACCCTGCCTATGCTTGACTTAGGGCGCTCTGGCTAAAATACGGGAATCAGGGGTGGACGGTGGGTTCTCATTTGAGTCTTTCACTTGTGACATAAGCTGCCCAGGCCAGGATCCAGGATTTTTTTTTTTTTTTTTTTTTTTGAGATGGAGTCTTGCTCTGTCGCCCAGGCTGGAGTGCAGTGGCTCAATCTCGGCTCACTACAATCTCTGCCTCCTGGGTTCAAGCATTTCTCCTGCCTCAGCCTATGAAATAGCTGGGACTACAGGTGCCTGCCATGATACCTGGCTAATTTTTGTATTTTTTGTACAGATGTGCTTCACCACGTTGGCCAGGCTGGTCTCCAACTCCTGACCTCAGGTGATCTGCCTGCCATGGCCTTCCAAAGTGCTGGGATTATAGACATGAGCCACCATGCCTGGCCAGGCCAGGATTTTGTTTTAATCATTGCTTATACAAATCAGGTTAGACTGTCTCCCACTGAATTCAGGAAGCCAAGGGAAGCAACGTTTTTGCAGTTCTGGAATATTCTTCTGTTGCACTTTTTTTTTTTTTTTTTTTTTTTTTTTTTTTTGGAGACAGAGTCTCGCTCTGTTGCCCAGGCTGGAGTGCAGTGGCATGATCTCGGCTCACTGCAACATCTGCCTCCCAGGTTCAAGTGATTCTCCTGCCTCAGCCTCCTGAGTAGCTGGGACTACAGGTGCATGCCACCATGCCTGACTAACTTTTGTATTTTCAGTAGAGACAGGATTTCCCCATGTTGGCCAGGCTGGTCTGGAACTCTTGACCTCAGGTGATCCACCTGCCTCGATCTACAGAAGTGCTGGGATTATAGGCATGAGCCACTGTGCCCGGCCGCACTTTTTATTTGTCAAAGTACAAAGGTACTGACACACAAAAAACGTTTTTTCCTTTGTCATTTTTTTTTTGTGGTAAAATGCACATAACACAGAAAACCAAACGCCAAATCTCTCTCATAAGTGGGAGTTGAACAGTGAGAACACAAGGACACAGGGAGGGGAACAACCCACACCAGGGCCTGTTGGGGGGTGGGGAGCAACAGGAGGGAACTTAGAGGATGGGTCAATAGGTGCAGCAAACCACCATGGCACATGTATACCTATGTAACCAACCAGCGAACCACCATGGCACACATGTACCTATGTAACCAACCAGCGAACCACCATGGCACACACGTACCTAAGTAACCAACCAGCGAACCACCATGGCACACGCGTACCTATGTAACCAACCAGCAAACCACCATGGCACACGCGTACCTATGTAACAAACCAGCAAACCACCACGGCACGCATGTACCTAGGTAACCAACCAGCAAACCACCATGGCACGCATGTACCTATGTAACCAACCAGCAAACGACCATGGCACATGTGTACCTATGTAACAAACCAGTAAACTACCATGGCACGCATGTACCTATGTAACCAACCAGTAAACCACCATGGCACACATATACCTATGTAACCAACCAGCAAACCACCATGGCACACGTGTACCTATGTAACCAACCAGCAAACCACCATGGCACACGCATACCTATGTAACCAACCAGCAAACCACCATGGCATATGTATACCTACGTAACAAACCAGCAAACCACCCGGCACACATGTACCTATGTAACCAACCAGCAAACCACCATGGCACATGTATACCTACGTAACAAACCAGCAAACCACCCGGCACACGTATACCTATGTAACCAACCAGCAAACCACCATGGCACACGTATACCTATGTAACCAACCAGCAAACCACCATGGCACATGTATACCTACGTAACAAACCAGCAAACCACCCGGCACACATGTACCTATGTAACAAACCAGCAAACCGCCATGGCACACGCGTTCCTATGTAACCAACAGCAAACCACCATGGCATGTGTGTACCTATGTAGCAAACCTGCACATTCTGCACTTGTATCCCTGAACTTAAAGTAAAATTATTTTTAAAAATTTACCATTTTTATCATTTTAAAGTGTACAATTCAGTGGCATTAAGTACACTTATAATGTGTGACCATGACCACCATCTTGTTCCAGAACCTTCTCATCACTCCAGATGGAAACCCCATGCCCCACTAAGCAGTCACTCCCCATTTTTTCCTCCCCCAGCCCCTAAGCAACCACTTTCTGTCTCTTGGACTTGTCTGTTCTGGACATTTCATATGAATGGAACCATACAGCATGCGGCCTTTGGTGCCAGGCTTCCGAGGTGCATCCACGCGTGTCACATATCAGATGCATCCACACGTGTCATGTATCAGGTGCATCTATCTGCACGTGTCACATATCAGGTGCATCTGCACGTGTCAGGTCCATCCACGCGTGTCACGTATCAGGTGCATCTGCACGTGTCATGTATCAAATGCTGTAAGTCCTAGTCATGAGGAAAATGAAAACCAAAACCACAATGAGATAGATACCTCTTCACACCCACTAGGATGGTCATCGTCAAAACTACAGAAAATAACAAGTGCTGGTGAGAAGATGAGGAGATTGGAACTCTCAGACCCTGCTGGTGGGAATATAAAATGCCGCAGCCACTGGAAACAGTTTCTTATAAAAGTAAACGTGCAAGTCCTGTGCAACACAGCAAGGGCACTCCTAGGTATATACCCAACGGGACTGAAAACAGGCATTCAAACAAAAACTTGTCCATGAATGTTCATAGCAGCTGATATGGTTTGGATGTTTTTTCCTCTAAATATCATGTGGAAATGATCCCCAGTGTTGGAGGGGGTGGGAAGTGACTGGATCATGGGGGTGGACCCTTCACGGATGCCTTGCTGCCACCCCTTGCTAATGAGTGCTTTCTCACAGTGAGCTCCCGGGAGATGTGGCTGTTTAAAAGTGTGCGGCGTCTCCCCCCACTATGTTCCTCCTGCTCCCATCATGGGACGCGCCATCTCTCACTTCCACCATCAATAAAAGCTCTCCGAGGCCTCCTGAGAAGCCTCCGCAAGCCAATGCCAGTGCCATGCTTACTGTCCAGCCTGCAGAACTGCGAGACAAACACAAATACCAGTCTCAGGTATTTCTTTACAGCAACAAAAGAACAGCCTAATATATGCAGCAATATTCACAAGTACCAAATGGTAGAAGCAACCCAAATATCCCTCAACAAATGACGGATAAACAGAATGTTTAAGTGTATACAGAAGAACACTATTCAGCCACTGTCTCACAGTGAACAAGTCCAAACACATCTACCTCAAAGTCCAAGGAAGCTGACAGGCCAAAGAAAGAGGCTGACAAATTCACATCTTTTTTTTTTTTTTTCTTTTGAGGCAGAGTCTTGCTCTGTCGCCCAGGCTGGAGTGCAGTGGCGCCATCTCGGCTCACTGCAAGCTCCGCTTCCCGGGTTCACGCCATTCTCCTGCCTCAGCCTCCCGAGTAGCTGGAACTACAGGCGCCCGCCACCACGCCCGGCTAATTTTTTGTATTTTTAGTAGAGACGGGGTTTCACCGGGTTAGCCAGGATGGTCTCGATCTCCTGACCTCGTGAAATGCCCACCTCGGTCTCCCAAAGTGCTGAGATTACAGGCGTGAGCCACCGCGCCTGGCCCACAAATTCAGTTCTTAAAAAGAAACATTTAATAGGGACTTAGAAACAGAAGCCATGTCAGTCTCAGGCTACGGTGAGTCAAGATGGCGGCTCCCTGCGCCGTCACCACCCAGGCCCAGGGCTTCTATTGCCATAGTGCAGGGGACATGCCTCAGAGGGGGTGGGCAGGAATTTCCCTAAGGCCAGGACTTGTGATAAGGATGTGCTCTTACACAAGGAACAACAGATGAACGGGAACTCTCAGAGGCATTCCCGGAACTGAGGTTAATCAGAAGCCAACACGACAAACTAGCGTCCAAGATGGAGCGGCTTCGGCCTCCATGATCCGCCCGCGCCGCCCCACTAATCCAGCTCTGACCGTCTCACCTGCCCTCCTCTTCCGCGATGGTCCCTGAGCCTTAGGGAGGGTGCTTGGGGTTGTCTGGCTTCAGCAGCGGTGCCTTGGCGTCGGAAAACAGGTCGGGCCCGGTGAGAGTCCCAGTGAGGGAGGGTCACCGGCTGTTGAATCATCTCTAGTCTTCAGGATACCACGACTTCTGTTTTCTCAGAGAAAATAAAACAACAAGAGATACATAACATTAATAATTTGCACACAAGGATGACAATCAAAAGGGAATTTGTATTTCAGAACAGTAACAAAAAAGAACCTATTTCATTAAGAAGCCGACTAAAAGCATCGTGAAGGAAACTAAAACCCGGTTTTTCTTTAGAGACTTGTAGCCAGTGAATGATTCAGGATTAGCCCAAATTGTAAGCAAATAATAACTCAAAAACAACGGTCAGAGCTAGGATCTAAATTTTTCTCTCTCTAGTTTCCCCATTTCTACCAAGGATAAATCATAGTAGGACCAGTTTATTTGCAAAATAAATTTCGGTCTCATTATACTTGGCCTATTTGCATGAAGCGTGGCAAGAATAGTTACCAGCCCTAGAGGCTTTTTTTTTTTTTTTTTTTCCCTGTGACAGGGGCTTGCTCTGTCAGCCATGCTGGAGTACAATGGTGCAATCAGAGCTCACTGCAGCCTCAGCCTCTCAGGCTCAAACACTCCTCCTGCCTCAGCCTCCCGAGTAGCTGGGACCCTTGGCACACCCCACCACACCCAGCTCATTTTTTATGTTTTGTAGAGACAGGGTCTCAGCATGTTGCCTAAGCTGGTCGGCTCTTTTTAAGTTGGCTTTGCTGGAACTTTTTTAGGGAATTTTGGACTCAACTTATTAAAAGCCTCAAGGGTAGGAAGCCAAGCGAAGGATTCACTGAATGAAATTGAAGTATTTTACCGCAAATTGTGTTTCTTTGCCATGTCTTGAAATAGCCTTGCAAAGCTTTCTCTTGTGGGGAAAAGCTGCATTCTGAAGAGAATCCTTTTCCTTTTTCAGGACTTTTCCCTGATTCAAGAGAGAATCAACTCTGGTAAGAAACATTTACAATCTGTTCTCTCTGAAGCTACCTGGAGGCTTTCTCTGTGTAATAGGAACTTGGTCACCACAATCCCTCATTAACCCAGACATTCCTTCTTTTGATTCCAGGTCTTTAGATAGTAACTCCTTCAACCAATTGCCAATCAGTAAATCTTTGAATCTACCTATGACCTGGAAGTCCCTGTTTCAAGTTGTCCCACCTTTCCTGATCGAACAAATGTATGTCTTCCCTGTATTGATTGGTGTCTCATGGCTCCCTAAAATTTATAAAACCAAGTTGTGGCCCAAACACCTTGGGCACTTGTTCTCACGGTCTCCTGAGGCCGTGTCATGGGCCACAGTCTCTCATATTTGGCTCAGAATAAATCTCTTCCAATATTTTACAGTTTGACTCTTTTCGTTGATTTTTTCATGCCTTTACTTTTGCAGTAGTAGGTAGGGGTTTCCCCAGTCCACGTACAATATCCATTTTCCATTTTCCTTTTTTTTTTTTTTCCTGAGTCTCTATTGCCCAGGCTGGAGTGCAATGGCACAATCTCGGCTCACTGCAGCCTCTGCCTCTTGGGTTCAAGCAATTCTCCTGCCTCAGCCTCCCCAATAGCTGGGACTACAGGTGCATGCCACCATGCCCGGCTAATTTTTGTATTTTTAGTATAGATGGGGTTTCATCATGTTGGTCAGGGTGGTCTTGAACTCCTAACCCCAAGTGATCCGCCCACCTCGGCCTCCCAAAGTGCTAGGATTACAGGTGTGAACCACTGTACCAGCTTCAATATCCATTTTCATAAAGCATTTAGGTAAAGGATATGTAATGCCTTACATAAAGCCTGTTTAAACATCTCGGCTTTCATAACTCTATCACACAAGTCGACTTTCATAACTCGACGTCTTTCTGTTCTGCTCCCAGGAACTTCTTTTTCCCACCTCCAGACCATTTTACCCTCTCTTGTGAAAAAGGATGTGGGTGCCCCACAGGGGCTTGATCCAAGGGACCCTGGCCCTTCTGTCAATCTTATCTTGATTAACCCACCTCAACATTGGCCCCCGCAATTGTTGGTCAGTTTGCTCAGTGTAACTTTTGCCTTCCAATTTTTATAGTTAGAGTGCCTTCTCCAATCTGGCAAAAACTGTTTTGGAGCTCTTTACTGTTGAGGGACCAGCGGGGGCTCCCTTTGTTCACCCAACTTTCGATAGTGTTGTATTAAGACCTTTGTGAATAACCCCCCATTATTCATTCCATTGCTTAACAACCATGTACAGATTCCACCCCGCTAGGATGCACCCCATGACTCTCTCCTTTCCTTTTTCCTCTTGGTTTCACCCCATCCACTTTTTACCTTTTTTTTGAGATGGAGTCTTACTCTGCCACCCAGGCTGGAGTGCAGTGGCAGTCTTGACTCACTGCAATTCTCCTCCCTCAGTCTCCTGAGTAGCTGGGATTACAGGTGCGCGCCACCACACCTGGCTAATTTTTGTATTTTTAGTAGAGATGAGGTTTCGCCATGTTGGCCAGGCCAGTCTCGAACTCCTGATCTCAGGTGGTCTGCCCACCTCTGCCCCTCAAAGTGCTGAGATTACAGGCGTGAGCCACCAGGCCTGGCCCATTTTTTACCTATTTAAAACTAATCGTTTAAAAATTTTCCCCTTCCTAGGATGAGTCCTTGGACTCCCTTTTGCCTTTCCCAATAATTTTATTAATTAGCCTAAAGTTTTTATAAGCATCTGGATGACCCATGAGGGGAAGTTGAGACCCAATGAGGTGCCCAGGCCAATGGGCCCCCTTAACCACAGCATTTACCATGATCTGGGCATACTCAGCCGTGAATATCCCGGTCATCATAAAGTCAGTCCCACATGGCTTGCTTACGAAGCACATCAGCTGCTTCATCGGGGGTGCTCCACTTGGCGTTTATGGGGAAAGTTGGGTGGTCCCCTTCTCTTACAGTGCCTTTTATCCAGCCCACCAGGCTGGCCGTTCCCTCAGGAATAATCTGTGCGTCTGGATCACACACACTCATCTGCCATTGTTCAGCAGTGAGCTGTGGGTCTCACATCAGCCCACACGTGCTCTTCCATTCTGCTGCACTTGTGACCAGCAGAAGGGTGAGGCTGCTCACCACTTGTAGAAAGAAGCCAAAATAATAATGAGGTGTGATAGAAAGAGAGTGAGACTTTATTATCCGTACCAGCAAAGGGATGAGCACAAAGCAATTCCACTCTTCCATTTGTGGAGGGAACGCAGGGGATTTTAAAGAGAGGGTTTGGAATGCAGAAGAGGCAGGTGATGAGGAGGTGTCGGGTGGCAGGAACCAGTCCCATGGCTCATCTCGAATTATTGTTCCATCTGGTGAAGGGGCCAGGGCCATCGTGGCTGGAAGTGTCTGGTCCATAGCAGGATCCGGCCCCTGAAACTTCTAAGGAAATACATCACCAGAGAAGTGAGCATGGTGTGAGCTTAACAAGCATCCAGGTAAATAAGTGTGTGTAAGGTGTGACAGCATGGAATAGAAAAAGAAGGGGAGGGGAGGCCACAGCACATTCCCAGGCTATGTTTCAAGATGAAAGGAAACCCGTATGCAGCTTGACTCAAAGTTATATCTTGAGATTGGGAAGAAAGGAGAAAAAACAAAGTTTTAAAACATGGTTTGAAGCCAAGCTGCTCAGTTACACATTTAAAACCAAAAACACTGTTCCCAAATTAGTCATTCTCATAATTTATTTTGGTAGAAGTTCCTCAGGAAGCGAATCTACAAAACGAAGCAATTGCCCCACATCACGTCCTCTGGCTTCAGTGCTACTTGATTTTGCCCTTACTACCATCTTGGTAACCACAGGTCTCAGGGTGCTTTCTTTCATCCCTGGCATCATTTCCCCTTTGTGGGTAGTTTTGAGGCTAATGGCCTGAGCTCAGACAGACCCACAACTGAGCATGGTCCAGGCCCAACCCAGCACTCTCTTACACTTTCATTTTAGCTACTGCAGATAGCAGTAACCAAGGGATTGAATGTTTTGCTTTTTGCTTATTAGTCTGCATCTTCTTATGCATCCACTGAACCAACTCCCCAAGGGTTTGTGCCATCTCTAATTCTACCAGTAGCTTTCCCCTTTAGCAGCTGAGGATGGCACAGCTGCAGCTCCAGACCAGGGATGACGTGTGGCCGCTAAGGAATCAAGGGCTTCTTGTTGCCCAGCCCTTTATTCTTCCTCTTTCTATCCATTTACTCTCATCCATGTCATCTTTCCTTGATTCCAAAACAACCTGTAAATAGCTTCCAAACTAGACAAGAGTACTTTTCCTTTAAGCAGAAACCATATCTTTATGATTTTTATAACCTTTGCTAAAAACACATCTTACATTATGGCCGGGCGCAGTGGCTCACGCCTACAATCCCAGCACTTTGGGAGGCGAGACGGGCACATAACTCAAGGTCAAGAGTTTGAGACCAGCCTGGCCAACGTGGTGAAACCCATCTCTACTAAAATATAAAAATTAGCCGGGTGTGGTGGCGGGCGACTGTAATCCCAGCTACTCAGGAGGCTGAGGCAGGAGAATCACTTGAACCCGGGAGACAGAGGTTGCAGTGAGCCAAGATCGTGCCATTGCACTCCAGCCTGGGGGAGAGAACGAGACTCAGTCTCAAAAAAAAAAAAGAAAAGGAAAAAAGAAAAACCCACATCTTACTTTTCATACACTCTGTATGTAGAATAGTTTTGCCTATATCTAGCAGTTTTAATTACATATATAAACTATTACTGTAACTTAGTAACCCCTTATTTCTAGAAAATCCTAGTCTTAATTTAGCATGACTTTTAGATTTTATAAAGAGAATTTTGAAACTAGTTTTACTTACCAAAGATTACCAAAGTCACATGAACTAAAAGGCATTTGAGCTAGCTTCTATTATCCTGATAAGATATTTAAGTGTTTAAATTTCCTTTAAGCCCATTAGAGTTCTTTCATACAATCTGGTAGTGACCGGTCACATACGCATGACCCATGTAAACATATATGAGATAGAATAGGAGCGGGACGTGGCTCCTCCTTCACGATCTCACCATGCCTTCTACCTAACCCTGTTCCCATTGAGAAAAAAGAAGGTGCCAGCGCTCATTTAATTTTACATAAACACGCTCTTTGAGGGTGAAGCAAATCTGACTGCTTTTCAATGTGAAAATAAAATATAAAAACTGTTGTTGGAGTTATTTCTAAACAGAACATCAGAGTCATCTGAAGCATCAGAATCATCTATTTCTGAAAAATCAGATTCATCAAATGATCTTCAGCCAACAACTGTTCGAAAACGGTGCTCATGTCACAGAAACGCTACATTTTCTAAGATTTGACATTTTCAGTGGTTGCTAATTACTATATGTTGTAACTGGAAATGCCACTACTGCAAACAGAATGTATAAATAGAATAATGTCTTTTGTTGCCAAAGTCAATCTACTAGAGCAATGCAAAAATAGTTATAAAAGTGAGATATTTCGTGGCAAAGTTTTCTCGAAGTAAATGCTGCAGCCACAAGTGCCACCGGCAAGTATTCTTGGGGCAAACAGGAAATGGGTTAAAGAAGTTCAGGATCCGGCCTTAGGAAATCCAAATATCACACCGAGGTTGCGGTCTGATCTCATTTATTCAGCCTGAATAGATTTCTTTAGCATTTCTCATAGCGCGTATGTGCTGATAATAAATTCTTGTGGTTTTATTTTATTTAAAAATGTATTTACTGCCGGGCTCAGTGGCTCACACCTGTAATCCCAGCACTTTGGGAGGCCAAGGCAGGTGGATCACCTGAGGTCAGAAGTTCAAGACCAGCCTGGCCAACATGGTGAAACCTCGTTTCTACTAAAAATACAAAAATTAGCCGAGTGTGGTGGCGGGTGCCTGTAATCCCAGCTACTCTGGAGGCTGAGGCAGGAGAATCGCTAGAACCATTAGGAGGCGGAGCTTGCAGGGAGCCGAGATCTCACCACTGCACTCCAGCCTGGGTGACAGAGCGAGACTCCGTCTCAAACAAACAAACAAACAATAGTATTTACTTCACCTTCCTTCTTGAATAATATTTTCACTGGATATAGAATACTGGGTAGATCCTTATTTTTCCTTCAGCACTTTAGAGACATTGTTCCACTGTCTTCTGGCCCCATTCATTTCTTTCTTTTTTTTCTTTTTTCTTTTTTTTTTTAGACAGAGTTTCACTCTTGTTGCCCAGGCTGGAGTGCAATGGCGCAATCTCAGCTCACCGCAACCTCTGCCTCCCGGGTTCAAGCGATTCTCCTGCTTCAGCCTCCCGAGTAGCTGGGATTACAGGCATGCGCCACCACGCCCAGCTAATTTTGTATTTTTGGTAGAGACAGGGTTTCTCCATGTTGGTTAGGCTGGTCTCAAACTCCCGACCTCAGGTGATCTGCCAGCCTCAGCCTCCCAAAGTGCTGGGATTACAGGCGTGAGCCACCGCGCCCGGGTGGCCCCCATCATTTCTGATGAGAAGTCAGCTCATGTTGGGGTTGATGTTCTAATACTTCGTGGGAATGTGTGTTTTCCTCCAACTGCTTTCAAAATGTGTCTTTGGCCGCCAGCAGTTTGACTATGGTGTGCCTAAATGTAGTGTTCTTTGTATTTATACTCTATGGGGTTTGTTGAGTTTCTTAAATCTGTAATTTTATGCCTTTCATGAAATACGGAGGTTTTTTGGCAATTGTTTCTTTAGATAATTTTTTTCTGCGCAATTTTTTCTCTCCTCTTCAGGAGCTCCTATTACATTTATCTTAGGCCTTTTAATATTGTGCCACGACACTCTGACGCTCTGTACATATTTTCCTTTTCCTCTGTATTCTTCAAATTGGTTAATTTCTATTAATTTACCTTCAAGCTCCTCTTTCTTCTGTCACCCTCAATCTTCTTTTAAGTCCAACTGGCAAATTTTTACCTCAAATATTTTAACTTTTTGGTCTAGAATTTCCACTTGATTCTTCTTATAGTTTCTATTTCTCTGTTGAGATTTTCTATCTTTTCATTCATTAAAAGCTTATTTTCCTTTACATCCTTGAACATAGATATAATTTCTGCTTAAAGCCTCGATGTGATCATTACAATATCTGAGTTATCTCAGAGATTGTCTCCATTCATTATCTTTTCTCTCATGTATGGGTCATAGTTTACTGTTTCTTCTGTGTCAAGAAATTTTATTTTTTTGAAACAGAGTCTCGCCCTGTCGCCCAGGCTGGAGTGCAGTGGCATGAGCTCAGCTCACTGCAACCTCTACCTCCCAGGTTCAAGTAACTCTCCTGCTTCAGCCTCCCAGGTAGCTGGGATTACAGGTGCAAGCCACCACGCCTGGCTAATTTTTTTGTTTGTTTGTTTTGTTGTTGTTGTTTTTAATAGAGACGGGGTTTCACCATGTTGGCCAGGCAGGTCTGGAAGTCCTGACCTCAGGTGATCCACCCGCCTCGGCATCCCAAAGTGCTGGGATTACAGGTGTGAGCCACCGCGCCCGGCCAGGTAATTTTAAATCGCTTCTGGACATTGACCGTGATGTGCATGGAAACTCTGCACTCATTATGTTCCTCTGAAGGACATTCTTTTTTTTTTTTTTTTTTTGAGACAGAGTTTTGCTCTTATTGCCCAGGCTGGAGTGCAGTGGAGCCATCTCAGCTCACTGCAACCTCCGCCTCCTGGCTTCAATCGATTCTCCTGCCTCAGCCTCCTGAGTAGCTGAGATTACAGGCATGTGCCACCACGCCCGGCTAATTTTTGGTATTTTTAGTAGAGACGGGGTTTCTCCATGTTGATCAGGCTGTCATCGAACTCTCAACCTCAGATCCGCCTGCCTCAGCCTCCCAAAGTGCTGGGATTACAGGGGTGAGCCACCACGCCCGGCTGGGCATTCCTTTTTTAATCAGGCTTTTCAACTTGGCTGAACTCAGCCTGTACACTCTGTCATCCAAGCGTGGATGGTAGCTGAAATTTCAGCTCAGTTCTACTTGGTTCAGTTCACCCTTAGCTGGGCTACTTGGAGTCCACCCTTGCTGAATACTGTGCAGAGAGTAAGTGAAAAGCAGGTTCGTTGCTCACCGCATGCAGAGTCCAATTAACCAAAGCAAGTTCTGGTACCAGGGAAGCAAGCTTACGCTGAAGCTAGCTCAGGGGAAGGGGCACACAGCATCCTGCCTTTAAATGTGCCGCTTCCCCTTTGGAGCCGAATGTAGGCATTTTTATAAGGTAGGGAGGAAATGAGCAAGGGCAGGGGTACCCCTGCTACTGGGAAGTTGGTATCTACCAGGCAGTTGTTATCTAGAGTCAGAGCCTTCCTGGGCAGAGTGGGTTACAAAAGTGGCCAAGTGGGCATGTTTTCGACATGCCCTCTTAGTGGGTGTGAGTTCCAGTTTCAAGGCAACCTCTGGAGGTGAGAGTTCCGTCTTGGAACACGCAGGTAGATGAACTTGCTCTGTAGGGAATATCTGGTTATGTTTGCCTTTCTAAAGGGCTAAGTAGGAAACAGGGAGCCAGGGAGGAGAAGAACAGGAAAAACAACTTCTAAAAGTTTAACTATCTCTTAGAAATATGGGGGTACTAGGATCCAAGAGGTTAGCCAGAAATAGGAGGACATTGTGTGCATAGAATGTTGGCTCTCCTTCTCCCTCTCTGTCTCTGTCTTGGATTTTCTCCCTCACTTTCCAGCTGCTGCTGTTGCCCTGAACTCTGTTGTCTGGTTCTTCAAGTCAATCAGGCTGTGGGTTTTCTACCTGAGTTTTAGCCTCTCCACGTGGTGCAGACTGGAATCCATCCTCAGGCTAAAATCCATGACAACAGGAACCCACCCCCCACCCCGGGGGGTTCTCCTGTCCCAGGTGTTGACTATCCCCCAGGCCTGGACGGCTTCTGTCACACTCCAGTGACTACCCTCAGGTAGTTGTTAATCTTTTGTCTGGAATTTAGAGTTGTTATCTAAGGGAAGGTTGGTATAATAGGAGCTTTTCAGCCATGATCAGATGTAAGTTCCAGTAAATATAGCTCAAAGTTCTAAGATTCTAGAAGTACTAGAAATACGAAAAAAGTAATTGCATATACTTCCAATAAGTCAAATTTTATGCTGTAATTTCTAAGGCAACTAGTTAAAAGTAAAAGCCATGTGACTGAGTAACAGAAAAAGTGGAATAAAAATATTTGATTAATCTAAAAAATGAAAGATGAGAAAAGAAACATAAAACAGATGAAATACCAAAAAAAAAAAACAAAGGTAGATATTACCCTACTATCAGTAATTTTACTAAGTCTAAACAAATTAAGTACTGGAAGCAGAAGAATAAGATTTTCAAAGCTGCTTATGAGAAAACGTAAGAACTCAAGAAAGAGCAAGAGTAAAATCACAGAGAAAAGCAAACCCTGTAAACCAAGAAAAAACTAGCGTGGCTCCACTCACACCACACACAGTACATTCTTATCACAAAGAGAACTGCTGCAATCTCTATTTTTTTCTAGCTAATAAATATTCTCTAGTTATAATAAAGGATACTTTAGGCCGGGCGCGGTGGCTCACGCCTGTAATCCCAGCAGTTTGGGAGGCCGAGGCGGGTGGATCACGAGATCAGGAGATCGAGACCATCCTGGCTAACAGGGTGAAACCCTGTCTCTACTAAAAATACAAAAAATTAGCCGGGCGTGGTGGCAGGTGCCTATAATCCCAGCTACTCGGGAGGCTGAGGCAGGAGAATGGCGTGAACCCAGGAGGCGGAGCTTGCAGTGAGCCGAGATCGTGCCCCTGCAGTCCGGCCTGGGCAAAAAAGCGAGACTCCGTCTCAAAAAAAAAAAAAATTAATAATAATAATAGAGCCTTTAAAAATGTATATATATTTAAAAATATGTAATTATATGTGTGTGTGTGTGTGTGTGTGTGTGTGTATATATATATATACATATATTTTTTTTTTTTTAAGATGGAGTCTCACTCTGTTGCCCAGGCTGGAGTGCAATACTGTGATCTTGGCTCACTGCAACCTCTGCTTCTCAGGTTCAAGCGATTCTCCTGGCTCAGCCTCCAGAGTAGCTGAGATTACAGACGCCCGCCACCACGCCTGGCTAATTTTTGTATTTTTTAGTAGAGATGGGGTTTCACCATGTTGGCCAGGCTGGTCTCAAACTCCTGACCTTAAGTGATCCACCCACCTCGGCCTCCCAAAGTGCTGGGATTACAGATGTGAGCCACCACACCCAGCCTAAAAATTATATATTTTAATGATTTTTCTCTAGTATGTGAAATACAAATGACTTCTATAATTTACTCTTCTCTACTGTTACTTCTAATAATGTCTCTGTAGTTTTATCTTTTCAATATAGATGATCCCCTAATCCAGGAGTTAGCAAACTTTTTCTGCAAAAGTTTTCCACTTTCCCAGCCATATGCTTGCTGTTGCAAGAACTCAGCTCTGTCCTGGTAACATGAAAGCAGCCAGAGACAAGATGGAAACAAATAGGTGTAGTCAGATTTCACCCATGATGGGTCAGATTTTGCCTACAGCGGGCAGTTTGCCAACCCCTTCTATAACCGACAAATAATAACATTTTAATTTCCTCCTTTCCAATCTTCGTGCCTTTATTTTTCTTACTTTATTATACTGTCTTATTCTATTGTTGAATGGAAATGGTAAACATAAATATCTAATGTGTTGGGGTGGGGGGATGGGGGAGGGATAGCATTAGGAAATATACCTAATGCTAAATGACGAGTTAATGGGTGCAGCACACCAACATGGCACATGTATACATATGTAACAAATCTGCACATTGTACACATGTACCCTAAAACTTAAAGTATAATAAAATAAAATAAAATAAAAAAAGAAAGGCTGCACATGCCCTCAGCTTAAAAAAAAAAAAATCTAATGTGTCATTCCTATTGCAAGAGGGAATGCTTCCACTCTGTCCCTGTCTATAATTGGTGGTAAGTTTTACACAGCTAGCCTTTATTAAGTTAAGGTAAAGTCCTTTCAGTCCTAATGTATACGAAGTTTTTCATAAATGTGTGTTAAGTTTTTTTTCAAAAGGGGTTTCATTGAATTGAACTGGTGACTTTTCTCATTTAATCTGCTTCCAAGGTGATATTCATTTATAGATTTCAAGCCTTCCTTGCATTCCTGGGTTAAGCCTGCTTTGGTCATCTTGTGTTATCTTTTCATACATTATTTATTTGGTTTGCTAAAATTTTGTTGGTAATCTTGCTGTTAAACATATTTTTGAGTGAACGGGCCAGTCATGTTTCCTGTGATGACTTTGCCTGCTGTTCATATCACTGTTGTACTGGCCTCTTGGAGGAGCTGGGGCATCCCCTCTTCCTATTCTTGGGAAAATGTGTGAGGTCAGAATGATAGGAAAGGCTACTAAAACCCAACTGTACAATCACCTGGGCCTGATATCTTCCTTTTAGGGAGACCTTTAACAACTGCCTCATTATATCTCATAGTCTTAAAGCTATTTATGTTATCTAATTAAGGCCATTTTTCAAGTTACTCTTTTCTATGAATTTTCCACTTCACCGAATTTTTCAGCTTGCTTGCCATAACATGTATGCTTTATGTCCTGATACGTTCTTCTGTTACGTTACCTGTGAGTGCCTTGCCTCCATTTCTACTTTTACTTTATTATCTCTTTCCTTGCATTTAATCTCTTACTCAGGTTCTAAATTAAAGTTGGACACTTTCAGCTTCTCTTCTTTTCTACTGTAAGTAATTAGGCATAAAAATCACCATCCACGGGCCTCCCAGTGTTTTTGGTGCGTGTTTTCATTGTTGTTCAGTTAGAGAGAGTGTGACATTTCCACCGATCCTTAGGCAGCTCAGGCTGCTATGACAAAAAATACCGTGGACTGGGCGGCTTAAACAACAGACATTTATTTTTCACAGTTCTTAGGACTGGAAGTTCAAGATCACGGTGCAGGCAGATCCCGTGTCTGGTGAGGGTCCCCTTCCTGGTTTGCAAACGGCCACCTTCTTGTAGCCTCACTTGGCAGAGAACAGAAAGAGGAAGCAAATCTCTCAAGCCTCTTCTAATAAGGCGCCAGTCTCACCAATGAGAGTTTCACACCCTCATGACCTCATCACCTCCCAAAGACCCAGCTCCGAACATCACCACATCAGGATTTCAACATGGGGAACTGGGAGGATACAGCACGCAGTGCCTAACTCACTGGGATTACATTTTAATCCATAGTACCGCAGAAGTATATTTATAATTTACTAGTACAAATGCATGGTTACTTATCTGTTGTTTTTTTTTTTTTTTTTTTTTTTTGGTCTTGTTCTGTCGCCCAGGCTGGAGTGCAGTGGTACTATCTCAGCTCACTGCAACCCCCACCTCCCGGGTTCAAGTGATTCTCCTGCCTCAGCCTCCTGAGTAGCTGGGAATATAGGCATGTGCCACCACACTGGGCTAATTTTTGTATTTTTAGTACAGACGGGGTTTCACCATGTTAGCCAGGATGGTCTTGATCTCCTGACCTCGTGATCCGCCCGCCTCAGCCTCCCAAAGTGCTGGGATTACAGACATAAGCCATCGCGCCTGTCTTACCTGCTTTTCTTACTGTTTGACTGGGGGTGGCGATTACAGTGTGGTCATGTGATAAACGTGGCATTTCGGAGGAATCTGGGCCATTAGAATGAGATGAAAGTGTTGAACGCGCAACTCAAGCTTCTGCAGCAAGCACCTGCCTGTGCTTGGTGTGAGATGATTAATGTGGCAGATGGGTGGGGAGGGGGAGAAAAACCGCCTGAGGGTGGGGAGGGGGAGAAAACCCGCCTGAGAGGCACCCCTGGAACCCCTGGATCCTCTCCCTTTTGCCAGATGTGAAGTTGAAACACTAAGTTGTGTTCAAGAGCCAAGTGGAGCCACCCGACAGTCCCAGAGCCCAGCAACCTGGCACAGGGCCTGGGGCATGGCTGCCGCGCTCAGGCAGCTGTACCCCGCCTTGCATCCGCCCAGGATGCCTTGCACACCCCGAGACCCGGCTGCTTCTATCTTCCTGGCTGTGTCATCGCACAGCTGAAAGGAGTCTGGACCAGACAGCTCTGTCCGCAGTCAGAACTGAGGGTAAGCGCGGTCCTGTGCACAAGTCAGCAAACCGGAGAGCCAGGGTGCCAGGCACTGACCCCATTCTATAGCCATAGAATCAAGGCTCACGGAGCCCAATCAACAAACGCTCCAAGAGTCCAGGAAAAGGTCGAGGGAAAGAAATAAAGGTGTGACCGGGAGAAGAGTGGGGAAGGAGCCGACTCAAGGCTGAGTCCCGCAGCCCCGTGAGGGCGGAGTGGAGGTTACGGGGCGGGAGCGGGACGGGAATCTGAGCTCCCAGCAGCCGAGCCGAGAGGAAACCCCTGCTCCTGCCCATGAGCCCAGCAGAGCACATGCCCTGGATGTCGAGACGCGGTCCACAGAGAGATGGGCTCCTGTGACTGTCCTCGGATAGGCCTCTGGACGCCACGCCCTAGTGCAGCTCAGTGAAAGGAGCTCCATGGCGTTTTCTCACACGATTCTATTGCAGCTGACGGTAGTGAGGTCACGGCACGCACCTTGCTGATGACCGGGGTTCAGCCAGACGTAACTCTGGGAAAACAGACTGAGCTCAGCCCTTTCAGCCAGCGGCCATTCAGCTTTTCTGACCATGGCCCATATCAACAAACACAATATGGTATGTGAGCGTATACATGTGCACAAACACGCAAATGCACCCTCACACAGGTACACATGCACGCCCTCACACGTGTACACACACCCTCACACGTGTATACACCCATACACGTATACACCCCACACACCCACATATATGTATACACACCTTCACACATGTAACACACCTTCACACACCCCACACGTGCACACACCCACACATACACACCCTCACACGTAACACACCCTCACACACGTAACACACCCTCACACACGTAACACACACCCTCACACATGAACACCCCCACACACGTGCACACCCCCACGCACGTGCACACACCCTCACACACGTAACACCCTCACACATGTGCACACATCACATATATACACACACCCTCACACATGTAACATGCCCTTACATGTAACACGCTCACACATGCACACACCCACGCATGTATGCACATCCACACGTACACACCACACATGTACCCACACATTACACATACACCCACACATGTACACACACCCTCACACATACACATACCTCCACACATGTACACACACCCTCACACGTGCATACATGCACCCTCAAATGTATGCACCCCACACATGTATACACACCCCCACACATGTATACACACCCCCACACGTAGCACACACCCTCACACATGTACACACGTGTGCACACACCCTCACACGTACACTCATACACACACGCACCCTCACACACATGTACACACCCCCACACATGTATACCCTTAAACGTACACCTTCACACATGTATACACTCACATGTACACACCTCACACATGTACACATCCTCACATGTACGCACACACCCTCACATGTACACAAACCCCCACACACATACACCATGACACATGTAAACACACATACACCCACACATGTACACACTCACACATACACATGCACCCTCACACGTACACACATACCTTCACACATGTACACACAACCTCACACATGTACACGTGCACCCATAAACGTACACACCCATGCACACACCCACATACATGTGCACACACCCTCACATGTACACAACCCTCACATATGTACACACACGTACAAATACACCATGTACACTCACATGTATACACACTCACCCTTACACGTGTACACATGCACACCCTCACACGTGCACACACCCCCAAACATGTATGCATCCTCACATGTACATGCACACGCACACATGCATGCCCTCGTGTGTACACGTGCGCACACACACCCTTGAACACATATACATCTTCACACATGTACACACACCCTCACATGTACACACATGCACCCTCAAACGTACAGATCCTCACACATGTACACACACCCTCACACATGTACACACACCCTCACACATGTACACACCCTCACACATGTATACGTACGCACACCCCCTCAAACGTACACACCCTCACACATGTACATGCACACACATGCACACATGCATGCCCTCGCATGTACAGGCACACCCTAATACATCCTCACACATGTACGCACACAAACCCTCACACGTACACACACCCTCACATTTACACACTCAAACGTACACACATCCTCACACATGTACACACACCCTCGCACATGTATACATATGCACACCCTCACACGTACGCACACCCCCTCAAACATGCACACATACACGCACACACATGCCCTCACATGTACATGCACACACCATCAAACATGTACACATGCACACTCGTACACACACCCCCACACACACACTCACACACGTACACACACCCACATATGTACACACCCTCACACACATGTACACACACCCTCACACATGTACACACCCTCACACGTACACACATGCACCCTCACATGTACAGCCTCACACATGTACATGCACCCACACATGTAACACACCCTCACATGTAACACGTCACACGTACACATGCATCCTCACACACACACCCTCACACATGTACACACCCTCACACGTGCACACATGCACTCCCACATGTACCCCCCACCCCCCCACGTACACATACAGGTACACACCCCTCACACATGTATGCACACACCCACACGTACATTCACATACATGTGCACACACCTTCACATGTACACACAGACCCTCACACTGTATACATATGCATACCCACACGTACACACACCCTCACATATGTACATGCACACATACACATGCCCTCACATGTACACACACACCCTCAAATGTACACACATCCTCACACATGTATACACACGCACCCTCACATGTACACAGCCCTCACACATGTACACACCCTCAAACATGTACACACATCCTCATACACATGCACACCCTCACAAATGTACATGCACACGCATGCCCTCATATATGCACGAGGACACACCCTCAAACATGTACACACACACATCGGCACACATGCATACACATGCCCACACACTCATGTACACACATACACACCCTCACACATGTACATACACCCTCACACACACCCTGATAAATGTACACACACACCACACACCCTCACATATGTATACACACACCCTCACACATGCACACACGTGTACACACATGGAAAGTGTTACCATTTGCAACCCATCCATCCTCCCCTGGGGATGCTCTTGGAGAAAGAAATCAGACAAAAGAAAAGAATGTCCTTGTAAACACGCTAATGAGAGCTCCTGGAGGTGTCGACTGTGAGCACAGAAGAGCCTTCTGTTCAGGATTAAACACATCTGGGCTTATGGCACACGGCCCACTGGAAAATGTCAGTGCCTCTGGCAATTTCTAGAGTTTAAAGGGAAAAAGTTTCATAACGGAAAGAGCCCCCTTTGGGTAAGAGCTGCCCCTCCTGTACCACGGGGAGCTTCCTACCCTAAACCTTGATGCAGCGTGCCTCCATGTGTCAGGGACGGGGGTGGGGGTCGGCGAGTGGGCAGTCCCAGTGGTCCCCTGGCTTCCCCTGGCTCCCAGGCAAACGAGACCATCCCGCTCTGCGTGCTGTCTCCGGTGGGCACCACGAGCAGCATGGCTGTTTATTATCTAAGCTGAGGTTCTCTGAGGCAAGATAAGGGGGCGCGGGAGAAGCTTGCTGAGGACGAGGCTCCAGGTGGCTGTCAACCTGTCCCTGATACAAAACGCTGACAGCCTTGGGGCTGGCCACAGGGAGCACACCTTACCGAGGGGACGGAGAGGAAGCCGACCTGGGGCGGGGAGCTGGCCAAAGACCGGCACAAGGGAGGCGAGAGAAACAGCTCTTCCATGGCAGGTGCCACTGACACCCAGACAGAAACAAGGCCACTGGAAGAAGCAGCTGGGGCACAAGAAAGAAACCAGACCCGGTCCTCGGGTCAGTGCAGTCTCCTCTCTCCAGTGGCCAATTAAACAGATGTGACATTCATCCAAAAAGTAACTCAGCTGAGAAACCTGACTGGCTGCAAACCCATGCTGCGGGTGGAAGGGCATGGCAGGCGGCTGCGGAAACCCGAGGGTCCTCTGAGAAGAGCCAGGACATTTGGGGAGAGCGGCAGGCAAAGCCCGATGGCTCAGGATGGGCACAGTTTCCTAAATTATCAGTGCGAGGGGCGGGCACACCACTGATTCTAGATACCACTGCATGGAAGTGATGGTCAGGGCCAAGAACCAGTCCCCAAGACGCTGCAAGCTCTTGTGATCAAATGCTTCCAGGTGGGTCCATACGTCACTTGCTGCAGGTGGCAAAGGTGGGGGTTTTACCCTGAGAGGAGTGACTGCCCCCCACCAACCCACAAATGGCATCTTGCTTCCAAAGCTGTTGGGAAGTTACAAGTGCAGGTGACCCTAGGCTGGCTTTACGGTGAACAAGGGGACGCCTAATTTAATGCCATTGACACCAATGTTGCCACTAAACAGAAGCCCCTAAGACTGAAACTGTATAGGTTTTTGCAAAATTACATTCCTCATCCAGAAATCCTGTGATTCTAGTCACAGTGTCACTGGGGGAAAGACCTCGATGTGAAAGGGCCCTGCCCAGAAACAAGCTGGGACATGGCCCAGGCAGCCCACGGGGCCACTCAGGTGCTACTGGGAGGGCCCAGGTCTTGGTCAGAAAAGATTGGCTTTTGGCAGAAATGCAAATCACGTTTGGGGCCCAGGGGCTACCTGATGCATTTCTTTCATGTTGCCTGGGAGACCACCGTGAGCTGGCAGCCGTGCTGGGAAGATGCCCGTGCTGGGGCCCTCGCTGCACTACGAGCCACCACAACCCCACAGTGTGGGTCAGTGCCTGTTGACTGCCTGGCAGCTCCAGAGGGGTAGGAGTGCGAGGGCTCGGCTGGGCGGGGTCTCACAGACTGCAGTTGAGGTGTGACAGCTGGGCTCCTGGGTGGAGGCCCAGGGCTGTTCGGATGGATGGCAGACTCTTTTCCCGGCTGTAGAGCTGCATTCTCCGTCTCCTTGCTGGCGGTCAGCAGGACCTGGTCTCCACCGTTCAGGCTGCCATCTCGCACGGCCCCACAGCACTCTTCCCTGGCCTCTGACTCTTCTTCTGCTTTTAAAGGGCTGGCGTGATTCGACCAGGCCCACCTGCATCCACGGACCCTAAGGTCGGCTGACCTGGGACACACGGCACATCTGCAACGCCCCTTCCCGGCAGCACCCACGGGTATTGGAGGAGTGGTAGGGGATGGGGGAAGGAAGCTTGGGTGGGTGGGTCATTGGAACTCTTGTGCATGGAAGAGCGTTAGATGATCCCGACACCAGAAAAGTTGGCCACGTCCCAGGTGGCGTGAAGAAGCACTGGAGAAAGAGGGGCAACCCATGAAAGCCCCTTGGCGGGTTTAATGTCCAGCGGCAACAGTGAGGGGCCCAGCGGGGCATGGGTGACAGGGACCAGGTTACCAAGGGTCTGGGCGGGGAATGGCAGGGCATGTGAGGGGTATGGTGGGGAATGGCGGGGAATGGCGGGGCATGGGAGGGGCATGGGAGGGACATAGGAGGGACATAGGAGGGGCATGGCGGGGCATGGTAGGGCATGGCAGAGAATGGCGGGGAATGAGAGGGGAATGGTGGGGAATGGCGAAAAATGGCGGGGGAATGGGAGGGGCATGGAAGGGAATGGGAGGGAATGGGAGAGGCATGGCGGGGAATGGCGGGGCATGGGAGGGACATAGGAGGGGCATGGGAGGGACATAGGAGGGGCATGGCGGGGAATGGCAGGGAACGAGAGGGGAATGGTGAGGAATGGCGGCAAATGGCGGGGGAATGGGAGGGGCATGGCGGGGAATGGCAGGGCATGGGAGGGACATAGGAGGGGCATGGTGGGGAATGGCAGGGAGTGGGCTGCACAGAGACCAGCTTGCTTTGCTGCCCAGAGGGCTGTAAAGCAGCCCCCGCGGACCTCCTGGCCTGGCCCCTGCATCAGGCGGTCCCCCAGCCGGCAGAGCAGGCTGCCTGGCCCGGACTCTTCCCATGCCGGGGGCCCTTCTGCTGTTTGTAAATCAGCTTCCCCACGCCACACAGGTGGAGGCAGGACAGGCAACCTCCCTAATGCGGGAGCTGAAAAGGAGTGAAAAAGGAGTCAGGCCCCTGCTCTGGGGGCGTTTAGGGATTTGCCAACTCGGGCTGGACAACGGCCCCGCAGGATGCCAGGCAAATGCACCCCAGAGAACTGGACAATTGGAAAATCCCCAGGGTGCCCTCAGGAATGGGAATTCCTGCCAAAAACTCCTGTTGCCAGCTCAGAAGGGGTTGAATGGTAGCGCCTTGGTCAGATCCCAGAATGCGCCCAGCAGGTTAGGGAAGGAGCCAGCAGGAGGGAGCATGGGGTCCCCTTGTGCCCAGCGCAACAACTAGCATGAGAAGAAACCACATCCACCGCTGACCAGAAAGCATTTGCAAATAGCTTTGGGTGGCACCCCCGAAGGACAAGGCCTGGCCACAGCAGGCAAGGGGGACCCTGGGTGCCTATGGCCTATCAGGAGGCCCGGAACCAAGGGAGCACTCAGGACACACCAAGCAATACAGGACACACCAAGGAGCTCTTCCCATCCCAACACAGCCACAGGCACTCTTGCACCAGATGTGGGCAGGGCCTTGTTTCCTGCACACCAAGCAGTGCTGCAGGACACTGTCTGAGCATCCTACGGTTTAAGTCATTTCCCACCGCATCCGCCTGGAGGTAGCGTCAGATCCCACAGATCGAGGGCTCAGTCCCGTGCAAGGGGCCCCACTTCTGATGCCAGTTGCAAGCCCCGGGTGTGGCTTCTGACGGAACTGCCATGAATCAGGGTTCCCACAACCCCCTCCTCCGGTTTGATGAATTGCTGGAGTGGTTCACAGGACTCAGGGACACGCCGCCCTGCGTTTACCCATTTATGACACAGGCTGTGACGAAGGTGCGGAGGCACGGGGGGTGGAGGAGACAGGCACGTACATGTGCAGCTTCCAGACAGCCCCAGGCCTCCACCCAACATCCGCGCATTGGAGATGGGAAGTTCCTTGGGTTTTGCAAGGCACAGGGGAGAATGGCAGAGCTCCTGTGCCCTCCTGGGCGCCGTCCTCCAGGCACCTGCGTGCGTCCAACTGTTGAAAGCTCCTTTTGGGTTTTTATGGAAGCTTCATTACATATACATGATTGATTGCATCGTTGGCTATTGATGATCAACCCAAACTTCATCACACTCACTACAAAAGAGACTCTTGTCACTCCAGAGATTCCAGGAAGGAGCTAAGCTGTATCTCACGCTCTCACGACACTCTATTCTGGACTTGGCTTATTTGTAACAGAAGCAACCTTGGGAACAGCATGAGGTGTTTAGAATGGTGAGTCCTCTGTCAATTTCAGCCGACTTGGACCTACTTCTTCTGATCCAGGTACCCACTCTTGCTGGCACCAGGACACTGAGACGGTCCAGGAAACACGGCAAGCATACGTGTGCACCACACTGCTCGTCCCGTCCAGCTGTGGCCATGCTGAAAATTGCAATGGGCCACTGGAAGACAGGTTATTCAGGCAGGTGTGAGAAACGTGACCAGTTGGTGGAGTCGCTTAACTGGGGTGTCTTCAGACTGAGCCTGAGGGGAAGGCAGGCAGGCCGCTCACAGGCTTCAGGGCTGGGGGAAGGAGGAGGGCGTGTGGGGGGTGCAATTGGACCCTCTGTACCTTCCCCACCTCCCAAAGGTTTCTCTTCTTCTGCCTGAGCCAGTGGTCCCAGGACCCCATGCCCAAGCACTAAAGTGGGCGGCACAGGCTCCAGAAGGGACATTAGACTGGTCATGACTGGACCCCATGGCGGGACTTCCTGCAAATGTGGCCAGCAGGAGGGCTGCCCCGTGGCTCCTCACCGGCGAGTCCTGTGGCAGCAGCAGGCCGAGACACAGCACCACAGGGCTGTGCCGGGTGCCTGCTCGAAGGCAGAGCTGCAGTGGGGGATCCAACAGGAACCGTGGAAATGGGGGGCTCCTGCAGGCAGGGGGATACCCACAGGGTCCCGTGATCCTGCAGGGGTGCAAGTGGCTCCTTCCGTGATGGCCCTAGAGCAAGAGGGTAATACTCTTGCCACCTCTCCCAGACCTGGGGCCAAGTAAAGGCTGATGATAAAGAAGCCAGAGGTGCTTTTCCCAGAGATGGGAATCGGATTCCTGCTGACTTCACCTGAGTAATTCAGAGCACGAGGGAAGCTGCACCTCCAGGGGCGCTCCTGACAGGTAACCCACTGGAGCTGCTATTCCGCAGCAGAGGCACCAGCCAGAAAGATCCGAAAGAAACATTTTCAAAAGTGGACCAAGATGGCTGCAGTTTGGCCACACGGGTAGTAGGAGGCAGGCCTGGCCTATGAGGCTGGAATCTGCATTGTCTCACTGACGTGTCCTGGTCACTGCCGTGCCTGTCAGATGAGGCAGGACAGAACAGTCGCCCCTGCAGACCCTGAGGCTCCAGTAGGTGCCAGCTTTCCACCCTGTGTGCCAGCCACGTGTCCACTCCACCTGTGTACAAGGCACCGAGGCCAGGCAGGACTGCGAGGTCCCCCTGAGCGCACTGCCCCTCTCAGGCTGTGGAACCACCCCTCCTGCCTCCTCAGCCGATGGAACCTGTGTTCCGGGTTGCCACTCACTCTTGGCTCAGCATAAAACGCACTTTGGCTTCTCTAAGTCTGCAGTGCCCATGAGTGCGGCCTCCAGCCGTCGCTGCCGTCTGCCCCTCTCGGAGGACAGATGAGAACAGTGCAGGGATCCCAGGGTGGGGAATGCCCAGGAGCCTGGCCTCCACTCTGGGGTGACCCCGGACCTGCCAGGCGCTGCCTGCATGTGGAGGGGGCATTGCTGCCTCCTCCCTGCCTCAGAGCTTGATCTGCGAGTCCGAACGTGCCAAGTGTGAACCAGCCCCAGCGATCTCCAGGCAGAAACAGATGCATTGGTCTCATGAGGGTTGGCCCCACCCTGCTGAAGGTTTGGGGAGATTTTAGAATTTGGTCTTGGGGCCCTGAGTGCGGCAGAAACAGTGTCCCTGCACGCTCATCATGAAGAGCAGGAGGCTTGTTATCCTGAGTAGGGACAGCAGAGGGCGACCTCTTCCAGGATCCAGACACAGGCCCGGGAGGCTGTAAAGGCCACTCATACGGGAATCGATGGAAATCGGACACCCGTCCCCAGCCCTGGGCCAGTGTGCATCCTTCCTCACCCAGGAGGGGCTACTGAACACTCTCATCCCTGGCATCTGATGCTGTAGAGGTCAGAGGCCAGGTCGGGGCCGGGCAGTAGCCTGAGTCCTGAGGGAGCAGTGCTGACAACGGCCCCTCAACCCATCGCTGTTCTCCCGCAGCCTGAGTGCCACCAATGTAAAAGGACAGCTGTGTGGGCCGCATGTGCCCGGAATGAGGCCCCCTGCTCCCTCAGCCGCGTTCTCATGGGTGAACAAAGACCGTGATGGAACCCACCTGAGCCCCTGAGCCGGCTGGACTGGATTATCCTCCCTATGCGTGGATAATCAGAGCCGGGATTATTCCCCTTAAATATTCCTCTTCCCACTGGCAGTTCTGATTCTCTTTGGACAACTGTTAGGAAACTGAAAAACCTAACAGTGTGTCCTCCTTTCCTGGCCAAGGAAGAAACCACCGTTTAGCTTCTTCATGCCCCAGCCAAAGAGCAGGCGATGGAGGCCCAGAAAACCAACCCCACGCTGTCTGACACAGCTCTCGAGACCCGGTCATCTAAGGCAGCTGTTTGCAAGGCTCTCCTGGGCTGCACCTGCCACCACTTCTCACAACCCACCTTAGCTCCAGTCTGCAGAGCCCCTGCGAAGGCTGAGTTAGAGAACGCTGAGCCCCTGCTGCTAGCAGACACACAGGGTTAGGGTCCCGCAAGCCTCTGGCTCCGTTTTCATCAGCCGATCAATATATCATCTCATTCTCTGTGTTTCTATTTAAAGATCCCTTACTGAATGCACGTGGTGGCTTCATTAACATTGCAATCGGTGCCAAGCACCGTAAGCCTGGACAAAGCTTCTCTGACCCAGGCATTCCTTGCCTAGGACGTGAGGCAGCACCTCGGGACAATGCTTGGGGACATTGCAAACAGCAAAGTCACCCACAAAAAGCACAAAAATGCAAAAAAAAAAAAAATGGCACCAGATAGACCACGAAAAGGGCTCTTGATTGCAGCACAAGCTGGAGCAAGAAGGCCGCCCTGCGCAACCTCAGCCAAGAACGCACTCCGGTGACTCAGAATTGTCGCCGCTCCGTGCAAGTAAGTGTTTGGGGATTACAGCTTCTTTTTTTTTTTGAGACGGAGTCTAGCTCTGTCGCCCAGGCTGGAGTACAGCCGTGTGGTCTTGGCTCACTGCAACCTCCACCTCCCATGTTCGAGCGATTCTCCTGCTTCAGCCTCCCAAGTAACCACCACGCCCAGCTAATTTTGTATTTTTAAAGTCACGGGGTTTCACCATATTGGTCAGGCTGGTCTTGAACTCCTGACCTCGTGATCAGCCCACCTCGGCCTCCCAAAGTGCTGGATTTACAGGTGTGAGCCACCGCACCTGGCCTTACAGCTACATTTTAGCAAGTAGAAGAATCGCATACAGACTCCAGGAATGACAAGGATGGACTGTTAAGGAAATCTCAGTGGGGCACAGCACAGCGGAACCCTGGCACTTCCAAGAGTGCTTTTCAGGACACCAGCCAGTCCTTGCACACCAAGGTCACGAAGATAATTAACATTTGGAATAATTAATATCTAGAAAATGATTAGGAGCATTTACCAACATTAGTCTTAATATTTTTTACTATTTAACCCATCTCCCTTCTTTCCGGACACACTCAGCCACACCAGCTGTCCCTTGTTGAGACTTCTCCTGGATCAGGATGCCGAGCGTCTATCTCGTGTCCATTATAATTTTACAAAACGCACCTGTGCAGCCCTCCCCAGCCCCACCGTCGCCTGGCATCAGCACCCAGGGTCTCCAGCCCACTCCACTCTTCAGACTGGATCCGCAGTGACCTTTCTGAAATACAGATCAGGTCATGCCACTGATTAAAACCCTTCAATGGCTTCCCCAGTGCTTCCATTAGTCACCAAACAGTCCAGCCGCCCTGCAAAGCAGCCAGCACTGGGGACCCCTGTGGCTCTGTGCTCCAAACACCCTCTGCCTCCAGTCCAGCTGCAGCCGCAGAGCCGTATCCTCCAGCGCTGCTCCTGCACTGACCCTTCCTCAGAGGGGAGGACGCTTCGGGCAGCCACCTCCCAATCCCGCACTATTGCTTTGCCTCCTACCTGCCCCTGCGGCACTCACTGGCCTGGCCCTCAGGACACCCAGAGGAGCTTCCAGCCCGCAGTTTCAGTGGTGCCCAGCAAACAGCTCCTAGTGGCCTCTGAGGGCCTTGCCAGCGTGGACAGCTCCTTGCCAGTGGGACGGTTCCTTGCCAGTGTGGACGGCTCCTGCTGCAGCTCCCAAAGGGCGCTCTCCTGCCAGCCTTGGCTGAGGCGCTGCTGCTTCAGTAGGGTCTGAAGCTCAGCCTTGATGAGGGACCTCCCCCAAACACATTTGGCTCCGCCCAGCCCTCAAGCTGTGGTTGCTTTTGGGCCCGCCCCTCCTGCCTCTTAGAGGTCTCTGTGCCCCTTCACAGCTGTTCCCAATATCCAGCCCCTACTACCTGTTAATAACCCCAGTAAACTTCCCCTGCCTGCTGGCTGTGTGATTTCTGTCTCCTGGTGACCCTGAGGGAGGCACAGCCCTGTGCGGTCTGGTCTCCATCCTCCCACACGTCCTGCCTGTCTGGGCTCCAGCCACACGGGCCCCTGTCCCGCTCCGGTGGGTAATATGGTAGAGTTCAGACCAAAATGTCAGTCACATTAACACAAATAAGTGGGCTTCACTCACCTGTTAAAAACATTTTTAGGGCCAGGTGCGGTGGCTCACGCCTGTAATCCCAGAACTTTGGGAGGCTGAGGCGGGCGGATCACGAGGTCAGGAGTTTGAGACCATCCTGGCTAACATGGTAAAACCTCATCTTTACTAAAAATACAAAAAATTAGCCGGGCGTGGTGGTGGGCGCCTGTTGTCCCAGCTACTCAGGAGGCTGAGGCAGGAGAATGGCATGAACCTGGGAGGCGGAGCTTGCAGTGAGCCGAGATCGCGCCACTGCACTCCAGCCTGGGCAACAGAGCGAGACTCCGTCTCAAAAAAAAAAAAAAAGAAAAACATTTTTAGTTTGGGTCATAAAACAAGACCAACTATATGCCAAATAAAAGATATACACCTAAAAAATGATTCTGACAGGCCAAAACTAAAAATGTGGGCAAATGGACAATAAGAAAGCCAGAGTCATGACAAAATAAAACATTAAATGCGACAACAAATATTTTAATGCAAAAATCCGCAATTCATAATGTAAAAATAACAGTTATGACTATGCACCAAATAATAAAGCAGCCACTTTTATAAAGCAGACACTCCGGAGACAGAAGGAGAAATAAATACAAAAACACTAGTCATGAGAGACTTTAACATAGCACTGTTAGCATTCTATCAGTAAGGCCAAGCGGACGAAGAGTAGCTGAGGGCTTAGAAGACCTGTGTATCATACAGACATCAAAGATAAATGCAATCCTAGGCCGGGCGCGGTGGCTCACGCCTGTAATCCCAACACTTTGGGAGGCCGAGGTGGGTGGATCACTTGAGGTCAGGAGTTCAAGACCAGCCTGGCAAACATGGTGAAACCCCATCTCTACTAAAATAAAAATACAAAAATTAGCCGGGCATGGTGGCACACACCTGTAATCTCAGCTACTCAGGAGGCTGAGGCACGAGAATCGCTTGAACCTGGGAGACAGAGATTGCAGTGAGCCGAGATCGGGCCACTGCACTCCAGCCTGGGTGATAGACAGAGACTCAGTCTCAAAAAAAAAAAAAAAAAAAGGTAAATGCATCAAAAACACACTTTCTCACGTGCACAGAAAACACAGACTGTCGCTGACGCGGGATAGGTAAGGTCAGGAGGCCACATTGACTTGTCCCTTGTGTGAAGCCTCTTGGGCTCTCCGTCCCTCACCCCTTGTGCTCAGCACCCAGCTCTCTTGCAAGGTCAAGAGCCCTGCCAGACACCAGCAGATGGCCAGATGCTTACAAGTTCCTGATACCTGATATGGCAGGAAAGAGAACAAAAGCCCCTTATTCCTGATGTAGCTTCGCCAGTCTCCAGCCAATCAGCACCAGAAGCCCATGAAGCCATCAGCGACACATTCCTGCCTCAGGGGTCCTGCACGCACAGCTAGGCTCAAGGTGTACCTCGTATTCGGTTGATGCAAAAGTAACTGTGGGTTTTGCCATTGAAAGTAATAGACAAAACAGCAATTACTTTCGCACCAACCTCATAGTAACCCTTCTCTCGTTTTTGTAGTAAAAAGCACACCCTGGATGGAGATGTTAAACGCTAGTGATCCATGTGATGCGTTCACCAGCCGCAGGTCCACCTTTGCACACCTGACTCACCAGGATTGTATGTACAGCTCCCACAAAGGGAATATCCCCCTCAAGACACCAGGGACTGCTCTCTCACTGAGCAGCCACTCTGTCTCTCAGGGTGGACTTTTGCTCTGCAATAAACTCTTGGCTGGGCATGGTGGCTCATGCCTGTAATCCCAGCACTTTGGGAGGCCGAGGCTGGCGGATGACCTGAGGTCGGGAGTTCGAGACCAGCCTGACCAACATGGAGAAACCCCATCTCTATTAAAAATACAAAATTAGCCAGACGTGGTAGCGCATGCCTGTAATCCCAGCTACTCAGGAGGCTGAGGCAGGAGAATCACTTGAACCCAGGAGGTGGAGGTTGTGGTGAGCCAAGATCGTGCCATTGCATTCCAGCCTGGGCAACAAGAGCAAAGCTCCATCTCAAAAAAAAGAAAAAAAAAAAAGAAAGAAAAAAACCTCCTTTGCCTGCTGTTTCTGTGGACTCGATCTCAAATTCTTTTGTGCAGCGAAGTTGGGAACCTGACCCGGCCACCCACAGGCAGCATCGGCACAGAAGGTCACAAAGAAGACACCAGGAAACCCCATAAGCGAGAAACTGGAAACCGCGCACTCTGGTCACGATGAAAAGATAATGAGAATTTATCAACAGTACTATTGTAAAGGGCCCTTCCACCCGGAAGTTTAAAAACAACTCTTGGGTGAAAGGAGAAGTCCAAACTGAAATTACAGAATGTCTTTTGAAAGTGTGATTGTAATAAAAACTTGTGGTTGCTGCCTGCTTTGCTGACGGTGGCTCATCCCCTGTGGCCAATCTGAGCTCGCCCTGGTGGGTGTGCACGGGCCTGACGCCCCCGGCTCTGCACCGCCCGCCTACCTGGGCCAGCCCTGGTGGGTGTGCACAGGCCTGATGCCCCCAGCTCTGCACCGCCTGCCCGGCCCCTGCACTGCTGCTTCCTGCCCTGCAGTTGCCTCTGACCCCGCAGCTCTGTTAGCCTTCGTCCATAAAGTCACACGGCACCCCTCAGAGAGGCTGTGGCTGACCACACCAGAGGGGTAGCCTCAGTCCTTACCATGAGGGCTATTCTTTCTGTCCTTTTCTTTCTTCTTTTTTCTTTTTTTTTTTGAGATGGAGTTTCAATCTTGTTGCCCAGGCTGGAGTGTAGTGGTGTGATCTCAGCTCACTGCAACCTCCGCCTCCCAGGTTCAAGCAGTTCTTGCGCCGCAGCCTCCCAAGTAGCTGGGATCACAGGCACCTGCCACCACACCCGGCTAATTTTTTTATTATTATTTTTAGTAGCGATGGGGATTCACCATGTTTGCCAGGCTGATCTCAAACTCCTGACCTCAGGTGATCCACGTGCCTTGGCCTCCCAAAGTACTGGGATTACAGGTGTGAGCCACTGCGCCCGGCCTATTCTTTCTTTTATAGCATGTATTGCTTTTTAAAATTGTGGTAAAATACACATAACATAGAATTTACCATTTGAACCATTTGTTAAGTGTACAGTTCAGTGGCCTTAAGCACCTTCGCACTGTTGCGCGGCCATCACCACCATCATCTCCAGCTCTCTTCACCTTCCCACACTGAAACTGTCCCCATCAAACACTCATCCCTACGTCTCACTCCCCAGCCCCAGCAGACACCATTCTACTTTCCATCTCTATCGATTTGACTACTTGGCTGGGGCGCGGTGGCTCATGCTCGTAATCCCTGCACTTCGGGAGGCCAAGGCGAGAGGATCACATGAGTCCAGGAGTCCCAGACCAGCCTGGGCAACATGGCCAGACCCCGTCCCTACAAAAACTACAAAAATTATCCAGGCATGGTGGTAACTGCCTGTAGTCCCAGCTACTCAGGTGGCTGAGGTGGGAGGATCACCTGAGCCCAGGAGGTTGAGGCTGCAGTGAGCTGTGATTGCGCCACTGCACTCCAGCCTGGGCAACTGGGCAAGACCTTGTCTCAAAAAAAAAAAAAAAAGATCTGACTACTCTAGAGACTCCTTAAGGTGCATCCCTGTTGTAGCAGGTGTCAGAATGTCCTTCCTTGTTAAGGCTAAACAGTGTCCCATTGAATATATATTTCATGTTTCATGCATTCATCTGTCAGTGGGCACTGAGTCGCTTCCTTCCACCTCTTGGCTGTTATGAACAATGCTGCTATGACCATGGAGGTACAAAAAGCATGTATTGCCTTATTTTTTTAAGACAGGGTCTCACTCTGTTTTCCAGACTGGAGTGTGATCTCGACTCACTGCAGCCTTGACCTCCCCAGCTCAAGCAATCCTCCCCACTGAGTAGCTGGGACTACAGGTGGCGCCACCACACCCAGCTAATTTTTCTATTTTTTATGGAGATGGGGGTCTCACTGTTTTGCCCAGGCTGGTCTTACACTCCTGAGCTCAAGGGGTCCTCCCACCTTACCTCCCAGAGTGTTGAGATGACAGGCATCAGCCACCGCACCTGGCCCATGGATTAATTTTTAAATTACCTCTTTATATGTTTAAATACTCTATATGTATCTCCTAGCAACCCCCCAGAGTGAAATCAATGGGGGTGAAGCCCTGGTCTCCTGTTTGCCCATGATATGATGCACGTGATGTGACATCATGTGACATGATAGCCTGTGATACGATAGCCCATATGATGGCCCGTGATATGACAGCACATGACATGATAGCCCATGATATGATAGCCTGTGATATGAGAGCACATGACATGATAGCTCATGATATGATAGCCTGTGATATGAGAGCACATGACATGATAGCCCATGATATGATAGCCTGTGATATGAGGACCCTTGATATGATACATGTGTCCCATGGCGGGCATTCTCCATATTGTTTTCAGAGGTGGCTCAGCGGCTCCTCTCATATCCCTTCATGATGTGACTTAGTCAGTGCTCCTGACCCTTGGTGGAACCTCTGTCCTCTTCCCCATGAAATTAACCAGCCCCGTGGGCTTTGACCACTGAATAGGAAAGGATGCAATGCCGATTCCAGGCCAATTCTAAGTGGCCTGGCAGGCTTTGCTCTTGCTCTCTTGGGAGTGCTCGGTCAAAAGAAGTCCAGGCTGCCCTGCAGTTCTCCACAGGGAGAGATTTTGTCCCCAGAGGACATCTGGAGGCATATTTAGTTGTCACACTGGGTGGGGGGATGCTACTGCTGTCCAGCAGGTGGAGGCCAGGGGTGCTACTAAACCCCCTTCAGTGCACAGGGCAGCCCACAGCAGAGAACAATCCGGCCCAGCACCAACAGCTCGTAGTTAAGAAGCCCCACGCTAAAGACTGAGTGGACAGAGAGGCCCTGAGATAAAGGGCCACGGAGGAGACAGAGGCCCAGCCCTCCAGCCAGGGTGCCCCCAGTCCAAACTGCACCTGCATGAGTGACCCTGGCTGGTACCACCTGCAGCAGAAATGAGCCACCCTGGCTGAGCCCAGCTCAATCAACCTGCAGAATTGTGAGAAATGATAAGACAGTCATTTTAAAGTCACCAAGCTTTAGAGTGGTTTGTTACCAAGAAATACATATCTGAAACGGCAATCAATAAATATCTGTTGAGTAAACGTAACCCTCCTGCAGTCGCTAATTCAGAACCATTCTTTGGTTCCACTGAACTGAAGCCCTTACGGCCAAGTGGAAGCCTCGCCCACAGCCTCGGGGAAGTCAGGTTCACAAAAACATTTTTTAATTGTTTCTTCTTTGAGACAGAGTCTCGCTGTATTGCCCAGGCTGGGGTGCAGTGGTACAATCATAGCTCATTGCAGCCCCAACCTCCAGGGCTCAAGCGATCCTCCTCCCTCAGCCTCCCATATGCTGTGACCACAGGTGCACACCACCATGCCCGGCTTATTTATGTATTTATTTATTTATCACAGAAACAGGTCTCACCATGTTGTCCAAGCTAGTCTCGAAATTCTGGGCTTAAGGGATCCTCCTGCCTTGGCCTCCCAAGTAGCTGGGACCACAGGAGCCCATCATCACGCCCAGATAATTTACTTATTTTTTTTGTAGAGACAGGGATCTCACTATGTTGCCCAGGCTGGTCTCAAACTCTGGGGCTCAAGGGATCCTCCTGCCTCATCCTCCTAGAGTGCTGGGATTACCGGCATGAGCCACCGCACCCGGCCCTAAAATCTTGATCCATATCAGTGTTTTACCCAAGCCAAAAACATTGCCAAACCCCTAAAACTAAACCTGGTTCTGGTCACTTCTTTCTCGAGCCACAAAAACCAAGGTTGATCATCAATGGCCTCTGAGTATTTCAAAAGCTTCTTATGGGAAGGTGGTATCTCGAGACACTGGCCTTGGAGTGAGGGGAGGGCCTTCCCCATCCCTGGGATGGGACAAGTTCACAGCAAACAGAGACACAACACCATCACCATCACTCCCCACAGGCCAGGGGAGGTGCAGCTGGCACGGCAGAGCCCGTGGGTCCCAAGGGCGACTTTCCTGAATTTTCCTGATATCTCCTGAGCCTCTGATTGCCCATTTCTTCTCTCTGTTGTTGTAGCGTTGAGAGAGAAGAGCAGAGCCTCTCCCATGGTGACCGCAAGCCAGGTTCCAGGTGGGCACTGAGTGTTGTTCAGCTCCCTTATGGGATAAATTTGTGATTTCACAGCACACTTTTTACTTGGAGCTGCAGCTTTGATTTGGCTAATAGGGTTAAAACAGTGGAAAGCATACACAACACAATTGTAAGTGATTTGGTTTTATTTATGTGATGCCAGCCTGTGCCTGTCAGCATCCTTTGATTTGAAAGCCTGTAATTCACATCATGGACTTCCTCTGCAGGCCATGAAAATTCAACTATTCAATTAACTAGATTTTTTTTAACTGACTGTTTATTGCTTCACTCTCACCAATAAGTAACGTTGGTGAGCTCGCTCACACGGGACCTCACGGGGAGGCAGAGAGGCCAGGATGGGGCAAGGGTTCCTGGCCAGCTCTAAAACGAACACGTCATTCAAGTAACACTTTCCCCAACTCAGCGGGGAAGGTGCCCCGTTCCCCGCTCCACAGCACTGTCGGGAAACTGCATTGTCTGCCCAGCAGAAGCGTAGCAACAGTCAGCAACGCCGCCTGCCAGTTCTAACACAGCGGGTCCACATTCTCCAGCCTCCGCAACACCTTCCCCTTTAGTGACTGTCGACATAAAAACATAGAGCAAAACATCGAAGTGAAAAACGGCTTTATTTGAGAGTAATATACAAGTAGGGTTGCCAATCGGGACATACATTCAGGTCAGGGGGTGCCCTCCGGTGTGGACGGAGAACAAAGGAGAGGTTTCCGGTTTTATGAAGGAAAGAGGAGGCGATGCAAGTTGTTTTAAAAGGAAGCTCATTGGCACCAGCAGCAACTTACAGGAGCGGACTGGCGAGCGTCAGGGGTTGCTGAGTGCCACTTGTGACCCTGGAGTGCGTTGCCCCGACGGGCGCACGCTGGGCCGTGAGACCGGGTGGAAGCGGCTAGCTGCTCTGCCACTGGCTGTCCTGTGTGACTCCTGGAGTGAGCTGCGGTGAGGGAACTTTTCTGGAGAGAGTTCCTGTTATCAGCCAAATCGTGGGTGAGACTCCCCCGTTCATGGCCTTCCCAGCTTTGCCAGGGTTTGACACGAGCAGCTCCATTTTTTTTTTTTTTTTTTTGAGACGGAGTCTTGCTCTGTCACCCAGGCTGGAGTAGGGTGGTGCGACCTCGGCTCACTGCAACCGCCGCGTCCCAAGCTCAAGCAATTCTCCTGCCTCAGCCTCCTGAGTAGCTGGGACTACAGGTGCCCGCCGCCACGCTCAGCTAATTTTTGTGTTTTTAGTAGAGACGGGGATTTTGCCATGTTGGCCAGGCTGGTCTGGAACTCCTGACTCCAGGCGATCCACCCACCTCAGCTTCCCAAAGTGCTGGGAGTACAGGCGTGAGGCACTGCGCCCCGCCTCCATTTTGCATCCGACAACGTTCACGCGACCAAAGAAATGAACTCGAGCCCCACCTTCTGCAGCCACAGGGACCTCGAATGCTGCGGAGCTTCCCACGGACACTTCGCTTCTCCCAGTGGCCGCCTGTCCACTTGGGTTCCAAATGCCTGCCCCAGTCCTCACCGCCCTCTGCCTGCTGCCCCGCCCTCTGGTCCCCACACAGCGCGCAGCCCTCCCTGGGCCCACTGGGCAGAGCACTTGGTGTGGCCAATTCTCAGGGTCAGGGTCAGGGTCAGGGTCAGGGATAGGCTTAGGGCTGCCTGATTCTCAGTGCAAAGGTGAGTAAAGCTCTGCAGGAGACTGAGCAGGGAGAGGCCAGGGTGAAGGGAAGGCAGGCGTGAGGGGACACAGCATTGGGGTGAGCAGGGTGCCCAAAGCTCACGTCCACCCAGAGCCTCAGAAGGACACCACTAAGGTAAGAATGGACATAAGACCATGCCAGATGGTCCAGGGGCCCCTAAATGTGATGACATGTGTCATTATGAGAGACAGTAGAGGAGAAGAGGAGAAGAGGAAGGCATGTGGAGGCAGAGGCAGAGACTGCAGAGACACGGCCACAGGAACGCCCGGACCCCTGAGGCTGGAAGAGGCGGCAAGAGCCTCCCCGGAGCCTTCACAGGAAGCATGACCCTCCCACCCCCGACACTTTGATTTCACACTGCTGGCCTCCAGGGCTGTGGGAGAATACGTTTCTGTTGTTTAATGCCACTGGCAGATGGCAACGTGCCACGGCAGACACGGGGGACCCACACAATGGGCAGCTCCTGCCGCTGGACCTCAGACCCTGTCCTTCCCTCCCCAGGAGGCCAGCTCACCCTCGCATGGGGGACCTCAGACCCTGTCCCTCCTCCTTCCCCAGGAGGTTCTCACACAGGACACCTGAGACCCTGTCCCTCCCTCCCCAGGAGGCCAGCTCGCCCTCACACAGGGGGACCTCAGACCCTGTCCCTCCCTCCCCAGGAGGCCAGCTCACCTTTGCACAGGGGGGACCTCAGACCCTGTCCCTCCCTCCCCAGGAGGCCAGCTCACCCTCGCACAGGGGGACCTCAGACCCTGTCCCTCCCTCCCCAGGAGGCCAGCTCACCCTCACACAGAGGGATCTCAAACCCTGTCCTTCCCTCCGCAGGAGGCCAGCTCGCCCTCGCACAGGGGGACCTCAGACCCTGTCCCTCCCTCCCCAGGAGGCCAGCTCACCCTCACACAGAGGGATCTCAGACCCTGTCCTTCCGCCTGCAGGAGGCCAGCTCGCCCTCACACAGGGGGACCTCAGACCCTGTCCCTCCCTCCGCAGGAGGCCAGCTCACCCTTGCATGGGGGACCTGAGACCCTGTCCCTCCTCCCTCCCCAGGAGGTTCTCACATGGGACACCTGAGACCCTGTCCCTCCCTCCCCAGAGGTCCTCACATGAGGGAACCTGAGACCCTGTCCGTCCTCCCTGGAAGGCCCTCACACCGGGGACCCTGCTGCCAAGGGCCCCTTCTCCCATCTCCAGCTCTGCAGGTCCAGGGGCCCTCAAAACCCTGCTCCTCTCCTCCCTGGGGAAATGTCCTTTCTTCTCACATTCCAAATCTCCCCCTTGCAGAAATACATTCATCCTGCTAACACTGACAGGCCCTAGAGTGGGAGGTCAGCCACGCCACTTAGGAAGCGGGGGCATGTCTCCCCGGAGACGGCATTTTCAGCACTGAACACAGCACTGGTCCCCCAGGACGATGACTCGTGTGTGTGGGGAGGACAGGCCTCACGGAAGGGGCTCTCGACGAAGGGGTCTCCTGAGGACCGTCCTGCAGCGGTGCCCAGAGCCAGAGAAGGGGACTGTCAGCTTCTGTTCCCAGGCCCCAGTTTTCCACAATGCTGAGGGGCCTGACACAAACACAACACTGAGGGCTTGGCTTTGTTTTGTCTTCATGTGAGAGTATTTCTCACAGCTCAGGTCATGATCTTTGGTCTGTGACACCCTCATCACTGGGTTTCTTCCTTCTTAGAAGAACATGTAAAAACCATCCATGAACTCTCACCAACATAAACCCTAGGCTTTCACTAGAATGTGCTGCCCTCTGTGGGGTGTCAGACCCCAAGCCTCTAGCCTCCCCTCCTAGGGTCCAAACACCAGACTCCAGAATCTTGAGTTGATCGTTCTTGGTCTCCTCTGATGGGTAGGTAGGTAGGCAGGTGGGTGGGCGGGCAGGCGGGCAGATGGATGGATGGATGGATGGATGGATGGATAGATAGATAGATAGATAGATAGATAGATAGATAGATAGATAGATAGAGCTGGATAGAGATTGAAGGAAATAATGCATACAGTGGTCCATTTCCAAGACAATGTGCCTTAAATCGCCTTAGGCCAGCAAACTACAGAAGAAACAGGATATACTAGGCCCCTGCTTGGACAGCCAGCACTTACTTGTTGCCCCCAACCCCCCTTAGTTGCCCTCACCCAAACCAAAGAAGTTTAGTCTAAGATGAAAGTTTACTAGCCTGCAAAATAGCTCGTTTTTTCTGTTCTTATCAGCCTGCCCAGCTACTTAGGTCATAGGTCAAATACTTGAAAGGCCCCCAAGCTGACTAGGATTGCAATGCATTGTGGGCCACAACAAAATGCAGCAAGACAACCCTAAAGAAAACACCTACAGCCCCTGCCCAACAACCAATAGGTGACGTCCAGGAAGACTGTGACCCCCATCATACTCAGCCTATGAGGAACCGGGGGAGAGACCTGCGCACTAGGGGATAAATTGCTTGTTGAAGTCGTGCTAGGTGTGCCTGTCCATCAGACACCCAACCTCGCAAGATCATCATTACAAGTCTCACTTTCACTGTTCTCCAAGTTTCTAAGTCCATTCTTTGGGTTGGGATGGGTAAGTTTGTTTCCCACAAGATGATAGAAAGATAGATAATAGATGGATAGATGATAGATAATAGATAGATAGAGACACACATAAATAGATGACAGAGAGATAGAAGAGATAAATAAGAGGGATAAAGAGACAGAAAGATGGAGATGTGACAGATGATGGAGAGGTAGATAAGTAGATGACTAAAGAGTTTCATGAAGTCCGTAAAGCTGTATTTTTCCTGTCGCATTTCTATAAAGCATTGTAAAGTGACTTATGTCAGAGCATTGGCTCGATGTGGTCTTCTGGGACCCCCTTGTGTACTTGGCTCAGCGCTGCCCGCACATGCCCACGCTGCTCCGTACTGTGGCTTGCTCACCGCCGTGTGCAATGTTCCTTTGCGTGTCACAGCGCTTCCTTAACCCATTCTCTGCTGAAGGCCATTTTGGCTGTTTCAAGACTTTTGGTCTTGTGAACAGTACAACTGTTCACAGTAACATTCACACCCACGTCTCCTGATATTCACATGCAAGACGTTTTTCTGGGTGATATGCCAGAAAGAGATTGCTCGGGTATGAGGGACACAAACATTCACCTCCACAGAATCCACCCCACTGTCTCCCCACATGGCTGTGCCAATTTATCTCCAAACTGCAGAGTCCACGAGATCCCAGCAGAGAACAGTCTCTGCCGCACGTGGCATCACCAGACTCTAAATGTTTGCTCATCTGCATCTGTGGCTGTCGCTCCCTGGGAGCTTCTGAAACAGAGCATTTCTCCTGTATGCAGGTCTGTGCTCTCGGCCCCGACATTGCCTGTCTTCTTTGTGACTCTGGGTGTCATTAATCTATTCTTGTACCAACCCTTTGTCGGGTACGTTTGTTGCATGTCTCTTTTTCCAGTTTGTGATTTAACCTTTTGTTTTAAGATACGTTTTAACAAATGAAAGTTTTTAATTTTCTTGTCAAATTTATCGATTTTTTGTTATGAGATTTTCTATTTGTGTCTTACTTAAGAAATTCTCCAAATCACACAGAAATTCATTTTTATTTTCTTGTAAAAGTTTTTCAGGGACCTGGTGAGGTGGCTCACGCCTGTAATCCCAGCACTTTGGGAGGCCAAGGTGGGAGGATCCCTTGAGGTCAAGAGTTCAAGACCAGCCTGGGCAACTAACTGTTCAGACCCCATCTCTACAGAAAGATTTTTTTTTTTCAATTAGCTGGACAAGGTGGCTCACATTTGTAATCTCAGCACTTTGGAAGGCTGAGAGGCAGGAGGATCACTTGAGCCCAGGAGTTCAAGACCAGCCTGGGCAACATAGGGACTCTCTATCTACAAAAAAAAAAAAAAAAAAAAAAAAAAAAAAAAAAATTTTAAATTAGCTGGACACTGTGGTGTGCACCTATGGTCCCAGCTACTTAGGAAGCTGAGGCAGGAAGATTGCTTGAACCTGGGAGGTCAAGGCTGCAGTGAGTCATGGTTGCGCCACTGCACTCCAGCCTGGGAGACAGAGCGAGACTCCATCTCAAAAAAAAAAAGAGGTTTTCAAGTTTTGCTCTTGACATTCACTCCCTTGATTGAGCCTGGATTTATTCTGTGGGTGTGGGTGGTGTGCGATGAGTACCCAATGGGACTTCCCATGCAGACAGCTCCCATCTCTGCTCTGTGTATTGAAGAGGGCCTCGCGACCCTGATCTGGCCCGCCCCTCCCGCACTGGTGAGCAGGCCTATTTCTGGGTGCGTTGTTCTGCCTCGCTGGGCAACTGTGGATCCCGGTAAGGACGCTGCACTCTCTTAACTGCCACAGCTTCAGCAGGACATGTGGTGTCTGCTGGCCCAGGTCTGCCTCCTCCATGAGCTTTTGCCTGGCTGTGATTCTCAGCCCCCTCCCCTTTCCAACTGCGGAACCTGGAGCAACTCAGCCCTCTCCCCACTTTGAAACGGGGACCACGTGGTGGCCTCCACCCAGGGCTGAGCTGCAGCTGGAGAGGAAACGCATGCTTGGTGATGGCCCCGCAAATGCCTCTGGTGTGTTCAGTCCCTAAATATTCCTTCTCTCACAAGAGTGTTTGGCCATCTGGGTTAAACACCAAGCTCCCTGAAGGCCCAGTGTCTGAAGGCACCAGGTCTCCGTTGCCAGAAACACACTGAGGCACAGAGGCTGGCAGCTGACAGCCTGCAGGGAAGCTGTCCCCAACATCCTCGAACTCTGGGATGCCTCACAAGGAGGCCCCTCCCCCCAGGAGTGAGGGAAGGAACCCACAGGCAGAGCCGGGCCAGCAGCTGGGACAGGGTGTAAGCCTGGCCCCCACACACACAGCTCGGAGGGCCACCCAGAGAAAGGTGCCTGCCCAGGAGAGGCAGGCAATGGCGGCCCCTCTAGCCTGAGCCCTGGACCACAGTTCTGGAGACATGGTGGGGGTTGAGGGGCTGAGGATGCACCCCGGCCCCGTGAAACCTGCACGACCCCCCACCTCCAGCAAGCCGAGATGGAGGCCCAGCTAGAGCAGCGAGCGGCCCCTCCAGAGGGCTCTGGAAGACACAGGGGACTTGAAGCCGTGGTAACCATGGCGACTACTGTGGGAACATCAGGGACATTTAACAAAGGACGACTTGGTTTTCTGATTTTAGCTCTGCTTCCCAGCCGTACCCTCCGATGCACAGCCCACCCCTTCTGAGACCTCCCCCAGATCAAGGTCACTTGTCCTGTGGTCCTGGGGGGCCCAGTGCAGAGGTTCCAATGCCCCCAGTGGCCACATGTGCTCAACCCCTCAGGTAGCAGACAAGGCCCAGCACCCAGGAGGGATTGGAGCAGGGACCCCAGGTAGACTTGGGGGAGATGGGTGTTTGGAGAGAAGGGGGATGAATGTGTTTGGAGAGAAGGGGGATGCATGAGTTTGGAGAGAAGGGGGATGGATGAGTTTGGAGAGAAGGAGGATGGATGTGTTTGGAGAGAAGGGGGATGGATGAGTTTGGAGAGAAGGGGGATGGATGTGTTTGGAGAGAAGGGGGATGGATAGGAGCTGCTGACACAGGGAGGGGGGTCCAGCCAGGGAGAGGGGTTCTTCCGCCATCACCATCCACCGCTCACGGACCACCCACCGGGCACGTGCCCCCTGCTATCCAGTCCCGCTCATCAAACACATGAATTCATGATTTATGGCAGATTCAATGATCATTCTTTATCCCTCACCATTTCTTTTTACTTTATTCATTCATTTAACAAAATTACCGATCATCTGCTGAGGGGCTGGCTGGACAGACCTGAATTCCGGGATCCCTGCTCCAAAGAGCCACACCCATCTCACCTGGGAGTGTGGGGACAGGGGAGGGAAGGCCAGGGTCAGTGGCCTGGGGAGGAAGAGTGCGAACCCAGCCCCAGCACCCACAGCCAAGCCACGCTGCTCCGAGCACCGCCATGGGCCAGGGAAGTCTGGGACCTGGCCTCACCGCTGCCTCAAAACCCTCTCTCACCCACCCAGAGATTTCCCAGCTGGACACTCAGCGGTTTTCCCAGAGCCTCTGGTTCTCCATTGCTGAGCCAGTGATGCATGGCTGCTTCCAGCCAGCCCCCAGTGCCGAGAGAAGGAGCCCCCGTGACATTAGGGGAACTTGAGGACAGTGGTGGGGAGGGCAGAGAGGCTCTGCTCTAGCCGGGGGATTCTGGAGCTTCAGCCAGGAGGGCCACTGTCAGGCGAGGGGCCGGGGGAGGCCCCCAGCCCCAGACTCTCCTGTTCCTTGAGGGCCTGACTCTCAGCCACTCCCACCTTCCAGTTCTCCAGGACGCCCCCACCCCAGTATCCTGCGGTGCCCACCTCAGCCCAGTCAGCATCGGGGGGCCCTGCCCCACCCATAACTCACCTATGCCCTCGCTGGGTGGCCCAGGCCCGCCCTCCCCAGGCCAGGTCCTGGGCCTCCTGGGCGCCTCCATCCACCCCATGCCCGTCAGGCCTCACCTCCTGCATCCCACCAGGACCTCCCAGATGGGCACCCACCCCCATCATGGGCTGCAGACTACAGCTGGCCAGCCTTTCTAGGATCCCAGACCTGAGCCCATAGCTGGGGCTCAAAGGCATTAAGGCCGGCCTGGTCCTCCTGGATTCAAGCTTCTTGGGCCACCAGGTTTTGTTCGTCACTGTCCTCTCTGTCCCCTAATAACGTTCACTGCTAGAAATGACCACCTGACACACCCTCCCACGCTCAGGACCTGGGGCACAGGCCTCGCTGGTAAAAGCCCACATGGGAGGGGAGTGAGCCCCGCAGCTCAGGCATCAAGACTGCAGGGAGCAGCAGGTGCCCCCATCCCAGCTCTGCAGCCCCTGTCTCCCGCTCTGGGCCTCTTGGTTCTGATCTGCTCCTCTCTGCGTGTCTTAGCTGTGCCGAGGGGGCACGGACAGATGCATTTCAAACTCACGTCAGCAAGCATGGACAGGTGCAGAAACCAACACAAGAGAGAATGAGCCACCGGGTGGAGTCAATCAATGAACACATTTAGCCCCCTCCCCTCCAGTTCACCCACACCCACCAGGTGGGGCTAGAGCCTTACAGTGGGAAGGGGCTCACGGGGGCCGGAGCATAAGGGGGGACCGCAGAGCCCAGGAGGAGCAGGGGCCACCGGCCACCCACGTGTGCAGGCCTTCCCTGCCCAGTGAGGGGACAGAAGACCAGGCCTGGGACTCCCGGGCACCCAGGATGGGACAGCACAGGGAGGGCCTCAGAAATGCTCCAGGGCAGAGGGACAGACGCCAGGGAGAGGCGATTCCAGGAACCACCCTCGTGTGCCCTTCTGGGGATGGGAGACGTCCCCTGCACCTGTGAGCTTAGGTCTGAGTCAGCATGTTCTGCATCCCTGCAGGAAACACAGGGAGCAGGGGTGGTGGGCCTGGGACCCCCTGGGGGTGAGGCGTGGTCCACAGGCCCCTAGGCTGCAGGGGCCACAGGTTCCTGCCCTCAGTGGAGGGAGGACTCACTGGAGGCTGGGTGTGGGAAAACAGCACCCCTATGCTGCCCGGCCCTGAATCCCCCAGCCCACAGTGCCAGCACAGCCCCAGCACACACGGGGCCTCGAAGTGCAGGGGTGAGCCCCAGGCCTGGGCACCACGCAGCTTCCAACTGGGTTCCTCCATCGGGCGCTGGGTAATCGCCAGCCCTGCTCCGCCTGAGAAGAAAGCAGGAGAGGTTCCCTTTAAGCATCGGAGGAGGGAAGATTTTTCTATGACTCAAATCCTGAAGCTGTAAGAAATAATGGTAATAGTGTCTCCATAAAAATTCAAGGAAAAGAAGCTTCCATGTGGCAAAAAAAAAGAAAAAAGAAAAAAAAACTCACAAAACACCATAAGCAAAATAAAGGGGGAAATGTGTGTCACTCTTATTATAAATGAAGGGCTTATTTCCCAGCTATGCAGAAAGTTCCCAGAAAAGAGTAAGGAGACCAACCATCCCACAGCAAAGGGACCGAGGTTATGAGCAGAGAGGCCAGAGAAATGGAAACCATCCCCACACACCCCCCAACAAAAGACAAAGAAATCAAAATGCCCAGAACGAGAAGACGGGCATGCACGAACCAATAAGGGGCACGTGCCAGGAGCCAAGGGTGACGGCGCCTCCAGGTCCCCATACCTGTGGTCCAACTTCCAAAATTCAGAACACAGCTGCAATGCCGTCTTTCATTGCTGACCAGACTCACGGAAGTCCAACGGCAACAGAGAAGCTGTGGTCTCAGGCATCGCTACTGGAAGTGTGAAAGTGTGCAGCCCCAGGACAACCATGCTCACTCATCAGTTACAGGCCCAGCAAGACTGACTCTGGAGATGTGTCCCCACACGCAGCAGCTAGCTGACATGTCTGAGGCTATGCATTACAGCCTTGTAACTGGAGCATGAGTGAGACCATCTAAATATGCAGAAACAGGCCAGGCGCGGTGGTTCACGCATGTAATCCCAGCACTTTGGGAGGCCAAGGCCAGCAGATCACTTGAGGTCGGGAGTTGGAGATCAGCCTGACCAACATGGTGAAACCCCATCTCTACTAAAGATACAAAAATTAGCCAGGCATGGTGGCACACACCTGTAATCCCAGCTACTTGGGAGGCTGAGGTACAAGAATCTCTTGAACCCAGGAGGCAGAGGTTGCAATGAGCCAAGATGACACCACTGCACTCCAGCCTGGGCGACAGAGTAAGACTCTGTCTCTAAATAAATAAATAAGCAGACACAGGAGTATGTGTGCTGTGCGATGCTGCTGTTAAGAACGGAGTGGGGAGCTGGCTCTGCGCCATCACAGAAAGATCTCCAGGCTGCACTGAGAGGCAGAAAGAGTAAACGACCTCAGCTGTAAAGGACTTTCTTGTCCTTGTATAAAGACATCCTGAACGGGTACACAGGAAACCGGTCAGATAATGACAGGGCAGGAGACACACTTCTCAAGGTAGACTTCTTTTTTAATTGATGCAAGCGTTCTTACCTGTTTTTTTAAAAGAATCCAAACAGAGGAGCCCTTGAACCTCCTTGCCCCTTCCTGCTCCACGCCCCTGTCCCCAGCAGCCTCCCTCCAAGTAGGGTGAGGAAGGCACTAGCCTCCCTTCCAGGTGGCCTTGGCAGCAAGTGCTGGAGCTGGCCCTGCAGTGGGCCCCAGCCTGACCTGAAAGACCCACTGCTTTAGCCCCATGAGGCCCACGGGCTCAATTCCCCATGAGCCATGGACAGCAGCTCAGGCTGCCTGCAGAGCTCGTGTGCTCTGCCTTTCGCCTTCTCCCCTTCCCTGGACGGGGCTCTTCTCAGCAGCCATCGCTTTCCCAAACTATCCCATCAAAGCGGTTGTGTGCCTGTTTACCATCTGCACCACCCCTCCAAGCACAGGCCTGCGCACACACACGCGTGCTCACTAGAGGACAGCCACCTCCTCTGTCTCATCCACTGCTCTGTCCCCAGGACCTAGAGCCCAGCACTCAGCTCGCAGAAAGCAGAAAACTGAGCCCGTACGCATATAAAACTGTGGGCGTGCTCCTCCCCTTCCGACGCTGCACCCCCTGCTTCTTACCAGTAAGGCTGGTACCAACTCCTGGAGCCAGTGCTGGGCCCTTTACATCAGGGCTTCTAGGCGCGGGCCCTGTGCATCTGCCTTTGAACCTGCCTCCGAGGAGATTCTGATGCCCCTGGAGTTTGGGAGTGGATGGCCCTAGGGGAGCGTGCAGGGAGGAGATCCTGATGTCCCTGGAGTTTGGGAGTGGAGGGCCCGAGGGGAGCATGCAGGGAGGAGGAGGCTTTCCTGCACCCACCCAGCCTCCCTGTCTCCCTCAAGGGGAAGGGCCGCTTTCCTCCCCAACTTCGCGAAACTCAGGGAACTTCCAGTCTCCAGTGTGCGGATGTCGCGGGGAGGCCTGGGGATATCTGAAAACCACAAAAGTAAACATCTGTCTTGTAGAGCACGAAGAACCTGGGGGAGTTTGGAGAAAGCTACAGGCCCCAGGAATAAAGTTGAGGAGGGAGGAGTGTTCATTCTCCCACTTCCCGCCACCTTCCGTCCACCCTGCCTGGACCAGCGTTCTGCCAACCTGGAGCAGAGGGCCAAAGGCGGGCTCCAGGATCAGCCCCGCCCCCACACCCACAGCACCCCCGTGAGCTGGGTGTGTCCTGCCTCACAGACACAGGACCAGGCCCCGAGAGGCTGCAGAACTTGGCCAGGGTCACACGGCCAGGAGGTGCTAGAAGAGAAATTGGAATCCAGGTAGCCTGATGTCCTCTGCGAATCCACTGAAGGTTTTGGTATGTCAGTGTCTGACTTCTTAGCTGTTTCCCAAGATAAAGTGGGCACAGTTAGGCCTCAATCCAGCTGGAGGTCCAACACAAAGGAAGGAGGAGACGGCCTAGACAGGCCCCGGCCCCACACGAGGGGGCCCAGCACCCACTGATCTTGCAGCTTCCCTGGCCCAGCTACCTCCCCAGCCCCCGGAGAGGGGAAGCAGGAGGGCTTTGGAGGCCCCACTGGGGAAGGTGAACCCCACGGACCCCCAGGCAGCCAGACTGCCCCAGAGCATGGGAGGTGGGAAATGGCTGTCTGAGCTCTGATAAAGATATCAAAAGAAAAGCTACAGACACATCTCAGCCTGACTGTGATGCAGGTGTCTGCGACGCAAACATCCTAACCAAATATTGGCTATCTGAATTTGGCAGTGATTTAAACGAGTAATACATCACAAATGCCAGGGCAGCTCACCACAAGGAAATCTAGCAATGGAGCTCGCCGCACTAACTATTCATTAAATAGGAAAATATGGACTTAGAGCCATAGATCATGAAAGGGCATTTCTTTTAAGTTCATTCCTAATAAAAAGCTAAATGAAATATGAATAAGTAAAGAGTCTAGACTCAGTAAAGACTGATTTTGAAATCCAACAGCAAACACTAATTTGTGGCGTAACATGAAAGACCTCCCATTAGCACAGACACCCTGGTCACTGTTATTATTCAGCCATGCTTTGGAGGGCTCAGCTAAGGCAATAGAAACAAAAGCTGAACAGGCAATATAAGTACCGGGAAAGAAGCAACCAAATTATCTTTATTTGCCAATTATATGGTTATATCCCTTGAACATCTAAGAGATTCTGCTAATCGTGGAATTCAGGAAGATATGCATTCAGAAATAAGCAGCCTTCACTTACCGCACCTGTGGTGTCATCTGTGGCTGCCTCAAGTCACCTGAACACGCTCTGAACATTTCTGAAAGTTCTGCATCGTGAATCCCATCTTCCTGTTGCAGAATTCAGGAACTATATCGTGCAACCTCCCAGGCCCTAGGGTGTAGCTATGTGACTTCATCTCTGCCGGGGAGGCACATCCAGGCAGAACTCCTAAGGAAAGCTACGGAGGTGAGGTGCAGGCCTCCTTCCCTGGACAGGGGCAGGGGCAGCGGCCGTGCCAGCCAGGCCAGCCCTGGGTCTTTCCCGGAGGCCACGCCTGCAGCCTGAGGCCCCAGCCCTCCCTGCAAAGCCCCTGTGAAGCCCTCTACTTAAACTCACTCTGGTGGATGCTGGCCTGAGCGGGCAGGGGACACTTGGGTAGAGGAGCACAGCCCAGAAACAGCTGAACGAGAAACACGACTTTACTGTTCCTACAATTTCTATTCCTAGACCTCTCCACTCTACCGGCTGGCAGGAACATAGTCGTAGTGACTGCAGGTCCTCCATGCCTTCTTGCCCAGGGCTGTGTCTGTGCGGGGCTGTGGGCAGCAGGATGGCATATCTGTCCACTCAGGGTGTTTGTGGAGACACCACTGGGCCCTGGACCCTCAGCCCTTGGCCAGTGCCCGGTGCACACTGGCTGCCACCAAATGGCTTCTCCTTTATCTGCGTCCTAACCCCATCCTCTGTTGGTTCTGAGGCTGCCAGGGGCCCACCTGCCCTGACCACCTTCACCCGGGGCCACTCTGAGGTCTTGGTGCTCTGGGATTGCTGCCCAGGACGCCAGGTGCAACCTCTCTCTGGGACTCATCCCAGCCTCAGCCCTCAGCAGCTCCCCTTTCCCTGCCCGGGCTAGGGAGTCTCTCATCCTGGTTAGAGGGCAGTGCCTCCCTCCCGCTCTGTATCGTGAGACAAAGTAGCACACGTAGGAAGCTGTGTGTGCTCATCCTGCCTGCAGGCAGGATTTCCTGAGCTCCTGACTCAGGACTGGGTGCAGCTTGTGGAAGGATGCCCCGGAGGCCATGAGTGGGCTACAGACCAGGTCCCCGTTCTCCTGCCTGAGTCACTGGGTTTTTAGAAAGATGAGTTCAATGATCCTGACTCTTGCTTCTTCCTGCATGAAAGATGATGATGCTGACAGGATTTGCAATTATGCCCCTAGGATCCGTGGCCAGATGCAGCCACACACCCAGCCCTGAGGCTCTGCCCCACTGTCACACCTGGGTACGTGCGGAGCCGCTGCCCACACGCAGGTTGTAGGCTGGAACAGCTCTGGAGCAGCCTACTAGAAACTCTTGGAAAGACCCCTCGGTTGTCATATTTAGCAAGGCTTCTGAATAAAACTAACTTCCATCCTTTAAAGCCTGAGTTTTCTTGACCTGGCAGTGTCTTGAGATGTTCTGAGAGGTTCCTCCTCAGACTCCTCCCTCTGTCTCACTGTCTGCCTCTGAGGGGCCCACAGCCAGGTGGGTCAGGCTTCTGGAAGCACCAGGACAGGGTTCCAGGGGACCTTGGTGTTCTGCCCTATCAGCCCCTCCTCTCAGGCAGCAAGCAGGCCTAGTCCACCTGCTTCAACAGAGTGGGAGACTTACAAAAAGAAATCACAAAAAAATAAAAAGCATCCACTCATCGCACCAACAATGGCCAGAAAAATGTGAAGGTAAGAAGGGAAATCCAATTTGCAACACCAAAAAACCATAAATTACCCAGTAATAAGTACATCAAGGAAGGAGCACAGCCCATCACTCAGTCCGACTCAGTGGGACATCGCTCAGGAGGCCGAGTGAAGAGGCCAGACACCAAGCTGCTGAGCGGGAGACTTGAAGCAGCCAAGACCGCAGCTCCCCCAACCTCACATGCAAGAGAGAGACAGTCCCGCCGAAATGCTAACAGCGTTAGCATTTTCTGCAACCGGAAAAATGGATCCCAAAACCCATCTGTAAGAATAAATTGTGAGAAGTAGCAGTATGTGTTTAAAAAGAATAACGTGGGGCCCTTGCCTTAACGAGTGTAAAACACGCCGCCCGGCTGCCATCGTTGAAACAGCATCACATGTAGATGACCCGTGACGAACCGACCAGTGCAATCCCAGTGAGCAGCGGCTCAGAAACAGCCTGCCACACGTGGGAAGGCATTGTACTATAAAGGCGGCATCTCAGATCAACGGGCGAAAGGCGGGTTGTTTAATAAATGACATTGAGGAAAAGTGGTCATTTGGAAGAACCTCCTACCTCCTGCCACATTGTAAATAAACTCCAGATGGACTGGCTATCTGAATACAGTAACCAAATCTGTAAAAATATTAGAAGAAAATACGGAACTCTTTTCCTAAGATAAAGGTAGAGGAAATTCTCCTAAGACATGAAGCCCCCACACCATAAAAGAACAACTAGTCAGATTTGACTGCATCCAACGTTAGAACATCCATAAATGCACGCTGAAAACAACGCAAACAAGACACAGGCAACAGACGGCAAGGAAATATCCACACAACGTATGACACAGGGAAGATTCATGTCCCCAAAATATACAAAAGGGCAGTGCAAGTCAGTAGGACAAAGACAAGCAGCACGATAGGGGCATGGGCAAAGGGTGTGACCAGGCGAGAGAGGAGAAGCACACGTGGCTGACACAGAAGGCGTGGAGATTCTCTTTGTCCACGAGGCGGGCAAAACGTTGCTGAAGGTGAACAACACTCATTGCTAGCAAGTGTGTCCAGAATCTTCAGAAGCAGCAACTTCATCAGATTTCTGCTCATTCATTGGCATCCATCCTACACCCATCACCACTTGAGCCCATGGAGGTATGAGGACAAGGAGGGTCACTTCAGTGTTGCTGACAATAGACATTTGAGAACAAACCCTACACCCACTGATAAGGGACAGTTACAAATGCACGGCTCCCTCATCCAGGGGAACCCTAAGCAGACGTTAAAGCCGGTCCACCTGGACACGGGGCCCTGGGATGACATCACCGGTGAACTGCTCAGTAGAAAGGGTTGCATAGCAGATCAATTTCTCAGCACCGTCCATGTGCCCCGCTGGACCAAGGGCTTCACGCGGACGGTGAAGTTCAGCCCTTCAAAGACAACCTGTCAGGTGGGGACCACACTTAAACTCCTTCAGAGATGGGGAAACCCACTCAGCCAGTGCCAGCGGCAGCTTGGGAGCTGGCCGGCTTCCTGCCTGTCTGGCCCTGGCAGCCCCTCAGGGTGGGAGGTGATGGAGAGGTGAGGGCGTGCCCTTCTGATTGTATATGATTTTTCAAGAAGGTGGGAGAATTTCACTCCTTTTTGTGTCTTTAAATACCTCTTTCAGATAATAAATTCAGCATACAAAGATTTATATGACAATTGGCTCAAGCCTCACCCCGGTGGGATGGCCTGTCCACGGCCTCCCTAGCTGGCCAAGGCTTCCCTCGGGGGTTCCATCGCTCCAGGGCTTCCTGCCTCCTGGGAATTCTCAGCTTCTCTGCAGTACCCCAGCCCCCAAAACAGGAGGCACAAGCAAGAGCAGCACACTTTACTGAAGGGTGGGGTGGGGGCGGGGGCTGCATCACAGAGCAGGTGGCCTTCAATGGAAAAGCCCCTTGGCTGTGTCCAGCAGGGAATGGGCACCAATGCCCAGGACCGCAGGCCTCCTCTCTCTTCCTGGCTCACCAGCCCTGGACCCAATTCCTCGCCATCCCTCATGCAAGGCCAGCCTTTACAGGAACCACTGCTTTCCCTAAGGAGCCCAGGACCCAGCAGTGGCCATGAGATTGGGTCAGCCACAGGTGGCATGATGCAGCAGTGGCCAGAGACCAGGCCTCGGAGAAACCCTGGGGTGCCTGCCAAGCGGTGTGGTGAGCCTGGGCCGTGAGACGAGCCGCTGGTGGAGCATCTAGCGTGGTGGCCGGTGGGTGTGGGAGGCTGGGCTGGATGCGGGGGTGCAGGGCTGAAACTGGAGCAGGAAGGATCAAGACATCACTCCAACATTCCCCAGGCCAAGTCTTCCCTGCCCCCTCACCCCACGGCACCCAGTCCCTCCGGGCCAGCCCACAGAGAGGTGTGGGCTTCCTCAACCCCTGGCCACAGGGAGTGGCCTCAGGAGCCCAACTCAGGGCCAGGAGTGGCCGGAGTGGATGTCCAGTGAAGAGGCAGGGTGAGGGAACAGGAGGACTCCACTCGGCCTGAAGCAGCCCCCAGGGGCAGAGACAGCTGGGGTGGGGGCGAGAGGAGGCCAGCACGCGTGGTCTCATCTGTGAGTCTGTGAGGGCACCGTGTGCACTGCACGCTGAGTGTACAAGGGTGGGTGTGCACAGACATGGGCATGCACGTGTGGGTGTGGGCACGTGCACTGGGACACGCCAGTTTGTGCCAGTTATGTGCATGCCCCAGCACGTGTGCGCGGGGCACCTGGGGTGTGTGTGTGTGAAGGAGCAGGGCGGGCACGGGTGTGTGTGCACATGCTGGCTGCGTGGGCACCGTTTGTATGCTTGTCTGGGCATGAGTGTGTGTGCACATGCTGGCTGCGTGGGCACCACTGTTTGTGGGCGTGTCTGGTGTCTGTGGTGTGCTCACAGGATTCCGGTACCTCCCCCCAAGCCCACCCTGTGATCTTGCTCATCTCAGCTCTCACCCCATCACCCCAAGTGCTCCTAAACCTCACCAGGACCAAGCAGCCCCAGCACAACCACCCAGCACCCCAGTGCCCTGAGCCCAAGAGCCCAAGATCCTGGCTGAGCGCCCGCCCTGCCCCCAGCCCCTCCGCTCCCTCAGCACCTCATTCCCAGCTCTCTGCCAGGAACCCTTTCCCGCCCCCGACACCCAGGCTCAGACCCGGGTCTCAGGACTCAAAAGTGACTTTATTTCTCCGCAGAAGACGCCCTTCCAGCTGGGCTGTTGCTTCACTTCCCCTCCGGGACCTGGGGGTCCCCCCCCACCCTCATCCCCAGGCCTCCTGCCCAGATGGCCTGGTTTCCTGGAGATGTCCAGCTGCCTGGGACTCAGAGCTGGCGGAGAGACAGGGAGGCTTCACGTCGGGGGAGGAGTGAGAGCCACAGGCCACAGCCACGGAGCTGGGCCAAGGCTGCCCCCAGCCCCAGCCACGCCAGGCTGGGGAGAGGGCAGCCACAGGCTCAGGGGAGCAAGCTCAGAAGCCCCGTGGGAAGGAGGAGACATCAGGGCCCAGCCCAGAGGAGGGCAGGCCCCAGGCTGAGCAGGAGCCCCCCGGCCAGGGCCCAGGGGCTGTGCCCTGCCCCTGCCGCCCCATTGCACAAATCCTTCTCGCAGCAGTCCACGTCGACCTTTAAGATCCCAGAGTTAATAAACCCCATCAGATAGTCTGAGAAAAAGTGTCGCTTAACGAAGTCACAGGAGGAGGCACACATCTTGTTCACCGAGTGATCCTTCCTGCCTGGGAAGAGAAAGCGTGGCCTGGGACGGGGGCTCCTCCTGGGCCCTCTCTGCCTCATCCCGAGGACCCAGCCCAGGCCCCTCCGGGTCAGCTCGGGGCCCCAGTAGGCAGGGCCGAGTCCCTCCACCCTCCCACGCTGGCCTCAACTAGATGAAAAGGGCCACCAAGGAGCCAGGGGGGGACAGCAGGACAGTATCCTGCCTGCCGCCCCACGCTCTCACTCTCGTCCCAGGCCAGAGGGGCTCCGAGGACACCTCTGACCTCTCTCAAGAGCCTGGCTTTTAGCACATTCCCCACCACCCTAAGTCCCAACTTACTGCTGCTGGGATCGGTGATTCGGACACTGGCACACACCGTGTCGGACGGCTGGCACTGCTTTGGGGTGCAATGGCTGGAGTTGGTGGTCAGGGTGCAGTCCTGGCACCACAGGCCATGAGCTGGGCAGGGCATGGGGAGGAGGGTGACCAGAGGCACTGGGGTCCAAACCAGGCAGCCCCCTGCGCCCCCCACCCATCCCCCTGCTGCAGGCACTCCTGGGAGAGCCCGACCCCACGGGAGGGAGCAGGCCCCCATGACCCCTGGAGGGGGAGCAGAGGCCCTGGGACAACTGTGCCCCATCCTGGCAGTTTGAGGGGAGCCCCTATGGCCCCTCCCTGGCCCCCATGCACGTGCGTGCACACACACACACAAACACACACACGGGCTATACAGACCCCACACCGACAGTGCCCCCCTCACACTCCCGCCCCGCCTCACATATCCCCCCCAGAGGTCCGTGGGTTCCAAGCTGTGAAGGACCAAACTGGATTTGAAAGGAGGCCCGGGAGGCTCTCAGAGGTGACGGATGACCAAGGGCTTCCGTGCGGGGCCAGCCGCCCACCAGTTCCAGGCCCTGGAGGAAGAGCGCTGGAGAGAGCCCAGTGCCGGGGCAGAGGGGCCGAGGGCCGGGCTGGGGTCGCAGGGGTCCCGGAGGGGGCGTGGGCTCTATGCGAAGTGCGGTGGGAACCGTCAGAGGGTGGCAGCCCCACACCCGGCTCTCCCGCGGCGCCTCGGGCTCTCCCAGGCACCTGACCCAGCCCGCGGGCCCCCTACTCACCGGGCGCCGAGCACAGCAGGACGGCCAGCAGCGCCAGGCCGAGGCCCTTCATGGCTGCAGGCAGCATGCTCCGGGTGGGCCTGGGGGCGGCGCGGGGGCTTGGGGCGCGGGTCCTCTGGGGCGCAAGCCTGGAGGGGAGAAGCATCGGTCAGGAGACCCCAAAGACCCTCTCCTTTCCCAGCCTCAGGATGCAACCTTCTCCCCGGAATCCAAGGCCGGGGTCCGCCCGGAGCTCGCAGAGCCCCACCCCCAGCCCCTTCTCCAGAGCGTCCGCCGTCACAGCATCCCCGCCGGGAGACGTCTGGCCTCTGGGGCGAGGTGACAGCTCGAGACGCCTCCGCCCCGCGCCGGCACCTGTGTGGGGGAGCGGATGGGGGGCGTCCTCTTCTCCCCGGGGAGCTGCAGGTGCGTCCGGACAGGAATGAGCGGCAGGGGCGGGAGCGGGTGGGACCTGCCACTGGGGGGAGGGGCGCGTGCCAGGTCCCCACCCCCACCCCTGGGCTGGGGGGCCGGGAACCCCGGGCCGAGTCCCCTCCCTTGGCCTTCCGCGCGCGCCTCGGCGCTCACCGCGGATGGGGCGTGGAGCGCGGGCCTCGGGGTCGGGGGGCTCACTCACATCCCGGGGGTGTCCGCACTCCGGGCTCGGGCGGCGTGCGCGGCGCGGGGAGCTGTGCCCTTCGGTCTCCCTGCGGACCGGAATCCGGGCGCAGCCTCGTCTTTCGGGGAACGCAGCCGCAGACGCGGACCCCGCGCGAGGGGCGGGGCGGAGCCGGGGCGGGGGCCGCGCGGGGGGCGGGGGCGGCTGGGAGACGCGCGGGGCGGGGGGCGCCCGGGGCTCGCGGCCCCCACGCAGGTAGCTGGCCCGGGCCCTCCGCGCCCCCTTGCTGGCGCGCGCGCTCCCTCGGGTTCCCGCTCCCTCCCTCGCGGCGCCCCCTGCTCCTCCCCAGCCTCCGCGGCCCCCTACCCAGGCGTGGGCAGGATCCCTTCCCCCTCTGCTTGGCTGAGATCCCCTTGGAATTTCTCGGAAGAACGTTTACTGCGAAAGGAAGCAAAATGCACAAAGACGCAGAGAGGGGGAGGTACCCGGCGCGGCGCCACGCGCAGGTCCGGGTTCGCAGACCCCTGGGGTCAGACTCCCGCCCTGGGGCCCCGCCCTCCCCCTCCTCCCCGCCCCTCCCCAACCTCATACCCGTTTCCCCGTTTCCCCGTTTCCAGTGGCTCCAGGCCGTTCTCCTCCCCTGAGCATCCATGAAGACCCCCACCAGAAGCCGCAGCCCCAGGGGCTTCTGTCGCCAAATACTCCCACACTCGGAGGTAAAGGTACAAATCCTGGCCAGAGCATCCGAGCCTTGGACCCGTTTCTCGGCTTCCTTGGCCTTCCCGCCCTGCCCTCCAGCTCCCTAAAAGCTGTGCCTTTGCACGTGTCCCTGTGCCTGAAATCCGCCTCCCCGGGGCACTGGGGAAGCCCCGATCTGCCATCGTGCCTTTGGTCCTGCTCCCTTTCATTTGACCTGAAAATGTTTACTGCATGCTCCCTGCTGCCCTAGCCCTGCCCTGAGCCCTGGGAAAGGGCATGAGGAGAGAGACCTGGTTTCTGCCCTCCTGACTCTCCCCTTGGACAAATGGTGATGCCTACTGCAGCATATCTTTGCAGGATGTGACAGAGCTAACATTTATTGAGCATGTACTATGGATTCCACCTGTTCTAGACACTTCATATTTATTATCTCCTTATAGTCTCACCACAGCCCTGCTGTGCAGATAGTATCATTTCCATCTCACAGATGAGGAGACTCACACGGAAAGGCGGCGCTCCCTGCTCGGGGTCACACAGTGACGCAGGTGACAGGTGACCCAGCTGAAGTGGGAACCCAAGCAGCTTGGGCTACAGGGACTGCACACCTCCGCTCCATTGTGGCTCCAGAGGGGTGGAGGCAAGGACGAGATGGACAAGAGACCACCACAGGAGCGTGCTTTGCCTCAGGGTCAGGGAGAGCTTCTCCCAGGACCTGATACTTTAGCCGAGAACTGAATGAGGAGTTGAGATTCATAAGGTGCAGAGGGCAAGAGCTAGATCAAGGTTCAAACACAATTCTTTTCAAAACATACAGAGCTCGCAAGAAAGTAAAAGAAATCTGAGTCCATAAAGAAAGAAGTAAATAGAATAATGGACTCCCAAAGTCTGCCCACTGAGCAGGAGGCAGATGTGAAACTCACAGTGGTCCTGGGCAGACCTGGACCCCCACGGGGTCTGAGGTCCCGGAAGCAGAGCCTGAGGCAGGGATTCCAGAGCAAGCCCTTTGGTTGGAGGTGGGGATAGCAGCCCTGGGGAGTGGGGAAGTGGTCCAGGGTGGGGAAGGAGGCTGGCAAGCATGTGGTACTCAGCAACCCCCCGCAGTGGGGAAATGGAGCCTGACCCCAGAGAGGTACTCTGGGAAGTGGTGTAAACTGTGAGCCTCAGGTGAACTCACCCAAGGGATGAGGGAACAGGTATTTCACAGCGACACCCAAGAGTCATTGATTGAGGGCTGCCCCGAGGGATGCTTTCTCCTGCACCCTCCACTTGGCACCCACACAGAGCCCTCCGGGGAGCCAGGGTGGTCCCAGGTCAGTAGCATCCCTGCTTGCAAAAGCAAAACCAACGATGAATACTCTGGAGAAAGCAAGCCCCAACTTAGGGACTGAGGTTCCCACAGATTTAACTGAATCAAATATGAGTTCAAAATGAAAAATCAGCACATGTCTAAAGAAAGCAAGCCTCCAAGTGAGACTCAGCTGACAGTGACGAGCAACAGATTTAAATCACCACAAACTTTCTAAATGGAAAATATCAAATATAGGATATAAAATTAACCTATTTGTTATGCTTAAGATATATTAAAATAAGGAACAAAGCACTATGAAACCAATCACCATGCTTATCAGAAAAAAATAGAACCTCTAGAAATGAAAAACTTTTCATTGAAATGAAAAGGTCAGCAGAAACCTTGAAAGAATTACGGTAACTGAAAGAAGCCAGTCACAAGAAAACACATTGTGTGGTTTTCTTTTTATGAAATGTCCGGAATAAACAATCCAAGAGAGACAGAAGGTAGCTTAGTGGTTGCCTTGTGCTAGAAGGGTGGGATAGGGGAATCAGTCCTCCTTAGGGACTGGTAATAGGCACTACTAATAAATAAAGTGATAAAAGCACTCATTTAGGAGTGATGAAAATGTTCTAAAAATAGTGATTATGGTCACACAACTCTATGAATATACTACAGACCCCTGGCTTGTATATTTAAAAGGGTAAATGCTATGGTATGTGAATGATATCTCAATAAAGGTGTTTAAAAAAATACTCAGCAAACAGATTACGCAGCAAATTAAACACAACTGAAGAGGGAATTCATAAACTAGAAGATAAATCTTTAAAAAATTACCAAGAATGTAGCACAAAGGATAAGGAAATAGAAAATAGGGAAAATAAGAAACATAAAAGATGGTGTTTTCCTGATGCCCACTTAAGTCTGAGCAAGAAAAGAAGAAAAGAAAAAACTAAAATAAAATAAAACAAAAAGATGGTGTGCAGAGAGCTTATGGAAGTCTGGTTGAAATCTCAAAGGAAAGAGAGTCAATCATTGAAGAAGTTATGCCTGAGAATATTTCAGAACTGATAAAAAATAAGTATGCACAGAGAGGCACAACATGGACTAAATAGAATAAAGAAAAATAAAGTTTAGATGACAGAGTGAAATTGCAGAAGACCTTTAAGCCAGCCAAAAAGAAAAGGAAGATCAGCTCCCAGGAAACAGCAATAAGATTGCCAGCAGAATTCCAGGAGCCCCAGTGACAGCCAAAGGAGAGGAAAATCGGATCTGTAAAGGGCTCAGAGGGAAATAACTGTCACTAAGAACTTGATATATTTTCCAAAAATAAGTGTAAAATAGAATTTTCAGAAAATTAAAAGTTTAGAAAACAACTCAATAGCAGGAAAACAAATAGGCCAATTAAAAAATGAGCCAGAAGCAGAATAAACCTTTCTCAAAAGAGGGCATACAATGCCATCAGGTGTATGGAAAAATGTTCAGCATTATAATCATCAGGGAAATGCAAATTAAAATCACAAGGAGAGATCACCTCCTGCCTATTAGAATGCCTGCCATCAAAAAGACAGAGATAACAATTTTTGGTGAGGATGTGGAGAAGAGAACCGTTGTGCACTGTTGGTGGGAATGTAAATTAGTGCAGCCATTAGGAAAAGCAGTATGGAAGTTCCTGAAACAATTGAACATGGAGCTACCTTGCCACCCAGCACTTCCAGTTCTGGGTATATAGCCAGATAAATAGAAATCAGTATCTTGAAGAGAGGCCTGCATGCCCATATCCATTGCAGCATTATTCCTAACAGCCAAGACATGGAATCCACTTGTGTCCATCAGCAGATGAATGGAAAAAAGAAAAAGTGACAGAGAGAAAGAGAGATAGATTAGATAGATATAAGCCAGGCTCGGTGGCTCACACCTGTAATCCCAGTACTTTGTGGGGCTGAGGCGGGGGGATCACCTGAGGTCAGGAGTTCAAGAACAGCCTGGCCAACATGGCGAAACCCTGTCTCTACAAAAAATACAAAAATTAGCCAGGTGTGGTGGCACGTGCACCTGTAATCCCAGCTACTAGGGAGGCTAAGGTAGAAGAATCACTTGAACCCGGGAGGCAGAGGTTGCAGTGAGCCAAGATCACGCCACTGCACTTCAGCCTGGGCGACAGAGTGAGACTGTCTCAAAAATAAATAAATAAATAAATAATTTAAAAATAAAAATATTAGATAGATGTAGATCTATAAAGTGTTAAAATAAAGATTATGAAACTGATGGGATGCACTCTTTGTGGCAATGATATTCCAAATTATAAATAAGACCTAAGGCTGTGGCAGGCAAGGATTAAGTCACACACCCCTAAACTTAAAGAATAAACTATGTTCTAACCATAAGGATTTTTCTTTTTCTCTAGCAGCTAAACAAACACTGGCCACAAAAAAAAATGATACGTGTGCGAGGTGATGAATATGTTAATTAGCTTAATTTAATCATTATATAATGTATACATATATCAAAACATCACGTTGTACCCCATAAATATGTATAATTATTATGTGTCAAACTTTTTTTAACTTTAGATAATTTTTTTCAGATGAATAAAAATCAGAGACATTGAGAGAGCTTACCACTAACAGTCCTTCCCTAAAGACTGCACTTCAAGGAGAAAATTTGTCACAGAGAGAAGGTTAGGGCCAGGTATGGTGGCTCACACCTGCAATCCCAGCACTTTGGGAGGCCTAGGTGAAAGGATCACTTGAGACCAGGAGTTTGAGACCAGCCTGGGAAACATAGGGAGACTCCATCTCTACTAAAAATTTTAAAATTAGCTGGGTGTGGTGGTGCACACCTGTAGTCTCAGCTACTCAGGAGGCTGAGGTGGGAAGACTGCTTGAGCCTAGGAGGTTGAGGATGCAGTGAGCTGTGATCGCACCACTGCACTCCAGCCTGAGAAACAGAGCAAGACCCTGTCTCAAAAAAAAAGTACCTGGCCAGGCGCGGTGGCTCACACCTGTAATCCCAGCACTTTGAGACGCCAAGGCGGGGGAGATCACTTGAGGTCAGGAGTTTGAGACCAGCCTGGCCAACATGGCAAAACCCCATCTCTACTAAAAATACAAAAATTAGCGGGGCATGCACGGTGGCTCATGCCTGTAATCCCAGCACTTTGGGAGGCTAAGGTGAGCGGATCACGAGGTCAGGATATCGAGACCATCCTGGCTAACACAGTGAAACCCTGTCTCTACTAAAAATACAAAAAAAAATAGCCGGGCATTGTCGTGGGCGCTTGTAGTCCCAGCTACTTGGGAGGCTGAGGTAGGAGAATGGCATGAACCCGGGAGGCAGAGCTTGCAGTGAGCGGAGATCGCGCCGCTGCACTCCAGCCTCTGTCTCAAAAAAAAAAAAAAAAAAATTAGGCAGGCATGGTGATGTGCACCTGTAATCCCAGCTACTCAGGAGGCTGAGGCAGGAGAATTGCTTGAACCCGGGAGGTGGAGGTTACAGTGAGCCGAGATTGCACCACTGCCCTCCAGCCTGGGTGACAGAGCGAGACTCCATCTCACAAAAAAAAAAAAAAAAAAATTACATGAGTGGACCTTTGAGAAGGCAGGCTGCTTTCCGCCATGGCGGGCTTCATCCATTCGGCAGAAGGCCTGGATAGAATGAAAGACTGGCCTCCCTGCGGCAGAGTCCTTGGACTCGAACGGCACGTCAGCTCTTCCTGGGTTTCCAGCCTGCTGGCCCTGCAGGTTTTAGACTTGCCAGCCTCCTTCATCCTGGAAGCCAATTTTCAAAAACCTCTCTGCACGTGTGCATCCCATTGGTTCTGTTCTCTGATCAATGCAAGGAGGGCCCTACAGCAGAGGGCTTGCCAGCCACTCAGGGAGTTGCGGCTCTGGGCCCCTTTCCTTCCACCCTCCTGGTCCTGCCCTCCATATCAAAAGACGACTGGCCAGAGAGAAAAGCTTGGGAATGGCTTTGAGGTACACGATCAAAGACGTCTGCAGAAATGGGAAACGCAAAGGGTTGAAGAGAGGGATGGATGCTATTGATCGACATCTCAGAAGATCCTCTGACTGCCTTATGGAGAATGGACTGGAAGGTTCTAGAACAGAACAGGGAAGCTGGTGAGGAGGACGTGGCTGGGACCAGGGCAATGGCCGTGGAAATGGCCATGGAAGTGGGTGGGCTTGCAAGGCTTGGTGATGTCTCTGTGCAGGATGCCTGCCTCCTGGGCCGGGAGCTGGGGATGCAGATGGGCCGAGGGTGTGGGGCTGGGAGGAATGGTCACTAGAGAGGTGTGTGAAGCACTTTCTTAAGTCAGAGATGCCTGGGAGGCCTCCAGCAAGAGAACTCAAGGACATCAGGGTTGCAGAAGAGAAGCCTTGCCTGGAGACAGACGTGGGCATTGCTAGCACAAGGAAGAGAGCAGACACAGTCGTCTAGGAAGTGGAGAGGGGAAGGAAGGTCATCTAGGGAGGACGTGGGGAGGGGAAGGAAGGTCATCTAGGGAGGAAGTGGGGAGGGGAAGGAAGGTCGTCTAGGGAGGAAGTGGAGAGGGAAGGAAGGTCGTCTAGGGAGGAAGTGGAGAGGGGAAGGAAGGTCATCTAGGGAGGAAGTGGAGAGGGGAAGGAAGGTCATCTAGGGAGGACGTGGGGAGGGGAAGGAAGGTCGTCTAGGGAGGAAGTGGAGAGGGGAAGGAAGGTCGTCTAGGGAGGAAGTGGAGAGGGGAAGGAAGGTTGTCTAGGGAGGAAGTGGAGAGGGAAGGAAGGTCGTCTAGGGAGGAAGTGGGGAGGGGAAGGAAGGTCATCTAGGGAGGACGTGGGGAGGGGAAGGAAGGTCGTCTAGGGAGGAAGTGGAGAGGGGAAGGAAGATCGTCTAGGGAGAAAGTGGGGAGGGGAAGGAAGGTCATCTAGGGAGGACGTGGGGAGGGGAAGGAAGGTCGTCTAGGGAGGAAGTGGAGAGGGGAAGGAAGGTCGTCTAGGGAGAAAGTGGGGAGGGAAGGAAGGTCGTCTAGGGAGGAAGTGGAGAGGGAAGGAAGGTCGTCTAGGGAGGAAGTGGAGAAGGGGAAGGAAGGTCGTCTAGGGAGGAAGTGGAGAGGGGAAGGAAGGTCATCTAGGGAGGAAGTGGGGAGGGGAAGGAAGGTCGTCTAGGGAGGAAGTGGGGAGGGGAAGGAAGGTCGTCTAGGGAGGAAGTGGGGAGGGGAAGGAAGGTCATCTAGGGAGGAAGTGGGGAGGGGAAGGAAGGTCGTCTAGGGAGGACGTGGGGAGGGGAAGGAAGGTCATCTAGGGAGGAAGTGGGGAGGGGAAGGAAGATCGTCTAGGGAGGAAGTGGGGAGGGGAAGGAAGATCGTCTAGGGAGGAAGTGGAGAGGGGAAGGAAGGTCGTCTAGGGAGGAAGTGGGGAGGGGAAGGAAGGTCGTCTAGGGAGGAAGTGGGGAGGGGAAGGAAGATCGTCTAGGGAGGAAGTGGGGAGGGGAAGGAAGATCGTCTAGGGAGGAAGTGGAGAGGGGAAGGAAGGTCATCTAGGGAGGACGTGGGGAGGGGAAGGAAGGTCGTCTAGGGAGGAAGTGGGGAGGGGAAGGAAGATCGTCTAGGGAGGAAGTGGGGAGGGGAAGGAAGATCGTCTAGGGAGGAAGTGGGGAGGGGAAGGAAGGTCGTCTAGGGAGGAAGTGGGGAGGGGAAGGAAGATCGTCTAGGGAGGAAGTGGGGAGGGGAAGGAAGATCGTCTAGGGAGGAAGTGGAGAGGGGAAGGAAGGTCGTCTAGGGAGGAAGTGGGGAGGGGAAGGAAGGTCGTCTAGGGAGGAAGTGGGGAGGGGAAGGAAGATCGTCTAGGGAGGAAGTGGAGAGGGGAAGGAAGGTCGTCTAGGGAGGAAGTGGGGAGGGGAAGGAAGGTCATCTAGGGAGGACGTGGGGAGGGGAAGGAAGGTCATCTAGGGAGGAAGTGGGGAGGGGAAGGAAGATCGTCTGGGGAGGAAGTGGGGAGGGGAAGGAAGATCGTCTAGGGAGGAAGTGGGGAGGGGAAGGAAGGTCATCTAGGGAGGACGTGGGGAGGGGAAGGAAGGTCGTCTAGGGAGGAAGTGGGGAGGGGAAGGAAGATCGTCTAGGGAGGAAGTGGAGAGGGGAAGGAAGGTCGTCTAGGGAGGAAGTGGGGAGGGGAAGGAAGGTCGTCTAGGGAGGACGTGGGGAGGGGAAGGAAGGTCATCTAGGGAGGACGTGGGGAGGGGAAGGAAGGTCGTCTAGGGAGGAAGTGGAGAAGGGGAAGGAAGGTCGTCTAGGGAGGAAGTGGAGAGGGGAAGGAAGATCGTCTAGGGAGAAAGTGGGGAGGGGAAGGAAGGTCGTCTAGGGAGGAAGTGGAGAGGGGAAGGAAGGTCGTCTAGGGAGGAAGTGGAGAGGGGAAGGAAGGTCGTCTAGAGAGGAAGTGGAGAAAGGAAGGAAGGTCATCTAAGGAAGAAGTGGAGAGGGAAAGAAAGAGGTCCCCAGGCCCACTCCTGGAGGCGCTGGCCATGGGGTCCTGCCTTGAGTAGCAGATGGCAAGGGCTCTTCTTGCCAAGGGTACAGCACAAGTCAGGCCCTGAGATCGGTGCCTGACGCCCACCACAACTGTGAGCCTCCCCATGTGACACTGACCACGCAGGGCTGAGTCTCAGGGCTGCCCTCAGGCTAGGGTGCTCTCCGTCATCCACATAGGTTGGCTGGAATCCCAGCAAGGGTTCACACTCTGGGCCCTTCCCATCTCCACTCCTCTTGTTCCTGCCAAGCCACCTCCCTCCCCTTTAGCCAAGCCACTCCCAAGGGTCCCAGAGCCACCTCTTCCCAGGCAGGGCCCACAGGTATCCTCCAGCAAAATCCCACTGAGCCTCCTGCTTCCAAAGCACTCCCTCTTCCCTCCCCCAACCCCACCTCACCCTGCACCCCTCTAACTCCTTCTCAGCTTCTCCTCTCGGCCTAAGTGTTCCCTCTGACCCCCAGATCAGGTGTGTGGAGGGCACAGGGGCTCTGGGGAGCACAGGAGCATGAGGGGACACCGGGGCTCTGGGAGGCCACAGGGGTGCAGCCCCTCCATGTGGATCTTGTCCCACCAGGGACCGTCGGCTCCTTACAGGTGGGTATCTTGTGGACGTTGCTGTCACCGGCAGCCGGGGCAGGTCCCGACGCAGAGCCCCTGGCTGCACTGACGCCTCTCCCGGTTCCATTCCTGCCCATCATCCTACTGCTTACCCTCCCTGGGTCCAGGGTCAAGGCCATAAAGGAAGAGGCCTGAAGAGGAAGTTTTACCAGGACCAGCCACAGTCTCACACCTGCTCCCACACCTGCCACTTCCTCCTGTATCTCCACCACCCCCTACCCCACACCTTCCTCCCTCTCAACCCTGGCTCATGCAGTTCCTCCCTCTGCAACGTCCTCCCCTCCAGAGCCAGGACACAGGGAGCTCCTCCCAGCCTGTCCTTATGCACTGAACAGTCCCCAGCATGCCCTCCGGTGGCCTGGGCACACAGTGAGGGTCAGGTCTCAGGCCCCTGCATCCTCCCCGAATGTCCCATCCCTCTCAGAACCTCACACACGGACAGTCAGCCTAACCGTGGACCTCTCCCTGCCACCTGACCATGAGCCAGCACGAGGCACCTGGCTCCGTCCCCTGGAAAGGGGCTGCAGGGATGGGTGAGGCAGTGAGAGACCTGGTCAGAGACGTGGTCAGACAAGGCCCCTCCTGGGGGACACTGAGCCAGGCCTGAGGACTCTGCGGGTTCTGGAGGGAGGAGAGAGCAGGGGATGGAGCTGAGTGAGGGCGGGCTAAGGGGGATGGAGGACGGGGGGCAGCTGAGGTCACAGCAGTGGCAGAGATGGCTCAGGCTGTGTGCTGGGAAAGGGGCAAGATTTTATACTAAAGGCCACAGGGGCCAGGGAAGTGTTTGAGGCGGGGTGGTATTTGGGTCCAGCCGTGCTCGCCTGTGTTTGATGTGTCCGTTTCAAATTTCACACTGCCTTTGCCATGGGGCAGCGGACAAGCACAGGTGCCCTGGCACAAGGCTGGCCTCTGCGTCTCTTAGCTGGACCCAGAGTCCCTGTATAAGAGTGGGGGACTGTGGGTGGCACTCAGTAGGTGTCCCTGTACAAGAGTGGAGGGGCTGTGGGTGGCACTCAGTGGTGGTCCCTGCTGACCACAGCCAGTCTACTCCTAGAATAGGAATCTCTGCCAAGTTACCCTTCAGAGACTTGAAAGTTCCCTGCCAGGCCTCGAGCAAGGCAGGCCCTACCTTCCAGTGCCTAGGTCTGTGGGATGGTGGACAGGCTCCAGGGGCCCCCAGTGCTCCACGCCCCTGCGGCTCTCACCCTCAGGGACTCCCCTCCCCTTTCACACAGGCTGCTCCTGCCAACTTACTTCTGATGAAGCTGGCACAGCAGAGTGACGGGATGTGGCTCCCGAGATCCGGTTACAAAGCCTGTGGCTCTGTCTTCGCTGTGCTCTCTGGCTCTCTGGCATCCTGGGGGGTGCTGGCTGCTGTGCTGGGAGGAAGCCCTGTGGACAAGCCCAGGTGACAGCGATGAGGGGCTGAGTCAACAGCTGTGCAAGTGAGCTGGGGAGCAGATCCCCTAAGCTGAGCCTTCAGATGAGCCTGCAGCCCCAACCCAAAGGCTCGGTACAACCCACGAGAGACGGTAAGCCAGAGCCACCACAGAGCCTGGATTCCCGCCCCACAGACACTGAGAGAATAAACTGTGTTGTTTTAAGTCCCTGTGTTTGGGGGCAATTTGCCACACAGTAAAAGACAGCACAGGTGGGTAGGGCCTGGCTTGTGCATAACCTGGGATGGGGCAAGGGGTGCCAGGACACCCAGAGAGTCATGTCTAAGCAGGGGCAGAGCCTACAAATGCCAGAGGCGAGACCTGGCTCTGGGCTGCTCTTGGAGCAGAGACCCGGCTCTCCCCACACTGGGCTCGGTTGCCAGGGAGACGGAGATTCCTAACCCGGTTTCCAGGCTACTCTGCCGTCCTCCCCATGCACGTGGGTCGGTTTCACCCTATCAGGATTTTTGCAAATAAGAATAACAACCGTGGTCATGATTAGCAGAAGAAAGGTCTTTAATGACACAGAGCAAACCAATGTCAAGGTGTGGCCCTGGCCCTTTCAGTTTGCACAGCCCTGCAGGGAGCTGGGGACAGGGGCCGCACCTTCCTCCTCCCAGTCTAACCCGGCCCAGATGCCTGTTTCCGGGGACGTAGGGCAGCGACAGGGTGATGGGGCTGCCTGGACACGCTGTCTGGGGATACTTCAACAAGCATCCTGCAACCGTGGCCCAAGCCTCCTTTCTATGCTCAAGGTCTGGCAGTGATTGGCGCACCAGCTGTTCACACCGCAGAACCACCTCCCAGAGGCGAGGCAGGACCAGAACCAGGGGCAGTGTCAGAGGCCGCTGCTCTTGGGCCTTTTGCTTCAGGCATCTGGAAGCACTGAGGCCGACAGATGCAGAGGGGACAGGCCGTGGTGGAGGCGTGGGGGCGGGCCCACCAGAGAGGTGCCGCACAGCTCCCTGTCTTGAGTTTTAGCCACCACTGTCAGCACCCTCCGAGCTGCTGGAGGTGGGACCCGGGCGAGTCTCAGAGAAGATGCACCTGTCCCGAGGGCTTGCACCTGAGTTACAGAGAAGAAGGCATTTCCCAAAAGACAGGCCCTACCCTCCAGAGGGTCTGCTAGGGTAGGACAGAGACACTCTCATGCACACAATAAGCATTTGCTGAGGAGCTGTGGTGCTCAGATAAGGAGAGAAGCCCCTGATCCCCGAGGGCTTCCAGGACAGTGGGGGAGACAGTGTGCAGTGTGGGGCCCCACGGAGACGTTCATGGCCCAGCTCCCAGGACCCGCGAATGCGGCCTTACGGAAAAAGGGGTCTTTGCAGATATAATTAAGGATCTCAAGATCATCCTGCATTTGGGCTGGGTCCTAAATCCAGTGACAAGGGTCCTTACAAGAGAGAGAAGAGGAGAGGAGCACAGAGGAGGAGGCCACGTGACCCCAGAGCAGATTGGAGTCATGGCCACAGGCCAAGGAACCCTTCAAGCCACAGAAGCTGGAAGTCAGAGGAGGATCCTGCCCGAGACCCTTCAGAGCAAATGAAGTCCTGCTGAAACCTTGACTTCAAACTTCTGGCCTCCAAAACCACAAAAGAATACATTTCTGGGCCGGGCGCGGTGGCTCACGCCTGTAATCCCAGCACTTTGGGAGGCCGAGGCGGGTGGATCACGAGCTCAGGAGATCGAGACCATCCTGGCTAACACGGTGAAACCCCGTCTCTACTAAAAATACAAAAAAATTAGCTGGGCGTGGTGGCGGGCGCCTGTAGTCCCAGCTACTCGGGAGGCTGAGGCAGGAGAATGGTGTGAACCCAGGAGGTTGGAGCTTGCAGTGAGCGGAGATCGTGCCACTGCACTCCAGCCTGGATAACAGAGCGAGACTCCGTCTCAAAAAAAAAAAAAAGAATACATTTCTGATGTTTTAAGCCACAAAGTTTGTGGAGAGCTCTCACAGCATCCCCAGGGGCCCCAGCCATCACCTCTGGCACTGGGTCCTCTTCAGGCTGACTCCTGTGTCCTCTGACATGACCCTGTGGCTTCTCCCAACACATTATGAACAATTTCAAGAACACAGGACAAATGGAAAGAAGTTTACAATGAACACCCGTATACCTGGCACCTGGATCCTACAATTCATATGTTGTTACATTTGCTTTATCATATATTCACCCCAACCCATCTCCTATTCTTGATGGACTTCAAAGTAAGCTGTAGCCACCTGCACGCTTCCCACAGAGACTCTAGCTTACACTTCATAACTACCTAACATATCATCAATTACGTTTAGAGGTGAAACCACATTCAGTGAAATGCATGCACCTTGAGGGTGCCATTCCATAGTTCTGACAAATGCATACACCCGTGTAACCCAAACCCCTAACAAAATATAGACATTACTAATCCCCCAACCCACATCCTACCCTGCCCAGCTCCAGTGAAACCCCATCTCCTCCCTTCTGCAAAGACAACAACTGTTCTGAAACTTTTAAAACCATAGGTTACTTTGGCCTGCTCTAGAACGTCACATAAGTCAAACCATGTGGTCCATATCCTTTCCTGCAGGCTCCTTGTGATGCGTGCGGCCAGGGTCCTGGCAGTTTGTTCCCTTGCATGGCTGAGTGGCATCCCACGCGTGAGCGTTCCACGCATGAGCGTTACAACGTTTGCTTATCCACTTCCTTGTTGGCCGACCCTGGGCTGTGTGCCGTGTTTGGCTCGGGTACATTCCTGAGTCCCGCATTCTCTTGGGTAAATATTGGGGTACAGAGTTGCCGTGTCCAGAGTTGCTGTGTCCAAAGGTCAAGTAAATCGTTCTCTAAGAAATTGCCAGGCCAGGCGCGGTGGCTCACGCCCGTAATCCCAGCACTTTGGGAGGCCGAGGTGGGCAGATCACCTGAGGTCAGGAGTTCGAGACCAGCCTGGCCAACATGGTAAAACCTCGTCTCTACTAAAAATACAAAAATTAGCCAGGCGTGGTGACACACCTGTAATCCCAACTACTCAGGCGGCTGGGGCAGGAGAATCACTTGAGCCGAGATTGTGCCACTGCACTCCAGCCTGGGTGATGAGAGTGAAACTCCATCTAAGAAAGAAAGAAGGAAGGAAGGAAAGAAAGGAAGGAAGAAGGGAAAAGAAAAGAAAAGAAAAGAGAGACAGAGAGAGGGGGGGAGGGATGGAGGGAGGGAAGAGAGAGAAAGAAAGAAATGGCCAGACTTTTTCCAGAGCAGCTGTCCCACCTCATACTCCCACAGCACGTGCACAGACCAGCTGCGCACCTCACGCAGACACGTGGTGCTGAGCTGCAACGGCCCTGAGCACTCCCAGGCCATCCCACACACTTCCTGCTCTGGAGTCTGACATTCTGTTATTGGAGGGGAGGTCTTGACTGTGAGTTGTCCCGGTTCTTGGCGTGTTGAACAAAGAACTGAACAAAACGCACAAACAAAACAACGAAAGAACAAAGCATCAAAAGAAGCAACGAAAGCGCAGATTCATTGACGCGCAAGTGCACTCCGCGGCTGGGAGCGGCTCGAGCAAGCGGCTCACGAGCCCAACTGCAGTGTTCTTTAGGGTTCTTATGAAGCTGAAGGAATTTGGTAACACCCCTAGGTGCCCTTTGGAGACCTCCAGCAGGTTACGTCTCATGAAGGATTGGCCTGCGCTGTGATCAATCAGTCAAGAGTCTGAAGTGGAGACTTCCGTCTCGTCATCCCAAGAGCGGATGTGGCCCGTGTGCTGCCTCGTCTTGCCTGGAACTGGCTGCACCTGCTCCTCTTTCACTTATGCCTTAACCCGTGGCGACCCTAATTCCCTATCCTCCTGCCTCATTTCCCACTGAGAGACATGATCCCCATAAATCTTTTTTTTTTTTGACTGTCCCTGCCTACTGGGGGTCCTGGCTCTCTGTCCCTAGGTAGTTAGGTGGGTATCCGTGGATCCAGCAGCCTTGTGCTTGCTTGTAAAGGGTGTAGCTGACCTGACCCAGTCACAATGGTTGGGCATTTGGGCCCAATTTTGGATTTTGTTCCCAAACTGGCTGAAACCCTTGCACAAGTATCACACAAACATGGAATTGCTGTAAATGAGAGAGCAAAAAAAATCAGTTAACATTTTAAACAAAGTTAGACCAGAAGTTAAGGCCAAAGATGTGGCAATAACTGGTACTACCAAAGGAAGTAATGCAGATAGCAACCGGTGTTGCCAGGTTTCCGTGGGAGTTCCCAAAGACTCCATTTTCTTTGCCTGGGAAATTACATTTTTAGTATTTTCTTATGCTAAACCAGACTGGCTGATGCAAAAACAACATTCTTCCTTTAAATATAAGCAAGTTCCTCTTTGCCAAAGAGCTCTAAGGCTCTTTGATTTTGTAAGACTACGGCAGCCAGGGAGTCCAGCTGTTGCTGAAGCCTAGTGAGGCCCTCTGCTGTCAGAGGGATATCACAGTCTCCTGAGGCCCCTTATGCTGGATTCCAAGGCTCCTCCTCCTGCAGCGATCCCAGTAAACCCAACAAGGAGGACACAGGTCTGGCATATGCCAGGCTTTTGGTAGTCATGCAAAGCCAACAAACAAGGTGAAGTTTAATAAACCAACAGTATGGCCAATTATTTCCCTTGCTGTGAGAAACATGCTTACCTGTCAAAACCCAAAGAATGGACTTAGAGGCACCAAGAACGGCGGAAGTGAGACTTTTAATAGCAGCTTTGGCCGGGCGCGGTGCCTCACGCCTGTAATCCCAGCACCTTGGGAGGCCGAGGCGGGCAGATCACAAGGTCAGGAGATCGAGACCATCCTGGCTAACAAGGTGAAACCCTGTCTCTACTAAAAATATAAAAAATTAGCCAGGCATGGTGGCGGGCGCCTGTAGTCCCAGCTACTCGGGAGGCTGAGGCAGGAGAATGGCATGAACCCGGGAGGCGGAGCTTGCAGTGAGCCGAGATCGCGCCACTGCACTTCGGCCTGGGCGACAGAGCGAGACTCCGTCAAAAAAAAAAAAAAAAAGCAGTCTTGCAAGATCAGGTGTCTGGTAGACAGGCACACTCAGTAAAGTTACAACAAGCAATTTGTCCCCTAGTGCTCAGGTCCCTCCCCCGGTTCTTCATAGGCTGAGTACTATGGGGTCACGATCTTCCCGGACATCACCTATTAGTCATTGGGTTGCGGTTTTAGGTGTTTTCTTTAAGGTTGTGTTGCTGCGTTTTGTTACAGCCCACAATGCATTGCAGTCATCTCAGGGGCTCTTCAAGTATCTGAATGATGACCCAGGTAGTCAGGCAAGCTGATGAGAATAAAGTTAGCTATTCTGCAAGCTAGTCTAAACTAAACTCTTTGGTTCGGGTGAGGGCAGCTAAGGGGCCCCTACCAGCAGGCACTGGCTATGGAGTTAGGGGCATAGTGTACCTGTTCTTCTGTAGTTTGCAGACCCCAGCCTATCTGGGGCATTTTATTTTAAAAATGGACCACCATATACATCATTTTCTACACTTGCTGACAGGCCAGCGTCCTTGAGAACCATTAAGGTATGGCAAGCAAATGCCAAAAAGTTAATATGATACTGATTTCCCAGACTGGCTTCATTTGGGGTCTTTTGTGGCTTTTCTTAAACAGAGAAAAACCATTTGGTTTATTATTACAAAGGAAGTTATTCCATCCATTCAGATGAAGGCAATTAAGTTGTAAAATCATAAAAATGACTACGAGTATCCAGCTTACAGTAACTATGCAACAAAGGCACCAGGGAGTGTTGGTGGGCATTTACTTATCTTTTGTCTGTCTTTTAAACAGGTACCGCATGTCTTCTACAGGTTCACGGGTGCAGTGGCTGGTGGGAGCCTCAGGTTCCAGGTCCAGAGCTCCAGGTGTCGCAGGCTTGACCTTGGAAAGATGGATCCAGCTACTTAATCCTAGTACTTTGACCTCCGAAGGCATGGCTAACACCACTGAAAACGGTCCCTTCCATTTGGATTGTAGTTGTTGAGTGGATGACCCGTCTTTCCGTGTTTTTTGTTTGTTTGATTGATTGCTTTTGTTTTTTTCTGTTTGTTTGTTTGTTTGTTTGTTTGTTTGTCTTGAGACAGAGTCTTGCTCTCTCGCCCAGGCTGGAGTGCAGTGGAGCAATCTCAGCTCACCGCAACCTCCACTTCCCAGGTTTAAGCAATTCTCCTGTTTCGGCCTCCCAAGTAGTTGGGATTGTGGGCGTGCACCACCATGCCCAGCTCATTTTTGTATTTTTAGTAGAGACAGGGGTTCGCTATGTTGGCCAGGCTGGTCTCAAAGTCCTGACCTCAGGTGATCTGCCTGCCTCAGCCTTCAAAGAGATGGGATTACAGGTGTGAGCCACTGCACCTGGCTCTTTCCATGTTTTAACAGGTACCTTATTTCCTGGCCTAATTTTGGGTTGTTGGTTAGCTCCTGGCATGGGGAGCCTTTGAATTCCAAACTTTCATAATCCCTGCTGAAATTGCCCCAGAGTAACGATGTCTTTTATTAACCACTCCCACCCCCCAGCCGTTCTGGATCATTAAGTAGATTATGAGTTAAAAACAGCCTCCCATACAACATTTCATATGGGCTCATATTTTTTTTTTGCTTTCAGGGAGTTACAGAGTCTCAAGAGGGCTACGGGCAGTAAGCTGACCCAAATTTCTGATGTTTCCTGACATAGCTAAGCTAACGCTTGTTTTAGAGTTTGGTTAGCCCTTTCTACTTTCCTGAAGGATTGAGGCCTCCATGCTGAATGTAAATAGTATTTGATTCCGAGAGCCTTAGCAACCGCCTTGAGTTACTTATCACTTTGGAGGCTCTGGGGTAACCAGAACCAGGGGACTATTTCCTTTAAGAGACACTTTATAACCTCATTGGAATTTACAGTCTTGATTATCTCCTTTTTCATTCCTCCAAGGAGTGTGTCAAGAAACTGCTGGATCCCAATTAGGGCTGGTGGTGGGCGCCATGTCTGGGCCCAGGTGATTGCCCTGGGGATTTCAGGCCAACATATTGTCTGCCTCGCGGCGGGCAGCCTCAAAAACCCTTTCCTTTTCCATAGGGGTGCAGTCGGTTGCCAGAATGAATTGGACCTCTCTCCACGATCAATCGAAAGCCAGAGCCAAGGTTTGGAAACAGCCTGCAAAGCTACCAGCGTCCTCAGAATCCCTTCCCAGCTTTTCTTTACATTGTTGCCTATCAGTCATGGGAAATGGGACTTGCATTCAAGCTGTGGCCCTCCCGCCCCCGCGGCTTCCCTGGGAGGCGAAGCTGGCCCTCCTGCCCCCGCGGCTTCCCTGGGAGGCAACAGTGCGGGGAGCTGCTGAGTCGGGTGCTCCACTGCTGGTGTGTTAGGGGCTTCGTGTAGTTTGTTCCTCTGGCTGGCCTGGCATAGTTGGAGCATGTGGCAAAGGATCATTTGGGGGTGGCCATAGTTCCCTCTGAGAGAAAAGGGGTCTTGGACGAGGGGGTCATTGCCAGGGTCTGGCTCAGTCTTAGGACTTTCTTTCCGAGGGCCAGTGTTAGGAGCTTTACAGATTGAAGCATTCTGATACAAAGCCATAAAGGCTTCACTGTATGGTATTTCTGACCATTTACCCTGCCTTTTGCAAAGTAAGTATAATTGTAGGTTAGTATTACGATGTAGCCTTCAATGGTCTGGCCATTGCACCTGACTGTCTAGCTGATATTGTGGCCAAGTAGTATTAAAATAAAAAACTCAAGCATTTTCTTCTCAGATTGTCAGGGTCAAATTGATTTCAATGGTTGAGGGTGCAGCCAGGCAGGGAATCAGGTGGAATAGATGGGGTGGGTCCCATAGCAGTCTGGGAGAGAAACGAGACCCTAAGGAGGACTTATCTGTGGACCCGAAATTTCCGCCTGGGGCGTCCCCCTGGGGAAGTCTCAGGTTTAGCCTTGCATCCCAAGGCCCCCCCTTCAGGGTCCACTCTTACAGTGTCAGGCGTCTCTGACCTCAGGTGGGCACCAGTGCCGCTTTGGATGTTTTCTCTCCACAGCCAGTGGCCCACTGTGATTCCCTTTGTACCTGGATATAATCCCTGGCTTTTCACGTCCCACCAATTTAGATGGACCATGTCTTCCTGCATTCTTCACAGGGTTATGGTAGGCCCTTTACTTCCAGCTCTTCATTTGTTCCAGGATGAAACTCAAAAATCCTAATATTAATAACATTAAGGCTGGTGGGGTATTTCTTGTAGCCAGCGACACCAGAGGGTGGTATATGAATCCCTGTGGCTGGTAATTTACTTTGCGGTCTGAACAGGAGAAATACTGTTTGAGCAGGAACCACCAAGACGTGGGGTTTTCCCTAAGCTCGTCCTTTTCTGCACTTTCCGTGCATAAACAAAAGGGGCATGAGATGGTGATGGGGGCTCAAATGCAACAGTTTAGCAATCCCTGGTCCCGACAAAGCATTAGCAAGGCGAGGGGAGAAATTAGAAGATGAAGAATTAAATCATCTCAAAGACATTATTGCTGCACATACACAAACCCGACTGTTGCACGGATTTGTCTTGCTCTCGGCAGGACCTAGGTGTCCTGTTCCATGACCGAGTTATCCGGTTACTAGAGACTTCAAGCGGCAGGCACCCTACTGGCTTTTAACTGCCTAACCCATGCCCGCAGATCGCGGCTTTGACAAAAGAAGATAAAAAAGAAGAAGGAAAGGAAATCTAAACCCCAGACAACAGGGCTTACCTCCTGGCTGGCTCTCCAAAATATGTTACCAGATAGAAACTCTTGGCTGTATGCTGTCTAGGCTCTTTGTACAAAGAATTAAACAAAACGTACAAACAAAGCAATAAAAGAACGAAGCATCAAAAAAAAAAAACAACGAAAAGTGCAGATTCACTGAAGCGAAATTGCACTCCACAGAGCAGGAGAGGCTCGAGCAAGCAGCTCAAGAGCCCCGACTGCAGTGTTCTCTAGGGTTCTTATGAAGCTGAAAGAATCTGGTAACACCCCTAGGTGCCCTTTAGAGGCCTCCAGTGGGTTACAATATATGAAGGATTGGCGTGTGACCAGTCAGAGGCTGAGGTGGAAACTCGGCCTGCAGTCAATCAGAGGCTGAGGTGGAAACTCGGCCTGCAGTCAGTCAGAGGCTGAGGTGGAAACTCGGCCTGCAGTCAATCAGAGGCTGAGGTGGAAACTTCTGTCTTGTCATCACAGGACTGAGGATGTGGCCTGTATGCCGCCTCGTCCTGTCTAGAACTGGCCGCACCTGCTGTTCCCTTGCTTCTGCCTTAACCCTTGGTTGCCCTAATTCCATACTGTCCTGCCTCAGGTCGTCTGCAGCTCTGTTCTTTCAGTGGTGATGGTACTTAGATCTCATAATGTAGATACAGGTGTGCTCATTGCTATGGGGTTTGCATTGCCTCTATGTCTCTGCAGTTAGCAAAGTTAGGATGTAAGTATCCTTTTCTTTATTATTTTTTAAATCAGGGTCTCCCTCTATCACACGAATTGGAGTGCAATGGCACAATCACAGTTCACTGTAGCCTTGACTTCCCATGCTCAAGCGATTCTCCCACCTCCGCTCCCGCAACCCCTGCCCCATCACCACCACCAGCAGCAGCAGCAGCAGTGGTAGCTGGAACCACAGGTGTGCCACCACACTGGCGTTTTTTCGTAGACATGGTGTCTCACCATGTTGCCAAGGCTGAGTATCCTTTTTAAAAAAGGAAACAAATCACATGTTTGCCCTCTTTCCAATTCAAAACCAGGATTTCAGGGCTTTTATTTAACTTGATTTTTTAAAACTGTATCTCTTCATTTTTATGCTGAAAAACTTTGTTTTTAAGAATATTCACATATTCGCTTTATCCTATAACATAATAGTTTCAAAATAAAAAGGCTAGCATTATTACAAAGAAGAAGGTTATGAACTAAGAACAAGACTTCTTTGCAGCTCCTTCTGTCCTGGGAGTGTGTCCCACCAGGATGTATCTTCAAAGTGCAGTGTTCTGAGGCTGCTGGAATAATTGCCTTTTCTGTAAAATTAACTTACCAACTTGATATACAGTTTGAGGTTCCTTTGTTTCCATTTATTCTCGGTTTCTGGGGATTTTTATTTAGTATTTTTATTGCATGCAGAAAACTACATACACACTATTACAAAACCAAGGCTTTGATTTTGACTTTTTGAGAAGGTGCATTCTGAGAAATCTCCCTTTTTTTCCTGTCCCCCTACCCCCACCCTGTTCTCTCCTCTCACCTATAATCTTGTCATTGTTTCTTTTTTGCAAATATATAAAAGAGTTGTTTGTATTTACATTCTTCCCCTTACACAAAAGGTGGCATCCCCACGGATCCCCACGGATCCTCACAGATACCCACAGACACCCACAGATCCCCACAGATCCCCACGGATCCCCACAGATCCCCCACCGATCCCCACGGATCTCCATGGATATCCACAGATTTTTTTCCCCCACAGATCTCCGTGGATATCCACAGATCCCCCGCAGATCTCCACAGATCTCCACGGATACCCACAGATTCCCCACGGATCCCCATGGATATCCACAGATCCCCAAGGATACCCATGGCGCCGTTCTTCCCTAGACTTTCACATGGATTCATGCAGCCTGGAGAAGGCTTCCTATCAGTGCTTAGGGACCGGGCTCACTCTTTCCCGCAGCTGCGTGGTCCCCCTGGGGGATGTGCACCAGTGCACTGGGACAGCCGTGCAGTGATGGGCAGTCGGGAGGCTCCCAACCCCTGCTATTTCAAATAGCGCCCCATCGAGAAGCTCCACACTGCGGCATTTTGTGTGTCGGGGCTACGCCTCTGGGATGGAATCCTGGGAGCGGGTGGAAGGCTAACCCAGACACGGTCTTGCAGGGCACTGACAGATTCCTCTCCATTCCCGCAGCCGTGCCTGCGCGGGCGTTTCTTCACAGCCTCACCCCAGGGCAGGCCTGGTGACCCGCCGAGACTGCTGGATTTTGCCAATATGAGGGGTGAGAAAAGACATCTCAGTGCAATTTTAATTGGCGTTTTTCTGACTATGAAGGTGGTTGAGCCTCTTTTCGTGCAGTTAAAGAGACATTTGTAAGAATTTTTCTGTAAACTGTTCATGTTTTCTGAATTTTTCTAATTTTCCCCTAGATTTTTAGGAACTCTTTTTAAATGCGCAGAAATCAGCCCTTTGGCTCGTACGCTTCCACTTCCCTCCCAGTGTGTCATTTGTCTTTTGACCTCCTTTCTTCCTTCTTTTCTTTTGCCCTCCCTCCCTTTCTCTCTCTCTCTCTCTGTGTCTCTCTGTCTCTCTGTGTATGTGTCTCTCTTTGTGTGTGTCTCTGTGTGTGTATGTCTGTGTGTGTGTCTCTCTCTTTGTGTGTGTCTGTGTGTTTGTGTGTCTCTGTGTCTCCATGTGTGTCTGTGTCTGTGTGTGTCTCTCTCTGTGTGTGTATGTCTCTGTGTGTGTGTGTCTGTGTGTGTGTGTGTCTCTGTCTCCCCCTTTCCTCCTTTGTTCCTGTTGCCCTCAGCATGCGTGTCTCCCCTCCTACTCGCATCAGCCACACAGGGCTCCCTTCCTGTGCAGGGCACAGCTTGCTGCAGGTGTACATGCTGTGGGTTGGGGACACTCTGGGGACTGAGGCTCTTCCCCTTGTGTGGCGTCCTTGGCCTCTGATGTTCTTCTCAGAAGTGCTGCAGGCCCTGTAACATGTTTGGACTGGTCACCTCCCCACCTCACTACTACCAAAGGGAGCATGTCTGTGTGTGTGCGTGTGTGTGCATGTATGTGCATGTGAGCATGTCTGTGTGTGCATGTGTGCGTGTGTGCATGTGTGCACTATGCACATGTAAGCATTCTGTGTGTGCATGTGTGTGCACATGCGTGCGTGTGTGTGTGTGCATGTGAGTGTGTCTGGGTGTGCATGTATGTGTGTGCCTGTGTGTGCATGCATGTGCATGTGAGGGTGTGTGTGTGTGTGTGTGTGTCTGTGTGTGTGCATGTGAGCATGTCTGTGTGTGTGGATGTGTGCATGTGTGCCCATGCATGTGCATGTGTGTGCATGTGTGCACGTGTGCGTGTACATGCATTGCATAAGTGTGTGCATGTGAGCAAGTGTGTGCGTGTGAGTGTGTGCATGTGTGTGTGGTCTGCAGACTCTGAGGCCAAAGGCTCCTCTGCAGATGAGGAAGAGTGGCTAGTGAAATTTCAGGGACTGCCCTGGGGGCTCCTGTTCACCCGCTGAGCTATGGGGGCCCCCAGACCCTCAAGTTCCTGCCCCTTCTCAGCCCTCCCTCTCCAGCCTCAGTCGAGCCTGGGAGCCTGGACAGCCTTGGCCTGGGTCTGCAGTCTGCGGTTTCTTCCCAGGAAGTGAAGTGTCCCTAGTTCCCTGAGCCCCCTCCCCATCTCCCACCTCCTGGCCCCAGGCTCTGTGTTTGCTCCTGTGACATCACGCCCCGCCCCCAGCTCCGGCTCCCCGGGTGTGCGTGTTCAGTACCGGCCTGCACGCAGCTGAGCTCAGTCGGTGTCTGCGGAGGAGGGGGCTGGACTCAGGGGCTCCCTGACAGACGCTGCAGGTGCCAGGTCTGGGGCATTAGGACCCTTCCAAGGAGAAATGGTGTGGGGAGGGCCGAGCTTGTGAGGGAGCCCTGGGGGCCGAGCGGCGGTGGTGGGGAGCAGGTGTTGGGGGGTCTGGTCTGGGTCTCCCTGTGGTCTTCTGTTCTTCCGGAGATCAGACTTCCTGCAAGGACTGGCAGCCCCGCCATACCCAGAGGCTGAGTGAGCTGGCTGAGAGGGCCGGGTGGGAGGTGACGCTCAGCCTCGCCTCACAGCGGGGCCTGTGGGTGGGCAGTGGAGGAAGGCTCCTGAGGGCTCACCTGGGGCTCGGGAGGTGACATCGCCTGTCACCTGAGCTGGCGCCTCATGAGCGGAACCCAGCCCTGTATGTGAGCTTCCGGGTCGGGAGTGGGGCCAGACCCACTGGGCTCCCCCACACACCCCTGGTGGATGGGACAACCCTGTGGCAGAGGCCCAGGCACAAAGAGAGCCTGGACCCACCTTCGGAGCGGGGGTGTGTGACGGGTGGCCTGGGCCGCACAGCATCGCCTTCTGCAAGCGTAGGTGCTCAATGGGGTGGGACAGATCAATCATGGCCCATCCTAGATACCTGGGGTGGCTGCGGCTGTACTTGGGGCACTGGACCCAGGTCCCACCTCATCTGCAACCCCTCGGCCAAGGGCTGCTTTGCAGGTGAGGGTCCCTACCCTGGAACCCCCAATTCAGTGCTGGGGCTCAGTCCCCACACTCCTGGGCCGGGTGGAGAGACACTGGATGAGAAGGGGATTGGAGTTTCAGGGGAGTCGAGGTGTGGAGCCACTGTGCATGGCAAGCCTTCATGCCGTGTAGTACCTGTGTCCCCTGGTCTCACCACCCGCCATTCTGTCCAGACAGGCTGCTCCATCCGAGGACCTGGGAGGACGGCAGGGGCCCAGCCCGAGGCGGGCTCCATGGACAGAGCAGTGGTCTGGCTGTGGTCTGTTGCACTGCAGAGGGGTCTGGGCCGAGGCCGCCTGGACCTCACTGGAGACTGACCAGGCAGGTGTGTCCTGGAAGGGCCACCCCAGGAGCACATGTGCGTCCCAGGGAATTGGCTGTGGTTAAGTTTGCCACCTGGCACGACAGAGGCTGACTCGAAATTAGGCCGAATCATTGAGAAGTACTAATATCTAGAAATACCACATTGTCCCCCCAAACATCCATCTCCCTCCTCTTGGGGACCCACTATTCCCATGGGGGCCTGGGCTGTGGGGGAAGTGGGCTCAGGTCTGAGATCATCAAGGGCCTCTCTCTGGCCTCGGCTTACGGTTCAGTGGGCTCATACACCCTCGGCCCAATGAGGGGTGAGCAGCCCTGGGATGGGGCTTCCAGGATCTCTGGGAAGTGGCCCCCACACACCCACAGGGAATCAGAGCTGCCCTTGGCAGCCCTTCAGGATCTAGGTTTGGGATGAAGCCGATATGACAGGAGATAGAACAGACAAATGGAAAGACCTTGAGGCCCCAGTGCCATTGGCAACCAGCTGAACCAGGCTCACCCAAGCCCTCGCTCTCCTGACCGCCACTCCTCCAACCAGGGGGTCCCTGGGCTGCGCAAAGAACCAGCCTGCAGCCTCGGTCAAGCTGCCGTGTGCTGTAAGTTTGTTTTCCATTTCATTAAGTTCTGTGATTATCTGTGTTTCATTCTCTCTTCAGATTTATACTGCTCTTTCTCTAACTTTCTGAGACGGATGCATAGCCAATTAATTTTCAGCCTTCTCCTCCAGTGCATGCATTTAAGGCCAGCATCTTCCTGCTGAATTGGACTTACTGTGAAATTCCCTTCTTCATCTCCAGTAATTACATTTACCTCCAAAGTGCTTTGCCTGCTGGAAATGCAGCCACATCAGCTTTCTGGTTGGCATTGGGTGCTTAACTGTCCTCTCTCTGGGTGATGTGATAGGTATGTTTCTTGTAAGCTGTATACCCTTGGCTTTATTCATCCTTTTATATATGATGTAGCTGCTGCTGGAGTGGGGTTTAAATCTTTAGACCCTTTCTGCCTGTCTGGGCTCCATGATGCCCCCTTCAAATAATTCCTATCACCTCCCTCCCATTGCTCAAAATCCCGTGTCCTCCCGCCTCCTGCGTCTGCTGGGCCAGCACCTCTCCTTGCTCATCCTTGTGCCCCGTCATCCTGCCCACTCCCCTCACACTGAGGACAGGGGCATCTGTTCCACCTGCTCCCACCAGTGTAGACAGCCTAACCCACAGCGCGTGTGGACGCCCCACGGTGGGTGTGGACCCAGCCAACATCTCCCTCTGGTTGTTGACCTCTCCCCTCCAGGCCCTTTTCCTCCACCTGCCAGTCCTCCCATGCCCCACATCTCTGCCTCCAAGCCTGTCCCTCGGGGCTGAGCCGGAGTTGGCCCAGGAGCCCTGAGCGATTCTTGTGCTCTCAGTGAGTCAGGAGATGAGGGCGATTCTGGAGCACGGACCTGGCCGGACGCCGGAAGTTTCAGAACAGAGAGGAGGCCCACCCAGCGCCCACTCGGTGCTCAGGAGACCCCTGCCCTCCCCTGTCCACTCCCTCCTGCCTCCTTCCCTCCTCGGTCCCAAGCCTCAGACTTTGCTGCCTGGGTTTTCTTTGTCCTGATGAACCTGCGTATCCAGCCCTGTGCAAAACCCGCCCGCCTCTCCCAGGCGCCCCGGGAAGGGAAATTACGGCGGAGGCCCTGGGGGCGCGCTCCCCACTGCGGGCAGAGGGGCGGCCTCTTTTCACCTGCTTGAACCCCTGCCTCGGGGGACACCTCCTCTCCAGCGCGCGGGGACCAGGATTGACCGGTCAGGAGGCCGCCTCCCCTTGGTCCCTGCTCGCCGGTCTTCTCCGAGGCTTCTTCCCCGGCTCCGGCCTGGGCGTCGGGAGGCCTCCCTGGAGCGCAGCTCTGCGCCCGCACCTCCCCGCGCGGCCCGGCTCCCCGCGGCTCCTGCCCGGTCTTCCCTCCTCCGGCCCGCGCCAGGGCTCGCTTCTCTGTCGGAAGACCCTCTCCTCCCTGCCACACGGCTGGTCCAGCGTCCCGGGCGTGCCTCCTCTGCCAGGGCTGAAAGGGCCGCTTACACCCGGGGACTTCTCCGCTCCGGACACGCCTGGCGACCTCGCCGGCGCCACCTCCTGCACTCCGTGGAGAGCCTGCTCTGCGCCCACACCTGCCTGTCCCGCCCCAACACCTGGTCCTCCTCCAAACCCTGCCCTTCCTTGCCCTGTCCCGTCTTCCCCCCTGCCCAGGTGTCCCAGGAGGGGGAGCGAATCATCCCTGCGCCCCCTCTTATGCAACTGACCAGCAGGTCCCACCCACTCCACCCCAAATCTCACCCCACCCTTCCCTACCTCAGCGTCTCTACCCTGGAACAGAGGACTGGGAACCAATTGAGAGCAGTAAAAAGGGATTTCTACCCTAACCTTAACCCCAAGCCTAACCCTAACCCTAGCACCTGCAGCCACTGGCAAGGGAGCCTGGCCCCTGAGCCTGAGCACAGAGGCTAAAGGGCGCAGTGGGCACTGAAGGGCCCACCCAGGGGTCCCAGCTGGTCTGTGCCCTCCCACTGCCCACTAGTCATCCCCTCGCAAGGAGCTTCACATAGCACAGATGTGAAACCACAAAATCCTAAGCTGCTTGGGTGTGAATGTATGTTTGTGCGTGTGTGTGTGTGTGTGTGTGTGTTACAGTGTCAGCCCTGGCTGGGGTCTAGCTGGGTGGCACCGTCATCTGTCTGGGAGTCCAGTTCTCTGCAGGGTGCCCTTGACTGTCGTTCCTCTCAGGGTTCAGCTTTTCCGGCTCTGATGCAGGAGGCATGTGCCTGGCCATACTGTCCACAGGGAAGTGGTCTCGGATTCCCGGGACTGATCACAGGCAACGCCTCCTGAGTGCATACGTGAGAACGGATACCCTAATGAGGACATGGGAGTGGGGGACACCCTCGAGCAGCCATGTGAGGGCCTGGAGAGAAAGATGAGGCCAAGGGACGCACCCTCCCTGGCACTCGTCAGATCCCCGCAGGGCTGGGGTGGGAGCCCCAGGGAGGGTGGAGCCCGGCCCCAGAGCCAATGCACCACTACTTCTTCCGTTTCTGGGGCCCTGGGACAGACCTGCGTTCGGGAAGCACAGATGTCCCATAGGCGACCCCAAATCTGAGATTCTGGCTCTGGACAAAGACTGCATTCAGGGGCGCTCTGAACCCCTGAAGCCCAGGTGTAGTTTGGGAAGATGGTGGTAGATACACCCACAAATAGTCTCTGTCACCTGCTGTGTTGGGCCCTGAGCTGAAAACGGGGAACAGAGAAATGAAAAGGGGTGGAGATACTGGGAGGAGAGAGTATGACAAGAGATACAGTGTTAAGGGCTCCCCAAGGGAAGGGAGCGGTTCCTGGGGATCCCTCCGGAAGCCCATCCTACTGGAGGTGGCACCTGACCTGGGTCTTCAATAATGGCACCTCAGCCCCACCCCACCCTTCGTTCAGTAAGGACACCTCAGCCCCACCCCACCCTTCGCCCAGCTGCAGTGCTGGCCAAGAGGAGACCCTCGGAAGCTGTTCACGGAGTGAATGGGAGATGGAGGATGCAGGGCCAGTGGGCACTGGGTTGGCTGGGAAGCGAGCCCTTTGGGGAGAGGGGCTGCCTGCAGTGAGGGAAGGTGGGAGAGGAAGCAGCTTTGAGGGTGGTGTGAGGTGGAGGGTGGCTCTGAGATGAGAGGTGTGGTCTCTGGTAGAGGGTGGAGGAGAGGGGGCAGGCTGGGTCATGGGGGGGATGGATAGATGAGACTCCCCCAGTTCAACCCCAGGGCCAGGACCCCGAGCCCCCAGCCCTCAAGAGGCCCAGCTTGCTGAAGTCCACGTCCCCTGTCCTGCGGGGGATCTTGCTGTTCCAAGTCTCAGGAGGACTCTGGGCCCACTGGGCTTCTGCTGGGCACCAGGAAGTGGTTCGGGGAGGGGGTCCTGGACGCCCCTCTGTGTGGGAGACCTTGTGACTGTGCTGATGTGACAGAACCATTGGGGGCAGCGAGCGGAGGGTCAGTATACATAACCCAGTGCCGTCGGTGTAAATGTTCAAACATGGGTTTAAATGTTTAGCAACCCCCCAAAATTATGAACCCCAGGACATCCCCCACACCCATGCTCAGGCACCTCGGCTGTGGTGCCTAGAGATAACGCTCAGGCTCACCCCTGCCTCCACTCAGGGCGAACGCAGACAGCACCAGCTGCCGGGCCCCCCGGGCAGACTCAGACCCGGCCTGGGAGCCCAGGCACTAAGCGCCCATGCCACTCACCGCTTCACCACACAGGCGTGGCTGCTCCGGGGGCAGCACGGGTGCTGTGAGCAGAAAGCCGGGGCGCAGGGCAGGACGGCTTTCCTAGGAAATCTTCAGCTAAGGCAGGACCTCAGGATGGGTGGGAGGGGGCCGGGTGCAGATAGAGAGGAGACAGTCCGGCCTCATGGAGCCACAAGGACCCTGGGGCAGGAAGAGGCCTGAGTTAGAGACCTGCAAGGAGGGCAGGGCCGGCTGGGGAGGGGCCATGAAGGACTTTGGGCTTTGAGAACACAGTGGGAAGCCCCCAGAGGGTTTAAACAGGGAAGTGGCCAGGTCACCCGCACAGCTGCTGAGGCCATTCCACTGCTGCGGGAGAATGGGTGGGGGTGGGCAGGAGCCCAGCGGGGGGAGGGGCACCCTGGCCGAGGTCCAGGTGAGAGGCTGTTAGGCCGGCACCATGCGGTGGCCCTGGAGAGGAGGAGAGACAGACAGGCCTCCCAGAGCCCTGATGGCTCCCGCAGGCAGCTGGGCCTGGCTTGGTCTCCTCTCCCGAGGTCAAGCCCTGCCCTCCTACCTCTCCCTGCTGTGGTCTGAAAATTGGTTCCCACCCAAAATTCAAGTTGAAACTTAATCCCCAGTGTGAAAGTATCAAGAGTGGGCCTTCAGGAGGTGGTTAGCCGGGAAGGTTCTGTCCCACAATGGGATCAGGACATCAGTCAATCAGGAACAGGCCGGCCCTCGCCAGACACTGCAGCTGCTGGGCCTTTTGCTCTTGGACTTCCAGTGCCTTGATCTTGGATTTTCTGTTCCCTCCAGAACCGTGAATACTAAATATCTGCTGTCTATAAATTACCCGGTCTAGGAGGGCTTTGTTATAGAACCCAAATGGGCTAAGATATGACCCTCAGGCCATCCCCACCCCTCTGGGCTCTCCCCACCCCTGTGGGCTCTCCCCACAACCTCAGCTGTGGACTCCTCCCCGCCCCCACCCCCGTGGGCTCCCCCCACCCCCACCCCTGTGGACCCCTCCAACCCCCCACCCCCGTGGGCTCCCCCCACTCCCACCCCCGTGGACCCCTCCAACCCCCCACCCCCGTGGGCTCTCCCTACTCCCACCCCCACCCCCACCCCCGTGGGCTCTCCCCACTCCCACCCCCCACCCCCACCCCCATCCCATGGGCTCTCCCCACTCCCACCCCCCACCCCCACCCCCACCCCCGTGGGCTCTCCCCACTCCCACCCCCCACCCCCCACCCCCGTGGGCTCTCCCCACAGATGCCACCTCTCCCAGTCTCTGCTGGGTGCCCCCATGTTTGGCCCCGGGTGTTTGTCAGGGTGTCTGCTGAGGGTCTCCAGGCATCTCAGGCCCCACAGGGATGATATCACCGGCCACCTCTCTTGGGGAGCAGGCACCCCTCACCTGTCCACTGTCTGACCATGCTGGGCACACCCCTTCAGTGGGGGGGGGGGGCTGAAGCCTCATAACCCACGCCCTGGTGCCAGATCCCTGGCACTGGAGGAGGACAGCAGAGGAGAAGGGGAGGGCGTGTCTCCCCTAAGCTCCCCAGTCAGGGCCTTTGGAGAGTGCTGTCCCTGGGCCACCACCTCCTCACCAGGTCTGGGTGTGAGCGGGACAGCACTCTGGTGCCTGCCCAGGGCGGGGGAGCACAGGAGCCCTCCCAGGTCCCCGCCTCCCTCCTCTTACAGCGAGTGTCCCCCTGCATTCGTTTCCTGCGGCTGCTGTAACCAATTATCACAAACTATCACCAACTCCCAGCTTCAAGCAACCAGAAGGCTCTTCAAGGAAATCCTTCCTGGCCTCTCCCAGCATCTGGTGGCTGTAGGTGGTGGGCCGCCCTGGCCGTGGTCGCATCCTCTGATCCCTCCTCTGTCTTCACGTGGCCTCCTCGTCCTCTCTCTTCTACCGACACTTGCCGTTGGATTTAGGACCACCCCAAATCTAGGATGACCTCATCCCCAGACCCTTAACTTAAGGACAAAGGCCTTTTTCCAAATGAGCTCACATTACAGGTGCCTGGGGCTAGGACTCGGACATACCTTGTGGGGACCACTCAGCCCACTGCAGATGGGAGCACTTGAGCATCCAAAGTCAGTATAGTAAGTTCCAGAGCTCTATTGTCTCACAGGGTGACTACCATTAAGAAAAACATTGTATTCTTGAAAATTGCTGAGAGTAGTTGTAAATGTTCTCGCTTCAAATGCTAAGTATATGAGGTAATGTATATGTTAATTTGCTCAATTTTCCATTCCACAATGTACACATATTTCAAAACCACTTGCTGTACACAATATATACAATTTTTATTTGTCTAAATAAATAAAATGTCTTAGAAAAAATAATGACTGCAGTTTATGAAACCATACTGAACATAGCCGAGCCATGAGTTCATGATGACTCCAGAAGGAAGTTACAAAAACCTGGTATATTCATCCATTCGTGCAGAGCTAAAATAATTACCTGAGGCTGGCATGGTGGCTCACGCCTGTAATCCTAGCACTTTGGGAGGCCAGGGCAGGCAGATTGCCTGAGCTCAGGAGTTCAAGACCAGCCTGGGCAACATGGTAAAACCCTGTCTCTACTAAAACATACAAAAAAAAAAAAAAAAAGCCAGCCATGGTGACGGGCGGCTGTAGTCCCAGCAACTCAGGAGGCTGAGGCACGAGAATCACTTGAACACAGGAGGCAGAGGTTGCAGGGAGCTGAGATCGTGCCACTGCACCCCACAGCCTGGGCAACAAAGTGAAACTGTCTAAAAACACAAAAACAAAAAACAAAACAAAAAAAAACCCCACGAGACTGGGTAATTTATAAAGAAAGGAAGTTTAATTGACTCACATTTCCACAGACTGTACAGGAAGCAGGGCCAGGGAGGCCTCAGGAAACTGACAATCATGGCAGAAGGTGAAGGGGAAGCGGGCACAGCTTGTGGCCAGAGGGAGGAAGAGAGAGGAGGAGGAGGAGAGAGCGAAGCGGAAGGTGCCACGCACTTTCAAACAACCAGCTCTGGAGAGCACTCGCTCGCTATCACGAGAACAGCAAGGAGGAGCTCTGCCTCCATGATCCAATCACCTCCCACCAGGCTCCTTCACCAACGTTGGGGATTACAATTCAACAGGAGATCTGGGCAGGGACACAAACCCAAACTATGTCACCTGGGCACGGGGCAGCAGCTTGGATCTCCCAGGAGTGGACCCTGAGACAGGAAGGCCCGTGCTGGAGGTGGGTCAGGGAGTGCAGGAAGGGGTGGGAAGGACTGGGCGGCGGAGACACTGAGCCTCAAGGTCAGGCTTGGAAGACCTCACAGGGACTCTGCAGGGGTGGGGAGTACCCTTCCAGGTGGCTCTGAGCTGGGATGATGGGACAGGCCTTCTCGGCCACTGGGATCGGTCAGACATTGCCCATCTGTTGATCGAAACGTATCAGGAGCAGCGTTACCACCGGTACCTGCTGGCCCAGCCCAGCTCACTCCAACAGAGACAACCAGACCTTATATGCCTCATGACGTGGTGCAACGGGAGGCAGAAAGCACTCCTGAGCCTGGGCAAGATAGCATGACCCCATCCTTACAAAAAGTCAAAAAATTAGCCAGGCAGGGTGGTGACACTTGTGGTCCCAGCTACTTGGGAGACTGAGGCGGGAGGATTGCTTAAACCTGGGAGGTGGAGGCTTCGGTGAGTTGGGATCGCACCACTGCACTCCAGCCTGAGTGAGCGCAAGACTCTGTCTCAAAAAAAAGAGAAAGCCCTCCTGTAAAATATTCTCCCCAGACAATTGAACATGAATCTAATCAAGCCACACAGGAAATACAGAGGCTGGAGAAGCAAGTCCAAGGACAGCAAATTCCTACATGGAAACATCTACATGGAGCTGACTGCTCTCCCTAGAGGCCAGCATCACAAAAGAGCAGGCTGGGGTGACTGCCTTAGACAGAGGGAGACTTTAAGAACCCTAAAACCAAAACAACCAAATGCACATGGCCTTTGTTAGGAATATCCCATCAAATTATAGAAAGATGCTTTCACACAATCAGGAACACAGAGATGTAGACAGGTGTGTTAGTCCGTTTTCACGCTGCTAATAAAGACACACCCAAGACTGGGTAATCTATACAGGAAAGAGGTTTAATGGACTCACAGTTCCGCATGGCTGGGGAGGCCTCACAACCATGGTGGAAGGCAAGGAGGAGCAAGTCACGTCTTACTTAAATGGATGGCGGCAGGCAGAGAGAGAACTTGTTCAGGGGAACTCCCCTTTATAAATCCATCGGATCTCGTGAAACTTATTCATTATCACGAGAACAGCACGGGAAAGACCCACCCCCATGATTCAATCACCTCCCACCAGGTCCCTCCCACAACATGCGGGAATACAAGATGAGATTTGGGTAGGGACACAGCCAAACCGCATCAACACGGCTTCAGATCACATGACGAAATTATTCTAAATATTCGTGGGGGTGGTAACAGCATCATGGCTTTGTAAGAAAATGTCCCCTTTAAGAGAGTCACAGCAACATCACAGATGACGATGACATGTGGGATTAGCTTTTAAACACACGGTCGAAAGAGAGGCTGGGATGCCAGAGCAAGGGCAGCAAAGTGTTCACGGCTCTTGAAGCTGCATGAGGGGCGTGGAGTTCCCTGTGGGGTCCGGATATTTTCATAATGAGATGTTTGCATTCTCTCTAGTGTGCACTCAGAAGAGGAGGTGCATCCTATCCCTACAGGGCTCTTCGACTGCCCAAGGATGATGTTTTTAAAGTTGCCGAATTTCTGTCACTTATTTGTTCTGTCTTCTTTTAAGTTAGCCCAGAATCTCAGAGTCCCTGGCACTTGAAAGAAGCTGGGGCTAATTACAAGGAGAACAAATGGGGCCTGTGGAGGCAGAAGGACCTGGGCTCAGGTTGCAGCTCTATGCTAAGGTAGTTTTTTTATTGTGCTGTCTTGACCCAGTTTTGAGGCCCTGGCTAGAGACCGGTCAGTTCCCTCCTTGACCACGCCCTTTACGGCCCCTCACACTCCAGGCCACTGCACACCCTCCTGGATCGCCCCAAGGCTAAGCTCCAGACAACCGTGGACAGCCCTGTGCCCCAGAGCTCAAAATCGCCCAAACTAGCCAATCCACAGGGAGCCCAAGCAACCCAGCCACCCCACCTGCTGCCGCCCACCAGCCGCCCGGCAGCCCCAGCTGGCTGCTACCCCATCCCCGGGTGCCCCGTGTGGCCCTGCCCAGCAGCCTTCCTTGTTTGGAGCTGTAAGTGACAAAGCACTCTGCCTTTCTTCTCTGGAGTGTCAGCGTGCCATGCCCTACATCAGAAGAAACTTCAAAGTCTATAAAACAGACATAGGGCTGGGCATACTGGCTCATGCCTGTAGTCCCAGCACTTTGGGAGGCGGAGGTGGGAGGACTGCTGGAGCTCAGAGGTTTGAGACCAGCCTGGGCAACACAGCAAGACCACAACTCTAAAATATATATATATATATATATATATTAGCCAGGCATGGTGGTGCCCCCACTGCAGTCACAGCCACTCAGGAGTCAAAGGTGAGAGGATCACCTGAGCCCCAGAGTTTGAGGTGACAGTGAGCTATGATCATGGTATTGCACTCCAGCCTGGGTGACAGAAAGAGACTCTGTCTCAAAAAAATAAAAATAATAAAACAGACCTAGATGGGCCTGGGATGGGGCCCCAGTTCTGATGCTCACCATGTGTTTGCCCTTGGGTGACCTGCTGCTCCCTTGGCTTTCTTGCCTAAAGATGGGGACCCCAGATGCACGAGGCCAGTGCAGGGGCTGGGGGAGAGAACACAGGTGGTTGATGCCCAGGACCAGTGCAGGGGCTGGGGGAGAGGACACAGGTGGCTGATGCCCAGGACCAGTGCAGGGGCTGGGGGAGAGGACACAGGTGGCTGATGCCCAGGACCAGTGCAGGGGCCGGGGGAGAGGACACAGGTGGCTGACAAAGGTGGCTGATGCCCAGGACCAGTGCAGGGGCCGCGGGAGAGAACACAGGTGGTTGATGCCCAGGACCAGTGCAGGGGCCAGGGGAGAGGACACAGGTGGCTGATGCCCAAGACCAGTGCAGGGGCTGGGGGAGAGAAAACAGGTGGCTGATGCCCAGGACCAGTGCAGGGGCCGGGGGAGAGGACAGAGGTGGCTGTTGCTCAGGGCCAGTGCAGGGGCCGGGGGAGAGGACACAGGTGGCTGTTGCTCAGGGCCAGTGCAGGGGCTGGTGGACAGGACGCAGGTAGCAACCTTCGTAAAATGCCAAGCTTCGCAAATGTTGACTATAACTTCTCTCTACAGCTCCCAATACGTGTTATGTCTTCAGCATTCCCAGCCAGGCTATACACAGCTGGTACCCTTCAGTGAAGATGACCCCAGCCCAGGCGTAAATCCTTATCACTCTCAGCCAAGTGTGGTGCAACAGTCCATAATTAGTTTGCTCAAAGGCATGGAGAGTAACTCTGGCCCAGAGGATGTCTGCTAGGCGGTGATTAGAAAGGTCTCCTCACTCTGGACGCCACCTCCAGTAGGACAGATTGGTTTCCAGCAGGCACAGTCTCCCACCGATGATCAAAGAACCAGATAAATCACAAAACCATATTTTTTGAGACAATAGGGAGCTGGAGAAGCAATGAGAACAAGATAAACTAAAATTCCAGAGTCAAGAGACCGTTCAGAGCTGACCTGAAAATCCGCAGCCCCTTTGCTCTGAGGCAGTTGCTGACTTGAGGCTGGCTGAGAATGTGGCTCTGCACAAGGCAGAGGCTGCTGCTAAGGACAGAGAAAAAGGCAACACTTTTGGTGGCTATGCAGGCCCAAGCAACCGAATTGGAGAGTCAAAAGGCCTCAAACGTATGGTTGGTGTTCGCCATCATCCTGAAGCAGCTGGATTGATAGAACAGTGGAATGGGTGACAACTAGGTGATAATACTTTGCTGGGGCAAAGTTCTCCAGAACACTATGCATGCTCTGAATCAGCCTCCAGTATATGACACTGTTTCTCCCATAGCCAGGATTCACGGGTCTAGAAATCAAGGGGTGGAAGTGGCACCACTCACCATCACCCCTAATGATCCACTAGCAAAATTTTTGCTTCCTGTTCCCACAACATTACATCCTGCTGGCCTAGAGGTCTTAGTTCCAGAGGGAGGAACGCTGCCACCAGGAGACACAACAACGATTCCATTACACTGGAAGTTAAGATTGCCACCTGGACACTTTGAGCCCCTCCTACATTTAAGTCAACAGGCTAAGAAGGGAGTTACAGTGTTGGCTGGGGTGACTGACCCAGACTATCAAGATGAAATCAGTCTACTACTCCACACTGGAGGTAAGGAAGAGTATGTATAGAATACAGGAGATCCATTAGGGCATCTCTTAGTATTACCATGCCCTGTGATTAAGGTCAATGGGCAACTACAACAGCCCAAACCAGGCAGGACTACAAGTGGTCCAGACCCTTCAGGAATGAAGGTTTGGGTCACTCCACCAGGAAAAAAACCACTACCTGCTGAGGTGCTTGCTGAAGGCAAAGGGAATACAAAATGGGCAGTAGAAGAAGGTGGTCATCAATACCAGCTACGACCACGTGACCAGCTGCAGAAACGAGGACTGTAATCGTCAGGAGTATTTCCTGCTTATTTTGTTAAAAACATATTTGTGCATGTATACACTTGTACTAAGCAGATATCTTCATTTTATTTCCTTTTTCCTTTATCATGTGACATAAGATTCATTGGCTTCATATCGGCATTTAAGTATCGTTAAGTTTATGTAATAGTATTTGCGTTGGGGATGGGTGCACTTCCGGTTGTACGATGGATAGTTGTATTATGTTAGGCGTAATTATGACTTTATTATTGTCTTTATTTGAAGATTACGTATGATCTCAGATGTGTATGGGTTCAAGTTGACAAAGGGTGGACTTGTGATGGTTAATATTGAGTGTCAACTTGATTGGATTGAAGGATGCAAAGCACTGATCCTGGGTGTGTCTGTGAGAAAAACATGAAGAGACTGAACGGGCCTAGCCCGCCAGCCTGCATCTTTCTCCCGTGCTGGATGCTTCCTGCCCTCCAACATCAGACTCCAGGTTCTTCAGCTGTGGGACTGGGACTGGCTTCCTTGCTCCTCAGCTTGCAGACAGCTTATTTTGGGACCCTGTGATCGTGTGAGTTAATACTACTTAATAAACCCTCCTTTAGATAGATAGGTAGGTAAATAGATAGATAGATAGATAGATAGATAGATAGATAGATAGATAGATCCTATTAGTTCTGTCCTCTAGAGAACCCTAACTAATACAGTTGGTTTCATATAAATCTTAGAATCTGGCTGTCAATTTCCACACATGAAAACTAAAACCACAAAATAAGTGCCACTACCCACCCAGCAACATAGCTAGAACCGAAAAGGCCGACTATAGCAAGCATTGGCAAGGTTGTGGAGCAACTAGAGCTCGTTTACAAAACTCGTGGAAATAGGAATCGGTACAACCACTTTGGAAAAGTGTTTGGCAATGCCTATTAAAGCTAAGCACATACGTGTCCCACTCCGGGTATTTGCCCGGTAGAAATGAGGGCTTATGTCCACCAAAACATATGCGGAGAACGCTCAGAGCAGCATTCTTCTAAAAGCCAAAACAACACAGCCAAATGCCCCCAGCAGGGGAGCGCCGCAGGAGGCTAACGACGCCAGCATTTTCACACACCAACGCTGCACCCAGCAAAGCAGCTGACAGCGAGGGGACTCCCGGCACACACAGCAGCGTGGACGAACTCAGACGCATATTGTTCAATAAAAGAGGCCAGACTCCATACTGCGGGATTCCATTTATACAATGTTTTAAAACAGACAAAAAGGTAGCCTGTGGGGTTTCTGGAATGTCCCATATCTCAGTACGTGTGGCTCTGACACGTTATTTTATATGTGTGTGTCACATATGTATGTCACGCAGATGACATCATTTTGTCAAGGTGTGCGTTCCAGAGTTGCACATTTAAGCTCTATCTTAGTCCATATGTGCTGCTGTAACAGTACCTGAGACTGGGTCATTTACAACACAAAGAAATTGATTGGCTCACTGTTCTGGAAGCTGGAAGTCTGAGGTCAAGGTGACGACAGTTTCGGTGTCCAGTGAGGCTATTTACATCATCTAAGACGACACCTTGTATGCTGTGTCCTCCAGAGGAGAGGAAGGTGAGACCCTCACATGGCAGAAGGCAGAAAGGCCAAGAAGGGCCTTTTACAACAAAACGGCCTCCTCAGTCCTTTTACAACAGCACTAAACTCACCCAGGAGGATGTCCCCCTGACAGTCTACTCACCCTGCAGGCCCCACCTCCTAACACCATCACCTCGGCAATTAAACTCCAACATGAGCTTTGGAGGGGACAAACCTCCAAACCACGCCTGGCTAATTTTTGCATTTTTAGTAGAGAGGGGCTTTCACCACGTTGGCTAGGCTCTATATAAATTATACCTCAATTCTTCCAATGAAACAAACAAGGAGATTTGTGCAGGAATGTTCATAGCAGCACTATTTTAAACAGCCAAAATCTAGAACTCCCCAAAGCTCTTCCACTGTGGCATTGATAGGTACCTTTGGCGTGGTTGCGTGCGCACTGCCACATAGCACGGAAAGAACCAGACAACCCGATCCTCAGCAGTGCCGACAGACCTCGGGGCCTCCAGAAGACACCAGCAGAGACAAGCGCCTGCTAGAGGTTCCAAGCGCAGATGGTGGCCGGTTTACGACGGCTCGACTTAATGATTTTTTGACTTTACAATAGGCTTCTCTGGGTATTAAATGCATTTTCGACTGTGAAAGTTGTCAGAATCAAAATGAAGTCATGAATGTTAAGAAAATAACATTACCTGACAGACAGAGCCAGGGAAGGCCATAAAGAGTGGATTCTCAGGCTTGTATCCCCAACAGCAAAAAAGACTCTGCAAAAAACATAACCTCGCACAAAAGCCATCCCAGCCTCACACAGAAAATGCTTCTGCAAGGACATCTGCCCAGCGGCTGCCATCTAACCTCAGCATTACTCTTGTTATTGATCTTTGTGGCCAAGGATAATTGTCTCCAAACAATTGTGTGATCCTCCTCATTTTTTTCTTTAAACGTCTTTGTCTTCCTTCACCTCCCTGAACACACAGAGGCTACCACAACATGGGTGTTTCCATTGCAACGCTCTATCCTGAAATAAACATCTTTTCTTGCAAACAAACAACCTCTCTCTGTTATTTAGATTGACATGACTTACCATATTTTCTTTTCTTTTTTTTTTTTGAGACAGAGTCTCGCTGTGTCGCCCAGGCTAGAATGCAATGGTGCAATCTCAGCTCACTGCAACTTCCACCTCCCAGGTTCTCCTGCCTCAGCCTCCCAAGTAGCTGGGATTACAGGCATGCGCCACCACACCCAGCTAATTTTTGTATTTTTAGTAGAGACGGGGTTTCACCATGTTGGTCAGGCTGGTCTCGAACTCCTGACTTCATGATCCGCCTGCCTCAGCCTCCCGAAGTGCTGGGGTTACAGGCGTGAACAACCGCGCTCAGCCTCGACTTACCATATTTTCAACTTGCAATGGGTTTACTGGGACATAATCCATTTGTGAGTCAAGGAGCACCTGTATATAAAATGGGCCCAGCTATTCTATGGTATGAAAACTCAGGAAGCAGGCCACCCTTGGGGGTGGTAGTGCCTGGAAGAGAGAATGAGGGAGCCTCCCAGGTGCTGCTAAAGGACTGTTTCCTGGTCTAGAGGCTCATTCCGTGGATATTTCCAACTTGCAAAAGGGCATCATGCTGTATGCTTTATTTGTACATTTTTCTATATGTATGTTATATCTAAAAGCAAACAACAAACATCATGGCGTGGAAGATGGGTTCTTCCTTCTTTGGACTGTTGTGTTTGTCTCCAACGTCTGGAACTGCAGCAGCCATTTTGTGAGCATGAGGGAAGCCGTCCTGAGCACTGAGGGTTGCAGGGTGAGGAGGTGGGAAAATCCTGAGCCCTTCTGCTGCTGAGCCACTGGGTTCGCCACCTCTGCGGTGGCCCTACCTTGAGACTTCCCGTTACATGATAGACTTTTCTCACCATTCATGATATTACTTTGAATCCTATTTTCTCCAGTTTTTAGCCAAAGGCTTAGTAACCCACCCAGTACTATGAGGGAAAGGTTCAGACAGGAAGAGAAGCCCAAAGGGAATGAGGACTAAACTCTGCTGATTTTTTTTCCTGGCTCAAATTCCTTTTTTTTTTTTTTTTTGAGACAGAGCCTTACTCTGTAGCCCAGGCTGGAGTGCAGTGGTGCGATCTCGGCTCACTGCAACCTCCGCCTCCTGGGTTCACGCCATTCTCCTGCCTCAGCCTCCCAAGTAGCTGGGACTACAGGGGCCCGCCACCACACCTGGCTAATTTTTTGTATTTTTAATAGAGACGGGGTCTCACCGTGTTAGCCAGGATGGTCTCGATCTCCTGATTTCGTGATCTGCCCGCCTCAGCCTCCCAAAGTGCTGGGATTACAGGTGTGAGGCACCACGCCTGGCCTCAAATTCCTTTCTAAGGGGCCTGGGGAAATTCATGCTTACAAGGCATAAAATTGTATTAAACAGGTCTTTTGACCCAGTATACTGGAGCTCCTTTTTTTTTTTTTTTTTTTTTTGAGATGGGGTCTTGCTCTTTCACCCAGGCTGGAGTGCAGTGGTGCAATCTCAGCTCGCTGCAGCCTCTGCCTCCCAGGTTCAAGCAATTCTCCCACTTCCACCTCCTGAGGAGCTGGGATTACATGCACACGCCACCACACCCGGCTAATTTTTGCATTTTTAGTAGAGACGGGGTTTCACCATGTTGGCCAGGCTGGTCTTGAACTCCTGACCTCAGGTGATCCACCCACCTCAGCCCCTCAAAGTGCTGGGATTACAGGTGTGAGCCACCGCGCCAGCCCTGGGGCTCCCTTTTCAACCTAACTCTGGCGTGGCGTTGGCATCACATGGCAGACAGCAGACCCCCTTACCTTAGGTGTTCCCTCAACTCAACCAATTGCAAACTAAAGAATCCTCAACCGACTATGACTTGCAAGCCCCAGCTTCCAGATGTCCTGCCTTTTCAGGTCAAACGAATGTGTACCCCCTCCCCATGTACTGATTTATGATTTTACCTGCAATTCTTGTCACTCTGAAATGTCCAAATTGTAGGGTCAGGTGTGGTGGCTCACGCCTGTAAACCCAGCACTTTGGGAAGCTGGGGTCAGGAGTTCAAGACCAGCCTGACCAACATGGAGAAACCCCGTCTCTACAGAAAATACAAAATTAGCCAGGCGTGGTGGCACACGCCTGTAATCCCAGCTACTTGGGAGGCTGAGGCAGGAGAATGGCTAGAACCCAGAAGGTGGAGGTTGTGGTGAGCCGAGATGGCGCCGTTGCACTCCAGACTGGGCAACAAGAGTGAAACGCCGTCTAAAAATAAAAAATAAAACTGTAACCCAGTGGCCTCAGGACCACTTTCCCAGGACCTCTTGAGGCTGTGTTTCCCAAGCCTCCATGGCTCACTTGCATAGACTCAGGATAAACCTCTAAATACTTTGGCAGAGCTTGCTTTTTCCATCGTCAGTAGCAAAAGTAACGTGGAACACGGGACATGCTTAGTGAGAAAAAGCCATATCATTATCCAATTTAAGTCTTCCTTCCATCTTATTTCGGACATTTTGCTACCCACAGGACTCTTTCCTCAAAGAAAACTTTATACGAAAGCTCAACCTATAAATAGACAAAAGCACAGCTAGTCCTTTTTAAGTCAGATTTGGGAAGTCCAGGCCCCTGAGTCCTCCCCTGCGGCCCCTTGAGACACCTGGGTGGGGTCCCAGCACTCTGAGGAGCCTACTCGGAGGCCATGGCCATGCTCATAGGAGCGCGAGGGCTCCCAACCTCAACCTCTGGCTCTGGCTGGGGCCAAGGGCCGGGGAAATGCAGCTAGCACTGGCAGAAGGGACTGTAGCTGCCCGTGGGACAAGAGGGCTTAAAAAGCTGCCTAAAGAGTGCTCATGGAAGGCTGAGCTCTGAGTGAGACCCAAAATCTGTGGATGAGGCGGCTGTTCCCAACAGCACTGGGAACTTAAAGAAAGAGAATGAGGAACCTGAAGTCCTAAATCTGGCTCAAGATGCAGCCTGAGACTGGGACTTCCTGTCCTGTAGCTAAAGGACCTTCTGCTCTTGCCGATATGGCTGACAGAGCCAGAGCCAACGCCGAGTGTGATCCCCCAGGATGCTCTGTGCAGATCAGCCGAGCTCCACCCCGGCAGGAGCTCAGTGTGAAAGTCAGAGCGTCGGCCTAGAGCTGGGGGAGAGGAGTGGAGGACCCGGGAGTCTCCTGAACCCCAGCCTGCCTTCGGCCAAGGCATCCGCATCTGACGAGGCTGCACCCGCCCTGTCTGAGGACCCTGCGCCCACTCCACCTCCGAGACAGGTCAGGAAGAAGCTGGTCGCACCCAAGACCCTGCCAGCTCCCCGCTACCCAGGCCTCCAGCTTACTTCTAACTGCAGTCAGAACGTCATGCCCCAGGGCACAAAGCATATTCAAACCTGAAAGGAGGAGGCTACCTGGCAAAAGATTCACAAGAGTTTGCTATTTTACATCAGCAAACATCTGGTGAATATGAGTGGAGCTAGGGAGGGCATCGTTTTGGATTGAGCTCAATGTGTTGGTCTGGACGCCCTCAGTGGAGATTTCATATTTGAAGGGATAGCTCTAGCAGCTGGCAGGAGCTCGAACAATTTGCTTAGCTTGGTGACAAAAACCTGGAATTCACAGTGGCCACGTGGAGCCGAGAGGCGCAGCTGATAAGGAAAGAGGACTTAAGCTAGGTGCAGTGCACAGAGGCCCCCTGGCTGGGGACGGAGGCCCAGCCAACGTCTCTGCAGCAGTCCTTGGGCCGGGGCCAGTTCACAGACCCTGCTGTCCTCCCGGCCTCCTGCACGGGGCTGCTGCCATTTGTCAGAGGAGCCAGCAACTGAGAAAGGAAAGTGCCCTGATCTCTCGGGGGAGTCTGGCACGGGCTCCAGGCCATCACTGCTTTTTCTGGGCACCCTGGCTGCCCAGGGATTTTGCAGTGTGGTGGGGGCATATGAGGGTGAGGTGACTGAGTTGTGGCCCAGTTCTGCCCTCAAGCTCAGTGGGAATAGAACCTCCCCCTTGGTGACTTTCCCAATCCCGAGGTGCAGTGGCTACACCCACAGCATGCAGGCTCATCTTAAAGGCTCTCCCACCTTGGAGGAAGGATCTGCAGGACGTAACCACTAGTGAGGCCACACTCGGCGGTCCAACCATCAGCACCACGACCAGGGACGTGAGAGGCACAGGGCCCATTCCCTCGCTCCCAACTCACCACCTGGCTGGTGAATGGTAAGCGGGACCTGAGGAATAACAGCAACCATCAGATGCTCAGGTGGCAATTTACCCACAGGTCTACGCTGGCTCTTGGAACACAGGGCTAGTGATCGGGAAAATATGTTTTTCTCCCTGCCAATAAGCAGAAAACACACAAATGGGTTCCCTCGTCTGCCAGGGATGCAGCACTCCCTTCCTGTCTTGCTCCAGGGCTTCTCTGGCCAGCTCTGTGCCTCGGTTTAGACTGAGGGGCCTCAATGGTCTCACGTGGCCCCGGCACCAACAGCCCTGAGCCCTGGGAGAGCCGAAAGCTGCTGAAACTTCAGATGTCCTAGTGCAAACTCACCTCCAAAAGCGGAGCTGGAGAAATGTGGGACCCACCACTCAGTGCATTCCCAGGGCCCAGTGGTCGGGGCCAGGGTGGGTTTCGCCCATGAAACTGAAGGACCAGTGCACCCACCAAGATGGAGCTCAGCTCCTTATGCAGGAAAGACACCTGCATTTGGCTCTGCTGTCCCCACAGAGTCAGCAGTGGTTCAAGGGCTGCAGCAGGAATGGTGCTGCCCTGCCCTGGCCCGGTGGACCCAATGGTATCCGCCAGCTGTGCCAGAACAAGTCCTGGACAGAGCCTGTGGCAGCCCTGGGAGGAGGAGAGCCACACAGACCCTGGGGTCTGAGCAAGGTATGGCCCCTCGCAAGAAGCTCTTCGCAGCAGTCAAGGAGCTGGCAGGGCCACGTTTCCTCCGGAGACTCAAGGGGAAAGTCCCTCCTGGCCAGGGGCTCCCAGGGCTCCCCACCTTCCTGGGCTTGTGGCCACATCACTCCGGTCTCTCCTCTGTCTCCACACTTCACATCTCCCTGCTTTCTTTTGTAAGGACATCTGTTACCCTAACTCCAGATGATGTCTTCCCAAGATTCTTAATTACATCTGCAAATACCATTTGCCCAAACAAAGGCACATTCATGCATTCAGGTGATACGGTTTGGCTGTGTCCCCACCCAAATCTCACCTTGAATGGCAGCTCCTATAATCCCCATGTGTCGTGGGAGGGACCCGGTGGGAGGTAACTGAATCATGGGGGCAGGTTTTCACATGCTGTTCTCGTGTTAGTGAATAAGTCTCAGGAGAACTGATGGTTTTACAAAGGGCAGTTCCCCTGCACACACTCTCTTGCCTGCCACCATGTAAGACTAGCCTCTTTCATCTTCCACCATGATTATGAGGCCTCCCCGGCCATGTGGAGCTGTGAAAGAGCCATTAAACCTCTTTTTCTTTACAAATTACCCAGTCTCGGGTAGGTCTTTATTAGCACCATGAGAACAGACTAATACGTGGCCACTGGGGCTTGGATATGTCTTTTCAGGGGACTGTTTGACCCACATCACGACTCTTTCCACGAAACAGCTTCTGACTGGTTAGCAGCCCAGATGGTGAGCATGTGCCTGGCACTGGGCTCCAAGGGGTCGTGCCACTGGACAGCCCACCACGAACAGGTGTTTTCTGATCCATGGAGTCTTGCAGTAAAGGTGGCCACCACAGTCCACTTCCCCGGGGAGGGGGAGAGACAGGAGTGGCCCTAGGGTCCTCTGCACCTACGCCCTCCCTCTCAACCTATGAACTCCAAGGAACCTTTCAACAAACTCCTCTTCTGCTCCAACCAGCCAGAGTCCATTGCAGTTCCCCACAGTTGGGGTCCCTGTCTGATACAGCAGAGAAGGTGAAGCCTCCGACACAGGGGCAGAGATGACAGGAAGTGTGTCCAGAACACAGGGGTGCAGAAGCCCCATCCTGCTCTGTGATTTGACAGGAAGTGTGTCCAGGACACTGGGGTGTGGAAGCCCCATCCTGCTCTGTGATTTGACAGGAAGTGTGTCCGGGACACTGGGGTGCAGAAGCCCCACCCCGCTCTGTGATTTGACAGTAAGTGTGTCCAGGACACAGGGGTGCGGAAGCCCCATCCCGCTCTGTGATTTGACAGGAAGTGTGTCCGGGACACTGGGGTGCGGAAGCCCCATCCTTCTCTGTGATTTGACAGGAAGTGTGTCCAGGACACAGGGGTGCGGAAGCCCCATCCTTCTCTGTGATTTCACAGGAAGTGTGTCCGGGACACTGGGGTGCGGAAGCCCCATCCTTCTCTGTGATTTGACAGGAAGTGTGTCCAGGACACAGGGGTGCGGAAGCCCCATCCCTCTCTGTGATTTGACAGGAAGTGTGTCCGGGACACTGGGGTGCGGAAGCCCCATCCTTCTCTGTGATTTGACAGGAAGTGTGTCCAGGACACTGGGGTGCGGAAGCCCCATCCTTCTCTGTGATTTGACAGGAAGTGTGTCCAGTACACAGGGGTGCGGAAGCCCCATCCCGCTCTGTGATTTGACAGGAAGTGTGTCCGGGACACAGGGGTGCGGAAGCCCCATCCCGCTCTGTGATTTGACAGGAAGTGTGTCCGGGACACTGGGGTGCGGAAGCCCCATCCTTCTCTGTGATTTGACAGGAAGTGTGTCCAGGACACAGGGGTGCGGAAGCCCCATCCTTCTCTGTGATTTGACAGGAAGTGTGTCCAGGACACTGGGGTGGGGAAGCCCCATCCTTCTCTGTGATTTGACAGGAAGTGTGTCCGGGACACTGGGGTGCGGAAGCCCCATCCTTCTCTGTGATTTGACAGGAAGTGTGTCCGGGACACTGGGGTGCGGAAGCCCCATCCTTCTCTGTGATTTGACAGGAAGTGTGTCCGGGACACAGGGGTGCGGAAGCCCCATCCTTCTCTGTGATTTGACAGGAAGTGTGTCCGGGACACTGGGGTGGGGAAGCCCCATCCTTCTCTGTGATTTGACAGGAAGTGTGTCCGGGACAATGGGGTGCGGAAGCCCCATCCTTCTCTGTGATTTGACAGGAAGTGTGTCCGGGACACAGGGGTGCGGAAGCCCCATCCTTCTCTGTGATTTGACAGGAAGTGTGTCCGGGACACTGGGGTGCGGAAGCCCCATCCCGCTCTGTGATTTGACAGGAAGTGTGTCTGGGACACAGGGGTGCGGCAGCCCCATCCCGCTCTGTGATTTGACAGGAAGTGTGTCCTGGACACTGGGGTGCGGAAGCCCCATCCCGCTCTGTGATTTGACAGGAAGTGTGTCCGGGACACAGGGGTGCGGAAGCCCCATCCCGCTCTCTGATTTGACAGGAAGTGTGTCCGGGACACTGGAGCGTGGAAGCCCCATCCTTCTCTGTGATTTGACAGGAAGTGTGTCCGGGACACAGGCGTGCGGAAGCCCCATCCTTCTCTGTGATTTGACAGGAAGTGTGTCCAGGACACTGGGGTGCGGAAGCCCCATCCTTCTCTGTGATTTGACAGGAAGTGTGTCCAGGACACAGGGGTGCAGAAGCCCCATCCTTCTCTGTGATTTGACAGGAAGTGTGTCCAGGACACAGGGATGCGGAAGCCCCATCCCGCTCTGTGATTTGACAGGAAGTGTGTCCAGGACACAGGGGTGCGGAAGCCCCATCCCGCTCTGTGATTTGACAGTAAGTGTGTCCAGGACACTGGGGTGTGGAAGCCCCATCCCGCTGTGTGATTTGACAGGAAGTGTGTCCAGTACACAGGGGTGCGGAAGCCGCATCCTTCTCTTTGATTTGACAGGAAGTGTGTCCAGGACACTGGGGTGTGGAAGCCCCACCCCGCTCTGTGATTTGACAGGAAGTGTGTCCAGGACACAGGGGTGCGGAAGCCCCATCCGGCTCTGTGATTTGACAGGAAGTGTGTCCAGGACACAGGGGTGGGGAAGCCCCATCCTTCTCTGTGATTTGTCAGGAAGTGTGTCCAGGACACAGGGGTGCGGAAGCCCCATCCCGCTCTGTGATTTGACAGGAAGTGTGTTCGGGACACTGGGGTGCAGAAGCCCCATCCCGCTCTGTGATTTGACAGGAAGTGTGTCCGGGACACTGGGGTACGGAAGCCCCATCCCGCTCTGTGTGATTTGCCTCCCGGCACCTCTCCCTGTGAGGTCCCACCCCACACTGCTGTGTGAGCTCAAGAGGGGCTTACAGCCTGGGCTTCTGCAGCCAGAGACTCTGGCTGGGACATGAGGGCTGCGTCCTGGGGCTAAACACAGAGCTTCATAAGTCAGGCTGGAGAAGAGGAGCGGGTCTGGGCAGGTGGGGAGAGGAGGCTCAGGCTGAGCCCCACGCAGTGGGGACGAACGGGAGACTGCTGGTGGCCACTGCCATTCCTGGAGGGCTGGGTGAGGCTGGGGGCTAGGGCTCTCCATCCACCCTCCACCCAAGCCCACTCACAAACAGGAGCTCAGGTGGCCCTGCCACCCCTGCTGGGCCCTCACCTCTGCTCCTTACTTCCCCCTCCGGGGGCCCATGCTAAAGTGCGCAGGACAGTGCAGTATACAGGAGCTTTTGATCCTCAAGTGGAGCAGCCCTGGCTTTGACTCCCAGACCCCTGTTTCCTCCGGGTCGTTGTGAGCCAGAATAGAACAGGCATCAGATGAGGGCTGTGGGCAGTCAGAAGGGGTGTCCTGTGGCACAGGGGCAGCATCTCACCCAGGCTGGGGGTACAAGGGGCTGATGTGCACACTCCTGTCCTGGGCCCCCAGGCTGGCTCTGGAGTGCGGCTGCCGGGGATCGCAGGCTGGCTCTGGAGTGCGGCTGCCCAGGACCAACTGTGTCTCCCTGGAGTGTGGCTGCCTGGGACCAACTGTGTCTCCCTGGAGTGTGGCTGCCCGGGACCCACTGTGTCTCCCTGGAAGGCTGAGGCTCTGAGGTTGGGTACCATTTCCAGCAGGTGGCTGGATATCATCAGGGTATCCCACCCTGGGGCTCACTGCATCCTGGCCCTCGAGCTTGGGGCCTCTCCTCACCCACCTCACACCCCAAATCCAGTTGGATCCAAAGGACCAACTGTGAGAAAGCCATTGCGGTGGCCCGGGAGGCCCTGCGTCCCCATAGTCACTAGAGCCACCTCGACACTTGGTGCAGGTGGTCAGCTGCCCATCACCACCTGCGGGCAGAGGGAGGCCCCACCCAAGACCACCTCCCGTGGCCTCCTCCCTCCCCTCCTCCTTGCTTCCCCCACCTAACCTCCTATCCTCTCCCCTGCCCCTCCAGTGGGGCCACTGTGGAAAACACTGGAAGTTCTGCCTCCATGCCTGCCAGGAGTCTGAGTGGGACATCCCAGTGACGTGGTCCTGATGTGCAGAGGCTGCCAGGAGGCCCTGTGCCACCCCCAAGGCTGGGGGCCCACGCCATAGCCTGGGGGGGCTCCTGCCTGCCCTGGGCTGCACCTCTCTGGCTTCTCTGGTAGCTGCTCTCCCTCCACACACCCTCTCCCCGCCGCTGTGGGTGAGTGCCTGCCGCTCACCCACCCACACACAGATCCCACCCTGAGCTCAGCCATCAAGTTCCTGCCTTCCAGGGACTGCAGGGCCCCAGGCCTCTCATTCGCAGGCCTCTGCTGGGTGGCAGGGCCCAGGGGTCGGCTTGAGCAGAAGACATGGCCCTGCAGATCAGTGGCCAAACGTGGACCTTGACAGAAGGCGAGCCCAGCGGGCAGTCTCCATATGAACACACAGCAGCAGGCGCAGATCCTGCCTTCTCCTGTTCCTGCAGAAAGCAACGTGCTGGGACACTCAGTCCTCGGCTTCCTCCGCTTCCTGTTTTTCTGATCAGGATGTAAAGAGCTTCTTCACTGTCATACAGCTGCAAAGTATCCCTGCATCGTTATTTTTAGTCTCTTTCAATATTGTGAAATTGCTACATTGTTTTTAACATTTTAACAATCTCACTGTGAAGGAGATTGATTTCTAAACGGATAAAATAAATGATAGGAACAATGTATTCCTTGCTCTTGCATTTTTCCAAGAGGGGGACCCAGTACGGCCATAGGGGGATGTTAAAGCCAAGCCTTGAATCCCTCCGAGGGCACCGAGCTAGGGGTGGGTACAGGAGTGCCGCTGTGGAGAAAGGTCTCTGGAGAGGATGGTGCCTGGGCCCTGCCTCTAGAAATCGAAGATGGATAGTGGCAGGAGGCAGCGGGGGTGGGAGCTTGAAGGACCATCTGAAGCTCTGCTAAGCGGAGCTAGACAGAGATCAGTCACCCTCACAAGTGGGGGACAAGAGGGACCCCCTTGGAAGAGCAAGGGAAAGGAGACTCTCCAGGGTTATGGTGGTGGGGCTGAGGGTGTCTAAGGACTAGGAAATGGAGCATAGAGGGTTCCAGGTGCAGAGCAGCATGGAGGGGAGCTGGGAGGCCAGGGAGGGTACCTGAGTGAACCACACGTGAACGAGTTAATGAACGAGCTTCTGGAACCAGGATGTGTTTCCCTCGTGGGTTCTAGGGGTGCCTGGGAGCTGCAGGACCCGTGGGAGCTGCTCCCCCTGGCCGGCCCGCCCACCCACAGCTACCTCTGAGTGCTGGATCCCAGGAAAGAAAAAGGGCTTGTACCTCAGTGCACATGGTGGGCAGCCTGCTCAGCCTGGCACTGTGGGGTCATCAGAATCAGAGAGAGCCGGGCACAGCGACTCACTCCTGTAATCCCAGCACTTTGGGAGGCCGAGGCGGGTGGATCACCTGAGGTCAGGAGTTCAAGACCAGCCTGGCCAACATGGTGAAACCCTGTCTCTACTAAAAATACAAAAATTAGCTGGGCGTGGTGGTGCGAGCCTGTAATCCCAGCTACTCAGGAAGCTGAAGCAGGAGAATCGCTGGAACCCCGGAGGCGAACATTACAGTGAGCCAAGATCCTGCCATTGCACTCCAGCCTGGGCGACAGAGTGAGACTCTGTCTCAACAAAAGAAATAAATAAATAAAAATAAGCGGAGAGTAACCCCAGGGGAGGAGAGTCTGGACTCTGCTCTAAAAACAAGCCCCTCCCTCTGCCAGACTCAGGTTCAGTGAGACAAGAGAAGGTTGGCTGCAGAGAGGGCAGGAAGGAGCTCAGAGCAGGGAAAGTGTTGCAAGGGCCAGCACATCTGCAGTCTGCATCTGCCCCAAAAGGCCCTACTCTCCCGGTATGGACACCCTACACTTGCCCCTCAGTCAGAAACACTTGCCCACCCTTCCTTATAGAAAAACTCTGCTCACCCCTCAGGCCCAGCCCCAAGGTGCCCTCCTCCCAACGCCTCCCTCATTCCAAACCCAATCTCACGGCAGGCTGCCTCCCAGAGATGGCAGTGCACAGGTCTGGATCTGACTCGAGCTGGTGTCAACACGGGGGAGGGCGTACAGAGTAGGACGCGCAGGCCCAGGACAGGGCCACACAGCCCCCCAGGACAGCAGAGCCCATGGCCCCACCTGGGCATGATGCCAGCATGGACCCTGCCTGCCGAGCCCCGCCCCCACATGTCACCTAGGCAGGATGGAGTGTGGATGGCCAGGCATCCCCTGTCCACAACCAGCACCAAGCTCTGAGCCCAAGGCTGCCGCTGCCAAAAAGAGCCACGTGAGTCATGCAGGCCCCACCGTGAGAGGAGGCCCAGAGAACCGCTGTGTCAGAAGGGCCAGCCCCACGAGCCAGCAGAGCAGGCAAGTCCAGGCCCCAAGGCACAGAGGTCTGTGGGCAGGGAGCGGGGGTGGCCGGGCTGCCCTTCAACGGTGCCCTGGGGTGTGCGCATGGCTCAGGGAGGAAGCCTGGGCCTGGAAAGGCGGTTGAGCCCAGGGGCGCAGGTGCAGGCTCGAAAATGACCCATGCAGCTGCCATCAGGACCACCAGACCTTAGCCCTGGCCCTGGGGGACCACAGCCCTGCCCTGAAGGTCTTAGGCATCATATCTTCACCCTGGAGTGTCTGAGAGGTCATGACCTTGCCCTGGGGGCTTGAGGGAGGCTGCGTGGTGCCTGGGTGGGATGAGGGGGTGGGCTCCACATACAGAGCCCACCACGCCTACCTGCCGGCTGTAGGCAGTGCTGGGGAACCAGGTGTCTGCCACTGCGGGTCCCCTTTCACACCTGCGCACCATCCCAGGTGGCACCTTCTGTAGGGGCTGGACCAGACCCACTAGCCTTTCCGGGGCGGGACAGAGGGAACAGCCTCTCAGTGGCGAGCACTAAATTTAATTCAATCTGCGAATCAAATGTGCTCTGATTGTCCCTAGGTGATTCTCGCAATAAGCACTTGCCTGGGCTGGGCAGTTTGCACCTGGGCTGAAGAGGAGCTGGGCCCAGAGGGAGGCAACGTGCAAGGGCCTGGGCCCCTGTGGAGGGGAGGCGGCAGGTGGAGGCCCCTTGAGAATCCCAGTAGCGCCCTTCCTAGGAGCAGCTCCTGCAGCACTAGATTCAAGGGCCTGTAGCGGTAGCCGGGGCGGGGCGCGGGGGAGGTAGGGCAGCAGGAAAGCGGGGCACCAGGGAAGAGGGGCGACAGGGAGGCGGGGCGTGGGGGAGGAGGGGTGAAGATGACGGGAGGCGGTGCACGGGGGAGGCGGGGCACAGGAGAGGCGGGTCGACAGGGAGGTGGGACGCTGGGGAGAAGGGGCGAATGGGGGCGGGGCGATGGGGAGGCGGGGCGACGGGAAGTAGGGGCAGTGGGGGAGGCGGGGCATGGGGTAGACAGGTGTGGGGGAGGCGGGGCACCAGGGAAGCGGGGCGTGGGGGGAGGCGGGGCGTGAGAGAGGCGGGGCAGTGGGGGAGGCGGGGCGTGGGGGGAGGCGGGGCAGTGGGGGAGGCGGGGCAGTGGGGGAGGCGGGGCGTGGGGGGAGGCGGGGCAGTGGGGGAGGCGGGGCAGTGGGGGAGGCGGGGCAGTGGGGGAGGCGGGGCGTGGGGGAGGCGGGCCGAGGGCGAGAGGGCGCAGGGAGGCGGGTGGGGGTGGGGCCACGCGCGGAGGGGCAGGGAAGGGCGGGGCGGGGCGGGGCGGGACGGGGCTGGGGGGGACAGGCATCAGGTATGAAGAGTTTGGGGCTGGCGGGGCGTGTCCGGCTGTGGCGTGGGCACCACTATGGGAGACCCTGGCTTGGCAAGTGACCTTGCAGCCTTGGCTGGGGAAGGGCTAGATGCTGGGTGGGTGCCGGTAGAGTGGAAAGAATGACAGGTTCAGGTGAATTAAGGAAGGATGGTTGACTCGGTGGCTGGGACATTAGAGACAGGTATTCCCAGCCTCAGGCGCTGTCCTAAGCCCAGCAGGTACTGACCCTTGATGGTCACCTCACCCTATGAGGGAGCTGAGGCCTGGGGAACCCAAGGGGCTAGTCCAGAACCCACAGCCGGGGGAAGGAGGAACCGGGTCTTAAACCCAGGTAGCTCACTCCAGAACCAACTCAACCTCTGTTACAGGTGGCCGGCCAGAAAATGCCCCACCCCACCCATTGACAGTCGGGGAAACTGAGGCCTCAGTAGGTGAAGTGCCTGGCCCAAGCACCAAGGCACACAGAGACGCTCAGGCTTGACCCTGGCTCCGGACGTCCAGCCCCTGCCGCTGCCCCACCCCTCTGCTGCCCTTGGGAGAGGGGCAGCTCAGAGCCTCGACTCTGCACTCTGCATCAGCACCCCCCAAGGGCTTGGGTGGGGTCTTGAGAGGAGGGGGTGGCCTCAGGGAGCGACCTGGGCTTTCCAAGCCTCTCCCAGAGCAGCCCGTCTCTCACACAAGGCCAGAAGGCAGGTGGGTGCTGATGGCTTTCCCAGCAAGAGACCGAGGGGGCGGGCCCCCAAGAGCTCCAGAAAGCTCTCCACCGGACACCAGCAGGAACAGCACTGCAGATGGAGCAGCAGGGGCAAAGACCCGAGGTGATAGTGAGGGGCAGCCGGGAGGCCTTGGGCCTAGCAGTGCATTGCTGAGTGTGGGTGAGGAGGAGGTGAGCACGCAGCCTTAGCTTGAGGGCATTGACTGTGTTTTTACTTAAATGCTCTTAAAGGGGCCTGGGTGTGATGCTGACTCTAGGATGACGATGCTTGGCCAGTGACCAGCAAATAGAGGGTCTGTGACCCCAAGGTCCTGTGACTATGGAGCCCAGACATGGGGTTGAGGGGTGTCAGGCATGGCCCATTCCGGGGCGAGGCTCCCTGCCCTGCACTGCAGGGCTGAGGCACTGAGCGGCAAGCCAGGCGAGGGCCAGCACCACCTTCCACCTGCCGTGGCACGGGTGCACAGGACGTTCCAAGGCCAACCACAATGACTTCTCCTTCCCCTCTGGCCCCAGATGTCCTGGAGGGAAACAACAGTCCCTGGCCTGGCGCCTGGAGCTGGGGACCAGTGTGAGGCCCATTGTTTGAGGCTGGAGCTGGTGGGGGCCACTAGGAAGCCCACGGCAATGCCCTTCATCCCACTTACCGCAGCTCCAGAGCCCTGCGGGAGGACTCAGAGTCAGGGACACAGCAGCGTCCGGCGAGATGAAGGCGCTCGGGGCTGTCCTGCTTGCCCTCTTGCTGTTCGGGCGGCCAGGTGCGGGGCAAAGGGTAACCCTGCGGTGAGGGGGCAGCAACAGCAGTCCTGGAGCACAGGGACCTCCAGGGACCCCCAGCAGGGGCTTAGGAAGAAGGAGGGGATGAGGCTGGAGTCCCCAGCCCAGAGCAGCATGGATGGAAGCTGGCCTGGGTCCCCGAGAGTCCCCAAATATCTGCGCCCCTGTTTATGTGGGGTGCGGGGAGGGGCTACCATAAAGGGCCAGCCCACAGCAGCTGCTGTTGTAACTACAATGCCAGGGCACACTCGGCTGCAGGACAGTGAGTAGGGTGAGTAGGGTAGTAGGACAGTGAGTAGGGTGAGTAGGCTGCAGGACAGTGAGTAGGGTGAGTAGGGTGTTCAGGGTAGGGGCCCTCCCCAGCCACCCTGGGGCCCGAGGATGGCTGGGGAGGGCCAAGGAGTTGGGGGCACGATGCTTGCCCAGAGCAGGTGTCCTCCATACCCGGGTAGCTGAGGCTTACAAGCATCCCTGCACGGCCAGGGAGAGGGCAGACACAGCAGGAGGAAGAGGAAGAGGACGAGGACCACGGGCCAGATGACTACGACGAGGAAGATGAGGATGAGGTGGAAGAGGAGGAGACCAACAGGCTCCCTGGTGGCAGGAGCAGAGGTATGGCCGCCCCAACCCCAGAGCCCTGCTGCCTGATCTGCCTGGAGCATTCTGGGCGGGGCTGTGTGATGGAAGCCAGCAGGCCACAGTCCTGCTGTGAGCTTGCCTCCAGCAGAGTGGGGGACACTCAGTACACCCCTCACTGCTGCTCACCATGACACTCAGTTGCCTTCCAGAGTAGGGAACAGGGGAAGAAGCCACCAGCTGGGAGGGTCAGTGGTGCCAGGATGTAGAGGTTAAATAGGAGTTCACCAGGCAGAGAAGGGCTCAGTGGGGGCCTAGGGTGGAGACACAAGCACAGAGGCCCCAGGGTAGGGTTCAGTTTTGTGGGGCAGAGAGAGCAGCAGGGTGGGCCGGTCCTGTACAGGGGAGGGCTGGATTGGCTGCTGCGGGCTGGGGAGCCAGGGAACCGCTTAGAGCAGAGCAGAGTAGGGCTAAGAAGAGCCCACCCTCACTGCCCACCTGACACACCCCTACACGTGGGCCACCCTCTGCTCTCTCCCATCCCGAGAAAAGCAGAGCAAATCGCCGCATCCAACCCGAGGGCCGGCCCCTCCCTAGCCAGGGACCACAGCGTGCCCCACCACACACAGCCCCTCCCTAGCCAGGGCCCCCAGCATGCCCCACCACACACAGCCCACCCCCCTCCCAGGAGCCCCAAGCCTGCCCTCAGCACGAGCCCTGCCCCACACACCCACGAGGTGTCCCCTGTGAGGCCCTCCTCTGCCAGGCCTGGTGCTCCTGGAGGCAGGACTGAGTCAGACCCACCTCCAGGTTTCTGTGACCACGGCAGGAGCCTGGGCAGCATTGTCGCAGGACGTGAGTGATGATGGGAAGTTCGCCCTGCCTGACCCGCAATCCCTTGCCCCCTAAACACACAGGCTCACGCACACAGCACAGCTTACAGGACCAAGTCAGGGGTCGCCCGCCCATCTGAGCAGTGGGTGCTGGAGGCTCACCAGGCTAGGCTTTGGGAGCACAGCTGAGAACGGGGAGGTGGACAGGGACGTGGGAGGAGACCCTGGGGGGCCCGGCCTCGGCCTGAGCCCGCCTTGTCCCCAGTGCTGCTGCGGTGCTACACCTGCAAGTCCCTGCCCAGGGACGAGCGCTGCAACCTGACGCAGAACTGCTCACATGGCCAGACCTGCACAACCCTCATTGCCCACGGGAACACCGGTAAGTGGGCGTGGGGCCGCAGCACATGCACCCCCAGGCGGCGGGAAAGCCAGGGGCCCGGAACAGAGCCCTGCAGAGCCACCTCAGAGACCCCGCCCATCCTCAGCACTTGTTCCCCACTCCCCTTCCCAGAGTCAGGCCTCCTGACCACCCACTCCACGTGGTGCACAGACAGCTGCCAGCCCATCACCAAGACGGTGGAGGGGACCCAGGTGACCATGACCTGCTGCCAGTCCAGCCTGTGCAATGTCCCACCCTGGCAAAGCTCCCGAGTCCAGGACCCAACAGGCAAGGGGGCAGGCGGCCCCCGGGGCAGCTCCGAAACTGTGGGCGCAGCCCTCCTGCTCAACCTCCTTGCCGGCCTTGGAGCAATGGGGGCCAGGAGACCCTGACCCACGGCCCCTCCCCACCCCCACCCGGCTCACCCCCGGCCCTGCCAGCACTCTGTCTGGTACCTTCCCCTCCTGCCCCTGCACCAGCTTTGGAGAATGGATTTGGAGTGTCTTGGGCGATCCAGCCAGCGCAGGCCCCCCGGCCCGGTTGCTTCCTCAGTTCCCGGCTGTGTCCTTGGTGTCCTTTCTCCACCACCTGTGAGCAGCAAGACTGCCGCACGTGGGCGCTGGGTCCAGACCTCGGCTGCCACGCCCCAGGACCTGCAGCCCTCATGGGGGCTGGGGATCCCCATCAGCACAGCCAGGCAGAGATGATACCCACCACACACCTGGGGGCCCCCACACCCAGTCCTCACCCTTAACTTCTGCCATGGGAATTCCTCCATCTGCAGCGGTCACACGGGCCCACCCTGCCCTTCCCCAGGTCGGCCTCTCCGCTGTCTGGAGGGAAGGGGATTTGGAGGGAGGCTGTCGTCGCCCCCAGGAAAGACGGGCCTGGGGGAGGCGGGACAGTGGGAGAGGCGCGCTGAGGATGAGAGGGCACAGGGAGGTGGGTTGGGGTGAGGCCACATGCGGAGGGGCGGGGCGGGGGGGGGCTGGGGGGACAGGCACCAAGTATGAAGAGGATGGGGCCAGCGGGGCCTGTCTGGCTATGGCGTGAGCACCGCTATGGGAGACCCTGGCTTGGAAAGTGAACTTGCAGCCTTGGATGGGGAAGGGCCAGATGCTGGGTGGGTGCCTGTCACCTTGAGGTGACCATCTAGGGTCAGTACCTGCTGGGCTTAGGACAGCGCCTGAGGCTGGGAATACCTGTCTCTGCTCTAGCAGAGGCTAAAGCAGGCTAGAGCAGTGGAGGGGTGGAGTTGATGAAAGGAGAGGAGTAGATGAGATGGAATTTTTCCAGCCTCATCCTGGCCTGCCCTCTAGACTCCAGTCCCCAAGCCCTCAGCCTAGTGGGTGTCATGGATGGATCTGGGGGTGTCAGACAGGCTACCCTGTGCCAGGGAGGGGGCAGAATGGGCCTGCAGCTTCCTGCAGAGGAAGCAGGACTGGGTAGCAGAGCCGGGAAGGTGGGTGGCCCATTACAGGGGGGTCCCCAGGGTGTCCTCTGGCAGGGCTGTGACTGCTGCAAGCTCTGCCTTCACCAGTAGCTGGTGCCAGGACAGAGCTCTGGGACAGCAGGCAGAGGCCGAGCCTGGGCCACAGCTCAGCCACTGACTTGGGTATCAGTTTCCCCTTCTGAGAAGTACAGAGTGAGACTTAAAGAACCCCTAGATCCCCACCAGTTCAACACTCCATTAACTGGGAAGCCCAGAGTCCTGTCCGGCCTGCCAAGTTCATCCTGGTGGACAGCGGGAGGCCTCCGCTAACTGTTCTCTTCTTTTCCTTATTAATAAAACACACAATGCCTAGCTGGGGGGTCGGAAGGCAAATGCCCTAGATGGTGGGGTCACGTCTTTCTCCTTCTCCTTCCTCCTTCTGCTGGCTGAAGTGATGACTGGAGCTCAGCAACCACTTTGCACCATGAGGCAGCACTGAGCACGGTAGGGCAGCCTGGTGAGAGGGGCCTAGCTCGCTGCCGACAGAAGTCACTGCCTACCTCAGGGTCCCCTTACCTGGGTGGGAAATAAATTTCTGCTGTGTTGAAGCTAGTTATTTGGGGTGTCTGTTACTTGCATTTTCACACTGACACATGCACATGTGTGCACACGAACACGCACGCCTACAGCCCCACTGGAGCACAGTGCAGGGGTCAGGCTGCCTGCTTCGAATCTAAGGCCCAGCCCTCCCCAGCTCCATGACCCTGGAAGCCCCTTCACCTCTCACTTGGCTCCGTCCAGCGGGAGTCCTAGGAGAGCCCTCCTTGTGGGCTACAGTGAGGATCCTCCAGAGTGCTGGAGCACCACGTGTCAGGGCTTACAGCCCCGTGCCTGGCAGAGAGCAAGTGCTCGACAAATGGGAGCTGTGGCCATCAGGACACTTCTCATGACCCCACTCTTCACTTGCCATCTGTATGTGTGAACATAGCACATGCCCCACCTGAGCCAGCCCCAGACCCTCATGATCCAAAGAAACCTCGTTAACCACACCCGACTTAGAAACACTGGGCGACGTAACCTGAGTTCGCCAAATGCTTCCTTCAAACTGATGCCTTAAAGCCCTGCACAGCTCTGAGTGGACAGACCCCCACCCCTCCCGGCCCACACCACCTCCTGGCGTGCAGTCTGAAGCCACTGGCTGTAGGGCCTGCCCCAGCCTTGGGGTCCTGTCTCTTCTCCCAGGGTCCTGGGCCCTGCCAGCAGCTGGGTCCCTCATCCTTGCCCCTGAGGAAGCAGAAAGCCCAGTCAGACTCTCCTGGGGCTCTCACCTGACCTGCCCAAAGGCACGGGAGCTGTGAGTGTCTCCGCAGCTATAGAAGCCAGAGAGGGGCCAATACAAGAACAGAGAAGCCCATCAGCCAGTACCCATCCCCACACCACCCCCACACCCCCTCAACACCACCCCCAACACCACCCAACACCACCCCCACACCACCCACCACCACCCACCACAAGCCCCAACACCACCCACAACTCCACCCCCCACACCACCCCCAACACCACCCCCAACACCACCCAACACCACCCCACACCACCCCCACACCACCCAACACCGCCCCCACACCACCCACCACCACCCACCACAAGGCCCAACACCACCCCCACACCACCCCCAACACCACCCCCACACCACCCCAACACCACCCCCAACACCACCCCCACACCACCCCAACACCACCCCCAACACCACCCCCAACACCACCCCCAACACCACCCCCACACCACCCCCACACCACCCCCACCACCACCCCAACACCACCTCACACCATCCCCAACACCACTCCCAGCAGCTCACAGAGGGCTTTCTCCTGGCACCCACTCAGGCTCTGAGCAGGAAGAGAGGGTATCGTGCTTAGCTGTCTACGGTGGGCCCTGTCACAGCCCCCCGAGGTACGAAAGCCTGCAGCTGCGACATGAGGCTCGAGCTCAAGGTCACACAGCTGGGCGGTACAGATCCAGGATCCAGTCCCCGGGCTTCCTGCCAACCGCACCCAGCTTCCCAGAGGTGTCCCAGGCTCCAGGACGCCTCAGCTGGGGAGGAGCTGGATGCCAGCCAAGAGCCAGCCAGATTCCCAGGCCAAGTCGAGTCTGAGCCAGGCAAGTCAGCGGTGCCAACGGGCGGATGGTCACAGCCAAGACACCCTGGGCCCCGTCTCAGAGCCCAACGCATGCTGTCAGTCTCAAGAGTGAACATAGAGGGACCTCCCTTTCTCATCCAGCCCAGCAGCAGGGAGACTGGGGGCTGGGGGGCTGGGCAGGGAGGGGGCGGGGTCTGGGCAGGGAGGGGGCAGGGCCCTGGCCCAAGAACCCATGTCCCTCTGTACCAGTTTCCCAGGGCTGCCATAACAAATCACCACGAACCTAGTGACTTAACACAAGTTCATGCTGTGGCTCTGGAGGTCAGAAGTTCACGTCAGGGCTCTGGCTGGGCTGCGTTTTCTTGGGAGAGAATCCACCCCCGCCCTCTCAGCTTCAAGAGGCCACCTGCTCTCCTTGGCTCATGGCCCTTCCTCCACCTTCGAAGCCGCTCCAACCACTGCTCCCTCACCAGCTTCCCGAGTCAGCTCTCCCTCGGCCTCCTTCTTACAGGGATCCTGTGACCACAGTTAGGACTCGCCTGGAGAATCCGGAGCCATCTCCCATCTCAGATCCTCCGCTTCCTCATGGCTGCAAAGTCCCTTTTGCCATAGAAGGCACATTCACAGGCTTGAGGATTTGAACCTGGGTATGTCAAAGACCTTTCCTGAGCCCACATCAGCCCTTCCCTGGACACCTGCTCCGAGACTAGCTGTGCTCTGGAAGCCACGGTCCTGGGGAGGATAAAGCCCAGCTCCCTGGCTCAAGGGGGCCACAGTCCCAGGAAGGAGGCCTTGCCGGGCCCCTGGTGGCCACAGTCCAGAAGTCAGTCCCACAGTGGTCTCTTCCTGCCCCAGAAGAATTCAGACCCCTTCGCCTGTGCTCATCACGAGAAGCCGGGCAGAGGCTTGTTCTCACTCTGTCTCTCCCGCACCCCTTGGGTCTGCCCACACCCAGGTCTCCCCGCCATCAAAACTGACCAAGACCAGGGTGCAGTGCCTGACTCACTCATGGGACAAACCCTAACCACGCCTCCCTCCTGACTCAACTCATGGGACAGACCCTAACCACGCCTCCCTCCTGACTCAACTCATCGGACAAACCTTAACCACGCCTCCCTCCTGACTCAACTCATGGGACAGACCCTAACCACACCTCCCTCCTGACTCAACTCATCGGACAAACCCTAACCACGCCTCCCTCCTGACTCAACTCATGGGACAAACCCTAACCACGCCTCCCTCCTGACTCAACTCATGGGACAGACCCTAACCACACCTCCCTCCTGGCTCAACTCATCGGACAAACCTTAACCACGCCTCCCTCCACCATGAGCTCTGGCCACTCCCACATAAGGACACACGAGGACACAAGGGGCGTCTGACACCCCCGGGACTGGGCCCCCAACCTCTGCCCGCCAGCCATTCGGGGACAGGTGGACTCAGATACGTGGGTGGGGGAGACCTGGGTGTGGCAGAGCCGAGGGAGTGCAGGAGAGACCGTGAGAGCAGGACTCTGCCTAGCACCCTGGAGATCCTCCCCAGAACCCACCAGATCCATCCCTTTCCTCCTCCTTAGGGACTGGGGCCAGCAGGCACTGCTCCGGCACCCACTCTCTGGAGGATGGAGCCAACGTTGCCTTGGAAACGGGCATCCAGGAGTGGAGTTCATTCCTAACACGTTCGGCTTTTTGTCTCTTAATTCATTGGACTTAATAATGACGTCTGCGCAGAGGAGGAGCAGGGGAGGAGGCGGCTGGAGAAGCTCGCCTCCGAGGCCAACTCTCCCTCAGCCCTGCCTCTGCCCCTGGTGATCCTCTGAGCCCAGGATCCGGTGACTCAGTGGTGTCCCCAGCAGGCTCTGGAATGCACTGCAAGTCACACCACGCCCTGGGCAAAAGCCAGCTCCCCCTTCCCCTTCTCTCCCCTCTGGGCTCTGAAGGCCACAGGTCAGCCTCCCCTGGAGCCCTGGCTTGCGCAGCCACCGCTCTGCCTTGACCCTGCAGCGCCTCAGGCTCCTGCCCCCTGCCTCAGGCTAGGGAGCCCAGGAACCCAGGGAAAGGGAACCCTGCCACGCCCCTCCCCGAAACCTCTCGCAGCTTCTAACTCCCCGGGCCTTGGCTCCGGACCACTGCTTCAGGAAACACAAACTCCACCTCCCCGTGAAGAGACCCAGCATCTGAGAAACAAGATGAAGGGAAGGGGGCAAAACCTCGGCTGGATGTCATCCTACCAAAGGCGTGGCGGCGTCCTTCCTCCCTGGCCCTCAGCCCTTCCCGGAGCTCCGGGGCCAGCAGGGGCATCCAGCACTCCGAGTGGGAGGGGAAGCCTCTCGGCGCCTGAGCCGGTCAGCCCGAGGTCTGGATCAGGCCCCAGTGCTTTCAGTAGCAAGGTACAGGAACCGAAAATCCTGTCATTGCAACTTTAAAATAGAAGTTTCATTTTGCTCCCGTAAAGAGAACTGTGGAGGCAGGTGACTGCGGGGAACCCCTGAACGAGCCAGGGATGAGTGAGCAGGGCCTGGCCATGCTGTCGGGGAGACCCTGCTTAAGCCGCAGGGAGTCAGGGAGCACTGCCCTTCATGTTCATCCGTGGTGGCCCTAGAATTGCACCATCAACCAGAGTCTGCTTCTGGCAAAAGGGCCCGGGGGTCTCCGCCATCAGACCACTCACCGCAGGCCACAGCTCGGATGGGTACGGGGCACCGGGGGAGGCGGCCAGTGCGTTAGACTCCCCCGATGCCCCTGGGGAGGGCCGGGGGTGCGGCCAGGCCTGCGTGGGCGGAGGGGTCCTGTCCAGGTGGTCCCGGGCCTGGAGACCTGCTCCTGCCCCTCCAGGCCTCGTCCTCTTCTGTAAAGGGGAAGCTGGCCCAGGAGCTTCCGGTAGCTTCCAAGGGAACCTGGTCAGCCCGCAGGAGACTGGGTAGGAGGAGGGGATGCAGAGATGCCTCCAGAACACGGCCTCCAGCCCGGTCACCGCGCCGCCTGCCGTCTGGGGAGCGCGGGTCACAACCAGACCAGACCCGGAGCCACCTGGGGCAGGGGTTAGGCCTGGTGCTAGGGTCCCGCCCCCTCCACCGGCCCTGCCCTGGAGCCACCAAGGGCCACCAACAGCCGGTCCTCCCCAGCCGAGGGCGACCCGAGGAGCTGCCGACCTCCGCACCCAGCCTCTGTCCCCTGCCCCCGGCCTCTCCCCAACCCTGGGCTCTGCACCCTACTCCAGGCCCCTCTCCTGGGCCTCTGTTTCCACCGTCCCCAGCCACTGACCCCCACCCTGGACCTCTTCCCCCCAACCCCGTGCCTCTGTGCCCCCCTTCAGCCTCTGTCCCCTGCCCCTGGCCTGTGTCCCCAGGGGGACTCTGTCCTGTTCTCTGTGCAGCGTCCATGTGGGTTCCCCAGGGACCATCGCCTGAGCACTTTGGCAGCTCCGAGTGGCAGCCACGCCTTCCAGGTCCCGGGTGAGAAGGCCCTGCAGCTCTCCGCCGTGCTCTGTGCACACGTCACCATCTACTCAGCAAGCCCCTGGTGTTCCTGGCGGCATGAAGGTGTCACGGCCCTTCCAACAGAGCGACTCCATCCTGAATAGGGGCTGAGTGAAATGAGGCTGAGACCAGCTGGGTTCCAGGACCTTGGGCGTTCAGTCACCAGATATTACAGTTAAGGGAACAAGTGAATAATGTTTACCAAAAAGACCCAGGAAATAATGTCCTGATGTCCGATCTCTTAGGAACAAAAGCATTCTTAGCTTAAGAATGAGTTTCGCTTTGAACATAGTAACATAGATTCTTGCTAGACAGTAGTTACACAAAGATAAACAATCCTTTGTCAGGAGCCCCGGCAGCGGAGCAACCTCCCCCGTGATTTTTTGGCTTTCTTGTCTCACATAGAAACTCCCACTACACCTGAGGTGGGCCCCTTCCTCCTCTTGCTTTCAGGAACTCCCTGCTCTGTCTACAGAGTAGCCATTGTTTTATTCCTTTACTTTCTCAATAAACTTGCTTTCTGTGGATTCAACCTGAATTATTTCTTGCACAAGATCCAAGAACCCTCTCTTAGGGTCTAGATTGGGACCCCTTTCTGGTAACTAAGGTAACTGGCAAACCAACCTACAACCTGGGAACCCTGGGACCCAGGAGCCCCAGTGGTCAGGCCCTTCCTTTCCTTGAGGCTCTGGGGGCGCACCCCAGGGCTGGTGCTGGCATCCTCGCTCCTTCAGGATCCTTGGAGTCAGTTTTCCCTGGAACTTGCCCCATATTTGTGACAGTAACTAGACTGTGGCCAGAAATCCCCTACCCCTGAGCTGGAGCTGCCCCTTGTAAGCCAAAAGTGCCTGAGATGGGTCTCAATCAATTTAGAGGTTTATTTTGCTAAGGTTAAGGATTGTGACCCTTGACACAGCCTTAGGACATCCTGAGAGCATATGCTCAAGGTGATTGGGGTACAGCTTGATTTTATACCTTTTAGGGAGACAGAAGTTACAGGCAAGGCCACAAATCAGCACACGTAATGTATATCCTGGTTTGGCCCAGAAAGATGGGACATTTGGAAGCAGGGGCTTCCAGGCCACAGGTGGAAAGCTTCCCTGATTGACCATTGGCTGGAGGGGTCAAGCTCTGCCTGAAGAGTTGAAATCAGCTAGAGTCAAGCTAAGAGGGGTGCAGGAGGGTGTGGAAGCCAAGGTTCTTGCAGCCAAGCCGCTTAGCAGCTTCACCTCAAACCGCGTTTTAAAACTTCTTTTTATTTCCCCTCTTCTCCTTTCTCCCCAGTTTCAAGCCATAGCTCTGGAGATAAACTTTACAGCCTCGGAATGTGCTGTGACCTCCGCTCTCTTTTCCTGTTCTGTGCTCCAGGCCTCATGCACACTTATTTACGTGGAAGGTTGTTAGGCGCGCACTATGCTCACCAATCTGGTCATCTGTTTCCTTAAAACCTTCAAGGGTCAGATCCTGACACAGACCAGACACCTCTGGAATTCTCTCTCCAGCAAAAGGTTACTTCAAGGCAGGAACCCACTCCCGTCTAGAGACTGACAACAAGATTGACAACAATTAGTTTATAACCTGGTAGAAGCCACGCTGGCCCCTGCACCAGAAGGAACAACAATTCAAGACAAGCCACGGGAGTGGGTCATGCACCTGGCACCTCCTCACCCCCCAGCCTTTTCTGCAAACCCTCTCTTTAAAATCCCCTGCGTGGCAGGGTGCGGTGGCTCACGCCTATAATCCCAGCACTTTGGGAGGCCGAGGCAGGTGGATCATCTGAGGTCAGGCGTTCAAGATCAGCCTGACCAACATGGTGAAACCTCATCTCTACTAAAAATGCAAAAATTAGCTGGGCATGGTGGCGAACGCCTGTAATCCCAACTACCTGGGAGGCTGAGGCAGGAGAATCGCTTGAACCTGGGAGGCGGAGGTTGCAGTGAGCCGAGATGAATCACTGCACTCCAGCCTGGGCCACAAAAGCAAAAGCCTGTCTCAAAAAACAGAAAAAGAAAATCCCCCTGCGTTCCCTCCACAAATGGAAGAGTGGAATTGCTTTCTGCTACGACGGATAATAAAGTCTCATTCTCCATCACACCTCGTTACTATTTTGGCTTCCTTCTACAAGCCACGGGTGGCCAGACCCTTCTGCCCATTACATTATCTTGTAGATGAAGCCTCCAGGTAATTCTTGTAGAAAACTTAGAAAGTAATGACAATGACCTACACACCACCAACCAACTGATTTATGCCAGGTTTTTTTCCTTGTCCATGTTTTGGAGTCTTTTATCTAGTTTATCGAATGACTGTTTCATTCTGGACAAACTCCGCGCACAGCTTTGTCTCCTGCGTTTTTGCTGGGATCAGGTCATGGCCATCTGGAGCAGCGTGCATTTCAGCAGCTTGGATGGTCTGTGACGGAAACCAGCTAGGGGCCTTTCAAACCTCAGTGGCGCTGGCACTTATCACTAGTAACAGTCTTTATTTCTGCTCTGTAGAAGGAGCTTGGCTTTGATATCCTTGAGGTCGGTGGAGTGACGTGAGGAAGCACTGCCGTTGTGGTAAGCCCCCTGAGAAGGGAGATGGTTCCTCGCCACCGGCCTCAGCCTCCCCAGCTGTACAGGGTACGGTGATGTCCTGCAGAGATTTTAACAGATCTTGGGACCCCCTCTTGCTGCCTCAGTGTCATTTCCCACCAGCCCTGGACTGTCCCCTCCAGAATCTCTAAGTCCAGGTGACAGCAAGGTGCACACTGCTTCTTGTCACCCTCCTGGCCACACTGGCTCACTTACACTCAAGAACAGCCTCACAGAGGGAAAGAAACTCATGCAGCAACCCTGCCGGTTACAAGTTAGTGTTTTTTTTTTCTTTTTTTTCTTTTTCTTTTTTTTTTTTTGAGACGGAGTCTCTCTCTGTTACGCAGGCTGAGTGCAGTGGCGTGACCTCGGGTCACTGCAACCTCTGCCTTCTGGGTTCAAGCAAGTCTCCTGCCTCAGCCTCCCGAGTAGCTGGGACTACAGGCGTGCACCAACACGCCGGGCTAATTTTTGTTTTTTTGTTTTTTGGTAGAGTTGGGGTTTTACCCTGTTGGCCAGGCTGGTCTCGAACTCCTGACCTCAGGTGATCCTCCTGTCTCACCTCCCAAAGTGCTGGGATTACAGGCATGAGCGACCAGGCTCAGTCCTTTTTTTTTTTTTTTTTTTTTTTAACAAATTGTTGTTTTCAACATGTGCTTTTGCATAGGCAGAGAAAACTGTCTGGAAGCGGGAGCAAACTCCTGGGAATTGCTTTCAGAGACAGCAGTGGGGAGGGCGCTGCTTCTCACTTGAGGTACTGCTCTTTCATTTGGATCTTCTCGGCAGGCATGCTAATTCTGTAATGAAGAGTCAATGTCAATAAAAGAAAAGATGTATGTGGCTGAATCCCCACAGCAACTAGGCCCCTGCTCTCCTGTCTGGGGCTTGCAGGAGGCCTCCAGGGAGGTGACGCTCCACTGAGCACTGAAGTCAGGGAAAGAAGGGCGGGAAGGCAGCGCAGAAGCAACTGGGAAGGGGTGGGGCTTCCAGGAGAGACTGGGAGCCCCCCGCAGCCCAGCAGGCCTTGGGGTGCTGGGCAGGGTGCTCCATGCTGGACCAAGGTGAGTGGGCGCCCAGGTCCGGGATCTGGGATGTCAGCCGCAGGAGCAAGGAGGTGGTGGTAGGAGACAGCATGGCCCTGAGGGAGGCCCCCCTTGCCCCCAGCTTCCCCTACTGCGGTGCCCGTGAGTCATTCCCGGGTTCATTCCACAAACCTTCCCAGAACTCTGTGCCAGGCACTATGTGGGAAGTGGGGCTGGGGCTGGGGGAGACGCATCTTAGTGAGAACATCCCAGACCCCACAAAGCCCAGGCTGGTAAACACAGGCACAAGCGGAGACAGCCGTGTGGTACAGGGAGGCCTGCCTGGAGGAGGGGGTGCCCAGCTGCCTGGCCCCCTGCATCCTGCGCCTCCCCACATGCAGTTGGTCCCCCTGAAGTCCCTCCTGGGTGCTTTGGGAATATGTATGAAGGGCCCCGAGGGCCTTTCCATACTCCAGCCCCACCTCTGCCCTGGACTTCTCTCCCCAGCCCAAGCCCCATGCTTTAGACCTTCCTGACCCAAAAGCCCCTCCTGTTCTGAATGAGGAAACTGAGGCCCAGGCAGAGGAAAGGACTCAGCTTTTTGTTTTCACAAAGGTTGCACAAGTGATGCAACTTTCCTCACAACACGACGTGGGGGCCCCCAACTTGCAGGCCAGTGCCCCGCCCCGCAGCACGCTCCTGCCCCATCGTTGTATGGACTTAGCACCCCTCACCTTGGCTCCCCCGTCCCAGGCCCAGGCTGGGTCTTTGTGACGGTCTCATGCAATCCCACACAACTTGTGAGGTTGCTGTTGCACTCCATTCTGCAAAATGCGGAGGCTGTGAGGAGACCTGTTGGAGCCAGGATTCAAGGAGCTTTCTCGGCTCCGGAGCACAGGGCTGCCTCTCCCAGGGTTTTCCAAATTCTGGGCTCTGCCTGCTTCCTCTGTCCTCCAGTGAGCATCCTGACTGCCCTGCCCTCTCCATCCTTCTCTGACCCCCAGGCTCCTTCTGTCCTGCACCCATCAGCTCACAGTTTTATGTTGCTGCCGCCTGGGGTCCTGCCCAGTGTCCCAGTTGGTGGGAAGCTCCTGAAGGGCAGGCCGGTGCAGGCACAGCTCTCTGAAGAAGGTTCTGAAGTTGTTGTTAAGACTGCAGTGGCCGGGCGTGGTGGCTCACACGTGTAATCCCAGCACTTTGAGAGGCCAAGGCAGGAGGACCACTTGAGCCTGGGAGTTCCAGACCAGCCTGGGCAACATAGTGAGACACCATTTCTACAAAATAAAAAAAAAAATTAGCCGAGCATAGTGGCGCAGGCCTGTAGTTCCAGCTACTCAGGAGGCTGAAGTGGGAGGATCGATTGAGCCCAGGAGGTTGAAGCTGCACTGAGTGAGGATTGCACCACTGCACTCCAGCCTGGGCAACAGACTGAGACCCTCTCAAAAAAATAAAATTAAATTAAATTAAAATTAAAAATAAATAAATAAAAGAAAGAGACAGAGACTGCAGTGAAAGAGAATCTGCAGAGAGGAAGGGGCTGTGTGTGACTTTGCATCCACAGGATTTTAATTTATGGAGGTGACTGTGCTGGCACAGAGAGGCCAGTGCCATGAGAGAAGTGCCGTCATGCCTGGGAGGATGTGAGGATGAGCGATATGACAGGAATGAGTGTGGGGTCAGCCCCAGGCCACCTAACAGCCAGGCCAGAGGTTGCCTGCTGGCACCTGGGCTCTGACCTTGTGTCTGAGCCCCACAAGACTCCAGGACCCTCTGCACCCCAGGCAAGACATGCCTACCCACTCGGTCTCCTTCAGAACCACGGACAGTGCCGGCGAGCACCACGCGCCACTGACCTGAGCTTCTAGTTAATTCCATATGGTGCCTCTGCCTCCTCCAGACTCAGCTGTCACCACGACCTGGCCAGCAGCAGGACCACCGGCACCCAGGTCTGACCTCAGGCTCCATCCCCTGCTGGACCCATGGGACCTGGCCCAGTGGCACCAGAATACCTGGGCCCCACCCCTGCCCTGGGCCCCACCCCTGCCCTGCGCTGCTGTTTCCTCAGCACTTGCTGTTTCCTCCCAGGCCACCTTCCCAGCAAACTCCCATTTATTTATCTATTTATGAAACAGGGTCTCACTCTGTCACCCCAGCTAGAGTGCAGTGGTGCAATCATAGCTCACTGCAGCCTCACCCTCCTGGGCTCAAGCGATCCTCCCACCTCAGCCTCCTGAGTAGCTGGGCCCACAGGCATGTGCCACCATGCCTGGCTAATTTATTTATTTTTGGTAGAGATGGGGTCTCACTATGTTTCCCAGGCTCATCAGCAACTCCCGTGCTCAAACGATCCTCCCACCTCAGCCTCCCAAGTAGCTGGGATTACAGGCGTGAGCCACCACACCCGGCCTCCTTTGTCGTTTAAATCCAAATATCGCCTTGTTCTGCAGGCCTGACCACCTGGGTCCTCGTGGGCTGGGCTCCTCTCTGTACTCCCGTTCCATCATAACCTGCCTCCCCTTCCACAAGGAGCACTCAGGGCGCCAGGGGCTGCGGTGGGTTCCCTGCCCCTCTGGAGCGTAGCAGCCTGTGCCCAGTGTTGGTGCCTGCGGGAGAGGGAGGCGGGGGGGAGAGGGAGGCGGGGGGGAGAACAGGTTCAGATCCTGCTGCTTCCCTTTCTGTCCTGGTGGCCAAGGCTACCTGCACAGGTAGATGAGGAGGGCACTTCCTTTCCCAGTGGGCCCTGGGTGGGATCATGGAGGGAGCCCTCGAAGGCATCTGGAGCCCGGGGCGGGTGCTCAGTCGACATGCACCCCTTCTGTGGTCGGACCCTGCTCCTGGCTTCCTCCCAAGCCCCCGTGCCTCCTGTTCGCTGTTGCTCTGAGTGCCGTCCAGGCACAGGCCCCAGTCCTTGGTGACCTTCCAGGCCACGCCTCTCAGCCCCGACACCTGCAGGGGCTTGGGCCCGTCCAGAGAGCACCCCTCCCTGGAAACCTCCGGGGCCTGGAGCCTGGGGCAACGCCTCTGTGTGGGCCCCGAGGTGAGAAAGGGACCTGTGTGGCCTGGAGTGAGATCCCACTGGGACCGGAGTGTGGACCTGCTGCCTGCCAGCTGTGCCGTCTCAGGCTGGCCATTTAGCCGCTCTGTGTTCGGGTCTCTCGTCCACGACACTGGGAAAAACCAAGCCCATCTCACGGGACTGGTGTGGAGATTTTCTGACCTTCGGCCGCCACACCCTGGCATGTGCTGGGCGACCCCTGCCCTGCCTCATTGCAGTCTGTTTCCCAAGCCGGGTTCTGGTTCCTTGCTTGTCCCCACCCCCCACAGTGTTTCGGACCCTCCTCCGGCATGGGGTCTGCCCGAGGCCCGGCTTCTCACACACACCCCTGCCACACCTACGCACCCTTAATAGGGAGGGACCAGCAAACCCACGGGGACCGAGCCCCACCCCCAGCTGGCTCACCACCCACCCAGAACCCAGCCCTGGGGCCACCATCTGGCCCCTGTGACCCTGCACCGGCCCCTGTGACCCTGAACCGCCCCTGACCCAGGAGCAAGTGCAGTGAGAACACCCTGTTTCCTCCTGGCTCAGGGCGGCCGTGACCTGCAGCTGGAGTGAGGGGCACTTGGGCCTGGCTCCAGGGATAGAGGAGGGGGACCTGCCCAGCATGCTGACCCTGCTCGAGTCTGTTAGATGGGTCTGGGAGGGCCTGCCTCCCTCTTCCACACAGACCCTGAGGGCTCCTCCTCTCCAGCATGGCAGCCTCCAGACCGAGTGCGTCCCGTGCCCACGCCCCGTCCCCCGGGTCGCCTGTCCAGACCGAGTGCGTCCCGTGCCCACGCCCCGTCCCCCGGGTCGCCTGTCCAGACCGAGTGCGTCCCGTGCCCACGCCCCGTCCCCCGGGTCGCCTGTCCAGACCGAGTGCGTCCCGTGCCCACGCCCCGTCCCCTGGGTCGCGTGTCCAGACCGAGTGCGTCCCGTGCCCACGCACCATTTCCCGGGTCACCTGCTCAGACCAAGTATGTCCCAAGCCCGCGCCCATTCCCCGGGGTCACCTGCTCCTTCTCCACTCACCCAGAGGAAGGTGACAGAATGTGGGGATCTGCTTTAATCTGATATCTTCCTGGGGATTTCCTGTCCCCCAGGACAGGAAGCGGGCATCCACTGCTGGGCCTCCGGCTCCTTGTTCTAGTCTGTGGGAACTCGCTGGAGAAGGAGGCAGTGTCCCCAAAGCAGGAAATTCCTAAGGAAGGAACCTCTGCCTTCGGTCCCAGGCAGACCCTAGGGACGCTTTCCTGAGACCACTGAGGTCTGCAGAAGCTAATGGTCACCGGGATGGGTCAGCTCTGCAGGAAGCAGGGCGAGGCCACCGCTCCTGCACCCAGGTCCCTGACAGGAGATGCCCGTATTGGGACCTTTCCAGAGGAGAGAGGCGTCCCCAGCTCCTGTCATGGAAGCAGGTCATGCACCTTCAGGCTGGCCTCAGACCAGGGCACAGCCAAGGCTTCCTGCCCTCTAGGGTCTGCAGGTGGGAGGGGAAGGGGGTTCAGCTAGTTCCATGCTGGATACCGCGGGGTGCAGGGGCTTCCAGACATCAGGAGGTGGGAGCGCTGCCTGACACTCAGGCTTCCAGCAGCAGAGACCTCACGGGGGTGAGCCCTTTCACTGCCGCTTTGGTGGTGCAGGAAGCCTGGACCCAGCTCCCGGCTGGGGCATCCCATGAACAAGAGGAGGGTAGGAACCCAGCAGAGGACAACCTCCTCGACATAAAAACTTCTCCACAAAAGACCCAGGGAAGAGGAAGGAAAGACAAACTACAGACTGGGAGAAAATGTTTGCAAACTGCATAGCGGACAATGGACTGGAATCTACGATCTATTCACAACGTATCTCAAAATTCAACAGCACAAAAACAACCCACTTACAACATGGACAAACGACGTAAAGAGCTATTTCCCTGACGAGGACACGCAGAAGGCAAACGTGCACAGGAACAGATGTTCGACACCACGCACCCTCAGCGTTCCGACACTAGAACCACGGTGAGGCTGCAGCGATGGCTCACTCATGTCATCCCAGGACTTTGGGAGGCCGAGGGGGGTGTATCACTTGAGCCCCAAAGTTCAAGATCAGACTGGGCAACATAGCAAACCCTGTTTCTAAACAAACAAAAAATTCACGGTGAGATCTCATTATACACCTATCAGAACGGCTAAATAAAAAATAAACTGTTGCTGGATGCGGTGGCTCAAGCCTGTAATACCAGCACTTTGGGAGGCCAAAGCAGGAGGATCACTTGAGGTCAGGAGTTTGAGACCAGTCTGGCCAACATGGTGAAACCCTGTCTCTACTAAAAATATAAAAATCAGCCAGGTGTGGTTGTGCGCTCCTGTAATCCCAGCTACTCAGAAAGCTAAGGCAGAAGAATTGCTTGAACCCAGAAGGTGGATTATGCAGTGAGCCGAGATCACACCATTGCACTCCAGCCTGAGTGACAGAGAGACGCTCCATCTGAAAAAATAAAAATAAATCAAATAAATAAATAAATAAACCATGACCACCCCACATGTTGATGGGGAGGCAGAGAAGCTGGGTCACCTACCTGCTGCTGCTGGGAGTGGACGATGGAGCAGCCGCTCTGGAAGACAGCTTGGCTGTTTCTTATCAAACTAGACACGCAACTCCCACGACCCCCTGATGCGCCCCAGAGAAATGAAAGTCATGTTCATACAAAAACCTGCTCATGAGTGTTCACAGCAGCTTTACTTGTTTTAGGCAAAACCTGGGAAGCAGCCCAGATGTCCTTCAATGGCAAAGGGTTCAGCTGGTTCCATGGGCACCAGGGGAGACAGCCCAGCCACAGGAAGGCGGTGCCGCTGAATGGCATAGCCGCCAGGGGGAACTACAGAGACTCTCCGGAGTGAAAGTGGCCTCTCAACAGGCGGCCTCCAGGACAACTTCCTCTGCACAGCTCCCTGCAGCCACAATTCTGGAAATGGAGAGAACCAATGAGTGGCCACAGGGGCTCCCAGATGCCCCTCCCCACAGCGGAGGGTGTAATATTGCACCAAGTTATGCAAAATGATAGCCTTGGGTTGGGCACGGTAGCGCACGCCTGTAATCCCAGCACTTTGGGAGGCCAAGGCCAGTGGATCACCTGAGGTCAGGAGTTCAAGACCAGCCTGGCCAATGTAGTGAAACCCTATCTCTACTAAAAATACAAAAAAAAAAAAAAAATTAGCCAGGCGTGGTGGCAGGCACCTGTAATCCCAGCTACTTGGGAGGCTGAGGCAGGAGAATAGCTTGAACCCAGGAGGCAAAGGCTGCAGTTAGCTGAGATCATGCCACTGCACTCCAGCCTAGGCAACAGAGTGAGACTCCATCTCAAAAAAAAAAAAAAAAGAAAGAAAGAAAAGGTTACCCTTGGAAGAAACCGAGCGAAGCATATAATGAATGTCTCTCTGTTATTTCTTACAACCATATGTGAATCGACAATGACCTCATTACAATTTTTAATTGAAAACTAAAGGCGGCTGGGCATGGTGGCTCATGCCTGTAATCCCAGCACTTTGGGAGGCCAAGACGGGCAGATCACGAGGTCAGGAGATCGAGACCATCCTGGCTAACACGCTGAAACCCCGTCTAGACTAAAAATACAAAAAAATTAGCCGGGCATGGTGGCAGGCTCCTGTAGTCCCAGCTACTTGGGAGGCTGAGGCAGGAGAATGGAATGAACCTGGGAGGCGGAGCTTGCAGTGAGCCGAGATCGCGCCACTGCACTCCAGCCTGGGTGACAGAGCGAGACTCCATCTCAAAAAACATAAAATAAAATAAAATATTTTTAAAAAACTAAAGGCAGACTATTTTTAATAAAAGCAGGTGTCCGAAGCGTCAGGGAGCCCCGCTGGAGGGAGAGCCTGTGGGCGTCCTGGGGAGAATTGGGTGCCAGGTGCTCACCGGACCCCTGGAGCCCAGTGCGGGGAAGCTGTGGCAGGGAGCATGGAAGGCTCTGCGCAGATCAGCCCTCCCTGGGCACTGAAGATCTTCCCTGGAGGGAGGGCCTGTCATGGAGTGGGAACATGCTGGGGGGCGCACAGGCCCCAGCCCTTCTGCCCCCTAGAGAGGGAGGCCCTTGGCCAGGCACGGTGGCTCACGACTGTTATCTCAGCACTTTGGAAGGCCAAGGTGGACAGATCACCTGAGGTCAGGAGATCAAGACCAGCCTGGCCAACATGGTGAAACCCGGTCTCTACTAAAAATACACAAATTAGCCAGGCGTGGTGGTGGGCACCTGTAATCCCAGCTACTTGGGAGGCTGAGGCAGGAGAATCACTTGAACCAAGAAGTGGACGTTGCAGTGAGCCAAGATCACGCCACTGCACTCCAGCCTGGGTGACAGAGGGAGACCCTGTCTCAAAAAAAAACAGAGAGAGAAGGAGGCCCTTGCTCACATGTCAGGATTGAGGCCCAGGAGACCCAGGGGTGGGCAGAATGTGAGGGACTGAGAGCTCAAGGCTGAGTCGGCTTGGAAGAAAAGTCAAGGTGATTGAGCTCCGTGTGAACAAAGCTGGTTGTGTGCTGTTTTGCTATTGTTGTTGTTTTGTTTTTTTTCTTTTTCTTTTTTTTTTTTTTTTCCAGAGACAGGGACTCACCTTCCCACCCAGGTGGGAGTGCAGTGGCGTGATCTCGGCTGACTGCCGCCTCGACCTCTCAGGCTCAAGCCATCCTCCCACCTCAGCCTCCCAAGTAGCCGGGACCACAGGCACGCACAACCACACCCAGCTAATTTTTTGGTGTTTTTTGTAGAGACAGTCTCGCTGTGTTGCCCAGAATGGTCTCACACTCCTGAGTGCAAGTGATCCTCCCGCCTTGGCCTCCTAAAGTGCTGGCATCACAGGCATGAGCCACAGTGCCCAGCCATGTTGTCGTAGTTTGGGTTTGGTTTGGTTTTATTGTGTGTTTTGGCACAGCCCTTGCTCAAACCCTGCAGAAAACAGAAGATAGGTATGTACTGACTGGTTTCAACTAGTGTGGGAAAACCTGGGTACCCTCCCCTCTGTTTCCCTGAAGGCGCCCAGGCCACCAGCTTCATGAGCACCCAGCGGATAGGGTGTGCCTGGTACCACCACAGGAAGGCCAGCTCTGGACACAGGGAGGACGCACGAAAGGCCGAGACAGTGCCCAGCCAGTGCGGATCCTGTACGCCGGCTGCTGGGTTCTCCTCCCTGTGGCCATCCACCTTCATGCTCTGCCCTCACACCCTGGGGCCATGAGGCCAGACAGACTGGGCTTCGATCTGCCATGTTCCTGGCATGCACTTTAGGTGGGCGCGCTGCTCCAGTTCTCCCTCTGTGCCATGACAGCAGCTACAACTGAGGGCCCTGGGTGCACATGAGTGTGCAGTGAAGGTCAGGCATCCGTGAGGTCCACCGTCACACACTCCCAAGGGACCCCCAGCCAGCGCTGCACAACCACCAGGGCCACAGCAGCTCTGTCTTAACCATGTGCTGAGTTGTCTCGTAAATCAGTCCCAAAGCCACACACAAACCCTAGTATCACACAGACCTCCCTCAGGTGCTGGGGGCCCTGGTCCAGTCACCCCCTGCCTATTGACCACACTCCTCCACAGTGATGCACCCCAGTGCTGAGACCTCTGGCGGACTCATATAACCCTCCCCCCAGCACTGTGGTTCGGGTCTATCTCTTCCTGGGCCCAGGTCTCTTCTACCCAGGATCCCGTCTCTCCCGGACTGTGATGTGGGCGGCCTCGGCACTATGAGGCCAGGTGTCTGCCTTCCCTACAGACACTGGACTCTCGTATCTTCCCCGCTGGCTCCCTGGACCCAGGGCAGTGCAGCTTGGTTGGCTCAAGATCACAGCTCACCCCCGCTGAGGATTCCAAGGAGCATAATAGCTATGACAAAAATAATCTTAGAACAGACCTCTTCACATCCCTGAGAGGAGATGACTGTGACCTTCATCACTCCCATCTTACAGATGAGGAAACTGAGGCACAGGAAGGCTAAGTGCCTTGCCCAGGACCAGACAGCAATTCTGAGGCAGTTCTGGGATCTAAGCACAGGTGGCCTGGCTCCTGGGTCCACACACTCAACCCTACCCACAGCCCCCTCAACATGGTGGGGCCATCTGTGCTTCATCATGCACAGTGGCCTTCCAACCTCTGCCAGCTGCACAGAACAGGTGTGGACAAGGCCTTGGCCATGCACCATACTCAGGATGGTCTCTGCCTTGGAGAATCATGAGGCAGCACTGGTCTCCAGGGCCAGGTGGGCTGATGTCCAATGCTGGCTCAACAGCTTACTTGTTGTGCAAATCAGCCTGGTCCCCTGCCCTCTCTGAGCCGTGGTTCTTCATCTGTAAAATGATGATGTCCACGGCTCCTACCATATTGAGCTGGCAGGATCACACACACAGCACCTGCCTACAAGGATTACAGGATCACACACACAGCACCTGCCTACAAGGATTACAGGATCACACACACAGCACCTGCCTACAAGGATTACAGGATCACACACACAGCACCTGCCTACAAGGATTACAGGATCACACACACAGCACCTGCCTACAAGGATTACAGGATCACACACACAGCACCTGCCTACGAGGCACATGGTGCAGGACTAACATAGTCCTGGCGGTTATCCAAATGGCCAATTCACCAAAGCCAGTGTGACTGCTTGCAAAACGGCCACAGAACTTGCACCTGTTATCTGTTGCTATATAACCCATTCCCCCGACATGTACTGGCTGGAACAGCAAGCGCTTCTCTCAAGCTTCTGTGGGTCAGGCTCACAGGAGCAGCTCAGCAGGTCCCTCGGGCTCAGGGTACTTCATGGGGCTGCAGCCGTGCTGTCGGCCGGAGCTGTGTCGTCTGGGGCTGGCTCCCAAGATGGCCCCACAGGCGGCTGCTTCTCACTACATGAGCGTCTCCATCGGCTTCTGGGTTTCCTCACAACATGGCGGCCGGCTTCTCCCAGAGCAAGTGACCAGAGGGTGAGAGCAGTCGGACGCCATGGAGCCCCTTGGGACCTGTGTCTGAAGTCACTCTGTCTGGACCTCACTTTATTCCGTCTGTGGAAGTGAGTCACTCAGCCCAGGCCACACTCAAGGAGGCGAATGAGGTTCTGTCTCTGGATAGGAGGAGTGGCCAAGAGTTTTGCCCCAGGTTCTAAAATAGAACCATTTCGTTTTCACTGACCACTTCCATTCGCTGTTCGTTACAGCTCTGTAAGAAAAGGCGCGTCTGTGTCCCAGGTCCTGGCTGCTGCCAGGTGACAGAGAGATGGGAAACAGAAGGTTGTAAAGAAATATGCCCCCAAAATACATTCCTGACTATGCGTCCTCACGGACAGACGCTCCATGGCCATGTCTGTATGCGTGGGAACACAGCCATGGGCCATGGTATTTGCTGTCTGTCCCTCTGCCAGGACAGTCCCTCTGCTGTAGACAGCATGGCATGCCCACCATCCCTCCTTCAGGCTTCCGAGGAGGCTTCCCCGAGGCCATGCTGCGGTGCTTGAGGGTTGCAGGAAGCAAAACCGCGAATGAGGGGGGCTGCTGCTGGTGTGAAGCGAAGCATGGACACATGTTCTTTGTTCCAGCACCCCGAATGGAGAAGCCTAACCCTTCCCCACTTCCCCCACCACTGTCACAGTCAGGTGTCTGCCAGGTGTGCAGCCCACTCTTCCTCTGGGCTGCTTCTCTGCTCCTGTGCTGAGACTATGCTGTGCCAGTTACTGTTGCTTCCAAAGGGCTGTGTCTGCTTGAGCAAACTCTCTTCCCGTGTTCTTCGTTGGTTCCTCAGCTGCCGTGTCTTACCATTGGTATGTCCATGTAAGTTCTAGAATTAGCTTTCCTTTTTCTTTAACTTTTTTTTTTTTTTAAAGACTAGGTCCACTCTGTCTTCCAGGCTGGAGTGCACTAGCACAATCATGGGTCACTGCAGCCTTGGCCTCCCAGGCCCAAGCGATCCTCCTGCCTCAGCCTCCCAAGGAGCTGGGACTACAGCACGTGCCACCATGCCCAGCTAACTTTTTTTTTTTTTTTTTTGTAGAGACGGGGTCTCATTATGCTCCCAGGCTAGTCTCAAAATTCTGGGTTCAAGTGATCCTCCTGCCTTGGCCTCCTAAAGTGCTGTGATTACAGATGTGAGCCACCATGCCCAGCCTAGCTTTTCAAGTTTACAAAAGTCTTGCTAGGATTTTGACCGGAATTGCATTGCATCTGTAAGGTGAAATTGAGAGCTGATATTTTAAAAATATTAAGTCAGGCAATTCACGAGCCTGGGCTTTATCACCATTTATTTGGGTCTTGTTTAATGTCTCACAAAAACACTGTATAATTTTCCCCATGAAGATCCTCCATATGTTTTGTTGGGTTTACTCCAAGTTACTTTATGCCTTTGATGTTGTGAATGGTGTCTTTCCATTTTCATTTTCATTTTGACCATCAGAACTGGCTTCTGACGACCCTAAAGTAGAATCCTCACCCCTAGTTAGGACCCACGGGTCCCAGAGCCCTCACATCCTCCTCTCTGGCTTCCCAGAAGACCAGCTCGACAGGGGCCTCCTTGGGCACCCAGCAGCCATTGCTCTAGGTGGACCAGCGGTGGGGTGAGAGGACTCTGCCCACCCCGGACCCAGCTCCTCGGCTTCCCCTTCTAGGAGTTCAACTGAATGGGCAGTGAGAAGTGGGGACTCTCCAAGCCAGGCCATGCACCTGCTTCCCAGGGCTGGCCTGAGGCCGGCAGATGCCCTTATACCCTACCTGGGGCCCGCTCCTCTTGCCTGCCCTGCCTTACTTAACATCATAAACTTCATCCTGGAAAGAACCCTGATGTGATGGGTGGGCAGTGCCCTAGGAGGGGCTCAGACCCCAGTCCACGTAAGGAGATTCATCCTGCAGAGAAACCCCGTGAAATCCCAAGGGGAGAACATTCACCCAGTGAGTGCAATGAACTCACAGAAACGTTCAGGTCTAGGTAACCTGTTACCAACACCAGAGAATCCACACAGATAATTTGCACAGGAAGAAGCCCTGGCCAGGTGTACTGCTCACGCCTGTAATCCCATGCTTTGGGAGGCCGAGACAGGCAGACGGCTTGAGCCCAGGGTTTCGAGATCAGCCTGGGCAACATAGCAAGGCCTCGTCTCTACAAAAAAAAAAAAAATGAAAAAATTAGCCAGGCATGCCGTTGCACGCCCATGGTCCCAGCGACTCAGGAGGCTGGGGCAGGAGGATCGCTTGACCCAGGGAGGTTGAAGCTGCAGTGAGCAGAGATGGAGCCACTGCACTCCACCCTACGTGACAGAGCGAGACCCTGTCTCAAAAAAAGAAAGAAAAAAGAAACCTTGCAATGATCCTGAGAAAGGACTTTTAAATGTAGCGTGGAAGAGCTGGACAAACTGCAGCCTTTTGGTATGTCCATGTAAGTTCTAGAATTAGCTCAGAGAGTGGGTTTATGCTGGAAGGGAGCTTCCTCTACTGCCCAGCCTGTGCCACCCTGGATAAGTTACCTCTGAGTGAGTCCGTTAGTGGGTGAACATGGGAAAGATTACGTAATTGGAGAATAAATGGATTTACCACCAATGTCTTGTCATAGATTATAAGCCCGAGGGGCGGGTGTTAATTTTTCCAATTAAATTGGTGTGACATATAATTAAGGAATGTGCTCACAGGTAAGGAGCTGGGGTTTCATGGAAGAATGATTCTGCTTAGTGGCCTGACATTTTTGTGTCTCTTGCTTGCTCTGCATGCAAAAGCCTCACCGGTTCACTTGTTCACGCGGTCTCCTCGCCTGTGCTCCAAAACAGAGATTCTGGACCCCGGCCACACACAAGAATCATCTGGGGGTGATTTTTCAAAACGCTGATGCTAGATGCCAGCCCCTCTGCCCCTACCCCAGCTACAGTGGGATCTCTTAGAGGTGGGGGACTGGTCAGCATTTCTCCAAGCTCTTAGGAGTTTCAAATGAACAGCCCGAGCTGTGCCCCACTGCACCAGGGAGCTTGTGCCATCTGCTGCCACTCAGGCCCTGCCTGATCATCAGAGTCACTGGGAAGCTTCTAAAATTACAGGTTATGAGGCTTAACCCCAATGGCATTCTGTTTGACCAGCTCTTGGATGATGTCTGGAAATCCCTTTTTTTTTTTTTTTTTTTCTTAAAAAGATTCCAAACTGATTCTGATTATGAGCAGGTTTAGGAACCAATGCCATAAAGGGCGTGAAAACCAAGGTAGCAGCTGTCCCGCCAGGCAGGGAAGACCTGGGCACTCCCTAGGCCCTGCCATGCCCCACACCATCCTGGGCATCCTCCATCTTCACACCATTTGGTCTTCATTGAAGATCCCATGAGATCCTGTTCCTACCCCGTCATGCAGGAGGGACCGCTGAGGGCATCTGAACATTGTGCAGGAGGGAACGCTGAGGGCATCTGAACATTGTGCAGGAGGGAACACTGAGGGCATCTGAACATCGTGCGGGTGGGAACGCTGAGGGCATCTGAAGTTGAGGAGCTTGCCCACATCAGCAGTGGGGTGCAGGGGTTGGAATCCAGACCCAGACCCGCCTGCCTTGGCTCCATCCCACCTGCTGTCCGAGACTCTGGGCGCCTGCCTGTGGATCCAGGCTCCAGCACACCGCTCAGCAGGCCCCACAGTCCTGGGAGGTCCAAGCCCTGGAACAAAGCAAAGCGCAGGCCTGCGTCTACACACCTGTCTCTGTGGGCTCTGTTCCTCTGATGCAACCCTGACGGATCCATTAGTATGACTGGAATGTCCTTGGGATCAAAACTCACTTTTTTTTCTTCTTTAGACAGAGTCTTGCTCTATCGCCCAGGCTGGAGTACAGTGGCACATTCTCAGCTCACTGCAACCTCGGCCTCCTGGGTTCAAGCGATTCTCCTGCCTCAGCCTCCCAAGTAGCTGGGATTAGAGGTGCCCGCCACCATGTCCGGCTAATTTTTTTTGTATTTTTAGTAGAGACGGGGTTTCGCCGTGTTGGTCAGGCTGGTCTCAAACTCCTGACCTCATCATCCACCTGCCTTGGCCTCCCAAAGTGCTGGGATTACAGGCGTGAGCCACCGCGCCCGACCGGAATCAAAACTTTCTAACTTCTAAAAGTTAGATTCTGGCTTCTAAAAGTGTGGCGCTGTTTTAGGATGGTTTTAGGATGGCTCAGTCCATCCAGTGGGAAGATTCTTTAAGCCCCTTGAACGTTTGGGCTGGAGAGAGAGTGAAATGAGGGCAGAGGTGCTGATTGGCCCCACACCAGTCACTGACAATGGCAGCTCCCGAGACGGCCATGGGTGCAGCCAGTGGGCACATTGCCCCCATTTTAAAATAACTTATAAATTACAAGCCAAGTTTAGCAAGTGGGTACTGCACTAAGGGCTTTGTGAGGACTTTTCACGTAGCCTTCACAATGACCCCACAGGGCAGGTGCTATCATCTTGCCCCATTTGACAGGAAATCTACTGACCATCCCAAGGCACACAGCCAGCAGTGGTGCTGATGTCCAGGCCCAGTGCTTTGACACTGTCGAGTTTCTTAAACCCTCTGAGCCTTCATTGTTTTATCTGCAAAGTGGAGACACCACCAGCAGTGAGTCAAGCACGAAACTAGGTGATTGATGCCTGTGCCCAGGATGCCGGGAGGATCTCAGCCACAGCTGTTGCCTGTGCCAGCCGCTGCGGAGAAGGATGCCACAGGCACAGGGCACCAGGGCGATGGGCTCTCCAGGGGCAGTGTCAGTGGCTCAGTCACCCACTGAGGCTGGTATCCCAGGCTCAATGCCCACAGGGGTTCCAGTGCAAGTCCTGGGCCCCAGGAGGACCCGCACCCCAGGGCTCATCAGTCAGCCAGTCAATCAGTCCACAGGCACTAGCTGAGCGCCCGCTGTCTGTGAAGCACCCTGGTGGAGCTGACGCTCTTATCCTTGGGCAGTAAAGAAGCGAACACTGCGGTTCAGGAGTTCAGCACAGCAGTCCTGGGGTCACTGCTAAGGTTCTCGTAGCCGCATTAAAAAGGGAAAAAGAAGCAAACGCAGGCCAGGCGCGGTGGCTCACGCCTGTAATCCCAGCACTTTGGGAGGCCGAGGTGGGTGGATCACCTGAGATTGGGAGTTCAAGACCAGCCTGACCAACATGGAGAAACCCCGTCTCTACTAAAAACACAAAATTATCTGGATGTGGTGGTGCGTGCCCGTAATCACAGCTACTTGGGAGGCTGAAGCAGGAGAATCTTTTGAACCCGGGAGGCGGAGGTTGCGGTGAGCCGAGATTGCACCACTGGACTCCAGCCTGGCGGACAAGAGCGAAAATCTGTCTCAAAAAAAAAAAAAGAAAAGAAAAGAAAACACAAAATCCCAGTGAGCTCTCTCTCCAGTGTCCTGCACAGACCTTCACAAAGTAAGGGCCACCCAGGAAAACTGCACAGAAGAGAGAAAAGGAACTGGCTGTGGGCCTGAGGTTGCTCTCAAAACATTTTCCAGAAAAAGAAAGTCCATCTGAGTGCCAAAATACAGAAAAGTGTCTACATTTTGGAAAGAAATTTAAAATGACTATGGAACAGGTGCAGCGGCTCACGACTGTAATCCCAACACTCTGGGAAGCTGAGGTGGGAGGACTGCTGGAGCCCAGGAGTTTTAGACCAGCTGAGGCAACAGAGTGAGACTTGGTAGCCAAAATAGTAAAAGACTGTGGGACACAGGAGGATAGTCTTGGGAAGGTAACGCAGGAGAGAAGAGGGTTAAAAGTTAGGGAGGAGTAGTCGGGTGCAGTGGCTCACCCCTGTAATCCCAGCAATTTGGAAGGCCAAGGTGGGTGGATCACCTGAGGTCACGAGTTCAAGACCAGCCTGGCCAACATGGTGAAAACCTGTCTCTACTAAAAATACAAAAAATTAGCTGGGCGTGGTAGTGGGTGCCTGTAATCCGAGCTACTCGGCAGGCTGAGGCAGGTGAATCACTTGAACCCAGGAGGCGGAGGTTGCAGTGAGCCCAGATTGTGCCATTGCACTCCAGCCTGGGCAACAAGAGTGAAACTCCGTCTCAAAAAAAAAAAAAGTTAGGGAGGTGCAGCCTTTGAAAGTCAGGTACTAAAGAGAAAAAGAAGCAAGAAGGGGAAATTAAGATGCTGAAAGACAAAAGACCTTTTTAAAAAGTCAAACATCGACCAGGCACAGTGGCTCACACCTGTAACCCAAGCACTTTGGGAGGCAGGGGCAGGCAGATCACGAGGTCAGGAGATCAAGACCATCCTGGCCAACATGGTGAAACCCCATCTCTACAAAAAATACAGAAATTAGCCGGGCACAGTAGTGCACGCCTGTAGTCCCAGCTACTTGGGAGGCTGAGGCAGGAGAATTCCTTGAACCCTGGAGGTGGAGACTACAGTGAGCCGAGATCACGCTGCTGCAGTCCAGACTGGGCGACAGAGCAAGACTCCATCTCAAAAAAAAGAAAAAAAAAATCAAACCTCACAGCACCCTTCTCCACTGACTCCCCTCACCCCCTGCAAAAAATAAATAAATAATAGAGAAATAAATAAAATAACAGGCACTAAGTAAAGAAACCATACCTTGTTACCCTGACATGAAAGGTCCCTCTTGGACTAAGAATCTCATAAAATAACTGAAACTTCTGTCCACAGACATGCTAAGGGGTAACTTCATCTATTTAAAACCACTATAAAAAGAAAGGGGAAAATGAAAAGATGATTTAGCTTATGAAAATTCCCAAAATAATGCCAGGTGTGGTGGCTCACACCTGTAATCCCAGCAGTTTGGGAGGCCGAGACAGGCGGATCATCTGCGGTCAGGAGTTCAAGACCAGCCTGACCAACATGGAGAAACCCTGTATCTACTAAAAATACAAAATTGGCCGGGTGTGGTGGCACATGCCTGTAATCCCAGCTACTTGGGAAGCTGAAGCAGGAGAATCACTTGAACCCGGGAGGCAGAGGCCGCAGTGAGCCAAAATCACACCATTGCATTCCAGCCTGGGCAACAAAAACGGAACTCCATCTCAAAAAAAAAAAAAAAAAGAAAAAGAAAATTCCCAACCCACCGACCCTGTGGGGCTGGACCCTACATAATATACTGCAAAAATCAGGGCTTCCAGGCAGAAACATCAAATAACTTTCAGGAGCATGAGAATTAGATGGGCCTGAAACTCCTCAAAATCAATAAAAATGAACATAGCAACAACGAAGCAGCATTTTCAAAAATCTCAAGAAAAGGGAGAAAACAACGAACTGTGCAGCCATTCAAGCTTTCCTTCAAGGAATTACAGCTTCAAGAGAGCAGTTTTAAACTTGCCAGAGCTCAGGGGTCCTGCAACTATAGGCCCATCAGGAGGAACCTCCTAGATGGGCTTCCTCCAACCACAAGCTGCTTACGGGTCAGCCGTAAGACCCACGGGGGTGATACATTGAATGGTAGACCCAACATAGAAAGAGAAGTGCAGTCGAGAGGGGAAGAACCATATGTGCTGTGTGTGTTCTGACAAAGTTGAAATGGCATGACTTCAAAAAAAACACCAGGAAGAGGAGGAGGAGTGGGAGGAGGAGAAGGGGGGGAGGAGGAGGGGGAGGGGGAGGGGGATGAGGGGGAGGGGAGGAGGGGGAGGGGGAGGAAGAAAAGGGAAAAGCTCCCGGGTGGTTGTGCAGGCAGTAGGGAAAAGTGAAAGGGCACCATTCAATCCAACAGGCCAGACAGTAAACCACTCAGGAGGAAAGCAGTTCTCTGTCCCTCTCTAAGCTAAGAGACCGAAGTGTTTGTCTCCTGTCCTCAGTCCTCTTCTCTGGTGGCTGTCCCCTGCAGAGCAGACTGGGACCCCACTCACTAGCAATAGGACTCCCACATCGGAACATAGGACTGTGACCCAGAGGTGCCCAGGCAGCCATGAGAGGCAGCCCGCCACCCAGAACAAGAGGCCTGGGCTTCCGGGCAGCTCCAGCCTTTGCAGCACGCAGGCAGGGCACAAAACAGGGATGTGCGAGAGAAATGAGGAGCAGAGACATGGCAGAGCCTGGGGCCCCCAGCCCCTCTTCAGAGAGGCTGCCTCTGTGGGAAGCTCTGCAGGAAAGGGGTCCTCAGCCCTTGGAGCTTCTTTCCATATTTACAGGGTAGCTGGAGCGGGGGGGTCTGGTGACAATGGGAGATTCCGGGCCAGGGAAACAGCCTCTGCCCACATATCACATACCAATGGTGTTGGCACCAAATGGAGTCTCTGGTGGGCCGGCCCAGCCACCACCACGCCTGAAGGGACTGGAGGGGCCACCTGGCTCATTTAGAAGGCAAGGGGCTGTCTCTTTTGAGATAGGGGAAGGACACCTTTCTCCTTCTTCTGCTTTTGTTTTTTGTTTGTTTGCTTTTGTTTTTTTTTTTGAGATGGAGTCTCGCTTTGTCACCCAAGCTGAAGTGCAGTGGCATGATTTCAGCATCACTGCAACCTCTGCCTCCCAGGTTTAAGCAATTCTTTTGCCTCAGCCTCCCAGGTAGCCAGAACTACAGGCACGTACCACCACACCCGGCTAATTTTTGTATTTTTAGTAGAGACAGGTTTTCACCATGTTGGCCAGGCTGGTCTCGAAGTCCTGACCTCAAGCAATCCACCCACCTTGACCTCCCAAAGTGCTGGGGTTACAGGCATGAGCCACTGCGCCCACCCTGCCATTCTTATTCTCAGTCTTATTCTCTCTGTCCCAGCCCCATCAGTCATCAATTGCTCAATAAATATGGATTAGGCACCTGCTATGGGCTATGTGTTGGCCCCCGATAATACAAAGATGAAAAAGACAAGCCCTGACCGAGGGTCATGTGCAGCATGTAACCTGTATGGACAGCTACCCACGCAGCCTTGGCCTAAGGCTGGCAGGGGCGAGGCCGGGGCTGGCACAGAGGAGCTCGAACAGGTGGAGTCTTAAAAAGCAGGAAAGGGTCTGTCAGGCGGAGGCGGAGCGGGGGTGTTCAAGGCCCAGGGTTGAGGCATGCAGCCGATGCTGTGTGGCAGGGCAAGCACTTGCTGCTGAGTCTCCTGGAAGGGGAAAGGGTGGTGAGAGGGGCGGCCTGCAAGTCTGTGCAGGCCCCTTTGCAGCTGCTAAGGGGGCCCAGACCTCATCCTGCAGGACAGGCGTGAAGCTGGGAGGGCCACTGTGGGTTTGCCCGGTAAGTCAGTCCCTCCAGCTGCTGTAGGAGGGGTGGACAGGGGAGCCCAAATGAAGGCAGGGAGACCCCAGGGCAGGGCACAGAAGTAATGCTGGTGAGAGGAGATGGGGTTGCAGCCGGGACAGAGGAAGCAGGCTGGACAAGAGTGGGTGGTTTAAAACATTGGGAGGTAAAAGCAACAGGATGGGAGAGGGGGGTGGGACGAGGAGGGAGCAGAACTGCCTGGTTTTCAACACCTTGCTAAGTCCAGGAGGCAGTTGGAGAGAGGGCTGGGTGGGGGCAGGCAGTTCCTAGGGTGCCACGACACCAGCAGCACCTAAGATCTCCACTCATGCTCACTCAGTCCACACGACACGAGGGCCCAGCACACATCAGGCACCCAGAACAAGAACAGGTGGCTGCCCTCCAAGAGCTGATTTGCATGGGAGTGTGGGAGCGGGGGATAATTAATAATAAATATAATAAGGAAATCATATAGAAAGTGGAAATGGGAAGTGTTGGGGGGGCAGAATGCTGCAGATATCCTAAGGAGATGTGCCAGAGCCAGCCCAATGCCCATCCTTCCCTTGGCTACAGGCGGCACTTGTGACTTGAATCTGAGTAGAACTGGGCCGAGGGGGTGGCATGTCACCCACAATTAGGTTCTGTTCCACAGGACTCCATCTGGGGGTGGGGCTCTCCCACGGACCCTGGGGAAGCGGCCACCCTGTGAACCGCCCACCCTCCCACAGTAGGGACTGGCAGGCAGCCCCCGGGAGCTGAGAGCAGCTCCTGCCGGCCCTCAGTCCTACAGGCACCAGGACATGACTTCTGCCAGCAATCGCATGAGGTGGGAAGTGATCCTTCCCCAGTCCAGCCCCCAGATGAGAACACAGCGGCTGACCAGAGCTGAGGACCCAGCTAAGCCTGGCCTTCTGGCCCACAGAAGCCTTGAGATAATAGGCGGATGTCGTTTTAGGACACCCAATTTGCGGTACGTAGGGAACTAACACGCGGGGCTCTGGCGGGCCTGGCGGCTCAGTGCGATCTGGGCAGGCAGGAAGTGGAGTGAGCACAGCCAGCGGCTGGGAGCACATCCCGGAGGGGCTGCCTGCGGCGGGAGGAGCGGCAGGGGCCACGTGGTGGGGGACGGCTCGCCAGGGCGCGCACGCGGTGGCGGCGGCGGTGGAGGCGTTGCCCGCCTAGCTAGGGGCCCGCGGCCTGGAGAGGCGTCGGTTCTCCTTCCGCGCTGAAGGCGGAGACAGCGACTTCCCGTGGAGGCAAGCCGTGGGCGCCGCGGAGGCGGGGGCTGGGGGTCGGCGGAGGCGGGAGCTGGGGGTCGGCGGGGGCTGGGGGTTGGCGGGGAGCGTCCTCAGGGACAAGTCTCCCAGCACGCGGCCGCGACCTCCCCGTTGGGGGTCTGGAGCCAGGAGCCCACGCGCGTCGGATCCGGAGAGTCTGGTGGGCGCAGCCTACGTGACAGGGTCGGCTCGGGACCGAGCTGCTGGGGACTGGGCCTTGCGGGGCGGGGCCGCTGGGGGCGGGGCATGAGGGTGCCGGTTCGGGGCGGGGCTTTTTGGGGGCGGGACATGGGGCGGAGCCTGGGGGCGGAGCATGTGGGGAGGTGGCTGGGGAGGAACTTTCGGGGGCGGGACACGAGGGCGGAGCCTGAGGGGGCGGGGCATGAGGGGAAGCCGGCTCGGGAAGGAGCTTTCGGAGGCGGGGCCCGCTCGGGGAGGGACCTGATTTCGGGGGAGCCTTCGGGAGGGCGCCTGCCATAGACGACTGTAAAGGGGCGGGGTCAGCTCGGGGAGGACCCTGCGGGCGTGGCGGCAGTTATGGGTGAAGCCTGAGGGGGCGGGGCCTGATCGGGGCGGGGTCTTCGGGGGCGGAGTCGGCTGGGGATGGAGCCGCTCGGGCCGAGCCCTCCACCGCCCACCATCACCGAGTCCGGCCCAGGCTCCTAGCGCGGCCGCCGGAAGGGGCGGGTCAGCGGGCGGGCATTTCCTGCCGGTGCCTAGGGCCGACGGGGACGCTGGCACTGGTGGGGAGCTGTTGGGGGGTCCCGCATCTAGGGCTCTCCTTTCCTGCCTCCGGCCCCCGCGAGGGGCGCGCGCCTCTCCCCGCCCTCCAGCAGTCCTGGTAGGGCCCGGGCGCGTCCGCGCTCTGCAGCGGGAGGTCCTCGTCGCCTCTCGTCTCCAGCCAGGTACTCACTGGGCTCCTGCCTGCCGCCTCCGGCCCAGGACGCGCAGCGTCGGTATGGGCCCCGCCGCCTCCCCGCACCCCGGCGCTCCAGGGATGTGGCAAGACCCGGCTTTGAGCACCTCCCGGGCGCCGGCCCCGAGGCCGACCTAGCTCTGCACGTGGGCCGCGGGGCTCTGCCGTTGAAAGGAGAGCCTCTAACTAGGAGCACGCACGGGACCCTGGCGGGCCCCTCCGCCTGGCTCAGATGCCTGGCATCTCAGGCCTTGGCACAGCTAGCAGGCCCCTGGCAGGCCGTGGACCCAGCAGGCTGTTTTAGTGCAGATTGCCCCTGAATCTCAAGCCCACTAATGTTCCAGTCTCTCCATGAGACCCAGATCCCTGAAAGTAGTGGAGGGAGGCGCCAGGGTGAGTGAGGTTTTCTAGGCAGCCCTTACCGCCCACGGATACCCAGAGCTTCATATTACAAGTGAAGGGTCCTCCGCCCAGAGAGGCGACGGAGCTACGCTGGAGTTGCACGACAGAACCAGAACCCCAGTCTTTAGGGGTGTGGCAAGCGTGGGTTGCGCTGTTTGTAACTAGCTAATCACTCCTGTCTACAGGCCTGTGAGGTGAGGCCAAGAAAATCGCTATGGTCCAATCCGTTTTTGTTTTTTGCGTGTGGGGTTTTTTGTTTTGGTTTGGTTTGGTTTTTTTGTTTGAGACGGAGTCTTGTTCTGTCGCCAGGCAGGAGTGCACTGGCGCGACCTTTGCTCACTGCAACTTCTATCTCCTGGGTTCAGGCAATTCCCCTCCCTCAGCCTCCTGAGTAGCTAGGACTACAGGCACGTGCCACCACGCCCAGCTAATTTTTTGTGTTTTGGTAGGGACAGGGTTTCACCATGTTGGCCAGGATGGTCTCGATCTCCTGACCTCGTGATCCGCCCACCTCGGCCTCCCAAAGTGCTGGGATTACAGGCATGAGCCACCGCGCCCGGCCAGTCCACTCTGCTTTTAAGAAATATTTTATTTCTCAGGGTGGGCAGCGTGTAGAGAAGTGAGTCATTCCAGTCTCTGCCGGTTAGCACCTGCCAGCCTAAGTTGAGTCGACAGAGCCGTTATGGAGAATGTTCCCTGACCACAGTATGTGACTAGGATTTGGAGATAAAAAAGATACGATCCTCGCCTTCAGGAGACCCTGTCGCATAAGGAGACTGCCATGTCAGTGACCAGCCACACGTGCAGTGACAAGTGTCTGGAAGAAGGAACAGTGCTGTACAGCATGGAGGACCCCCACACAGGCCTCGGGCAGCAGCCGTTAGGCTCAGTGGGTTCACAAACCACCCCCCGCCCCGCCGTGGAGTGGAGTCTGCAGAGAGCCAGATAGGTTCCCGCCATGCCCTGGAGAGCTGCCGTTTCTCCAGCTCCGCCCTGCCCATGAGGCAAACAGCTGGTCGACTGGTCTTCTGTGCTGGTTCTTGGTTCTCACCTTTGTTTCCTACCAGAGCTGGACCCCGGCCTCAAACTCCAGCCAGCTTGGGCTGTGATCCTCTATCCTGGGCACCAGGGCCCACCCCCTGCCCACCCCAGCAGAGATGCTGCTTTATGCCTGCATCCTCCCTCAGCACACGTGGCCTTCATCTTCAGTTCTGGCGCCCACCTGATCTGCCTCCTCCCACACGCCACCTCTAGATAGAGCCCTAGAAAGTGATGTTGGCCTGAAACTGAGTCACATTCATCTAAACATTTTCCTGTAGAAAAGACCAGACCCTCCTTGTTGAGATAGGAAATCTGTAGTGAGTTTATGTGTTACCTGCACTCATGAGGGAGAGGAGGGAAGGCCACCAACCTCCTCTCAACAAAGAGAATTCAAAGTATTTATGTGTTGAGTTGTGTCACTTACGACATGCATATCAGCTCCACTTTCTACCTAGGGTCAACCCTGGCCTCAAACTCCAGCCTGGTTGACCAAGAACTAATACAAAGGGTACGGAATATTATTTCTTAGAATATGACTGGGCATGGTGGCTCCCACCTGTAGTCCCAGCTACTCAGGAAGCTGAGGTGGGAAGGATGTGACATGAGGGGTTCTGCTGGCTGCTGTGGTCCATGGCAGGGGGGCAGCCCTGGTTTCATGAACTCAGAACCCAGCCTCTGGGGGATGGAAGCACTCTCCACTGGGCACGTGTGGTCCCTGCAGCCTGTAGCTTCAAAGCACGGTGACTGGTTCCAAGCCCAGTATGGTGGAGAAGGAGACTACGGCAGGAACCAGGGGGATTCGGGGGTGGAGGAGGGAAGCCGCAGGGCAGTTGGTGGGTACATCAGATCCTGTGGACATGGTGTGCAGACCCGGAACCCCGGCAGAGGAGCAAGGATTCCTTGGTGAGCAACTGATCCCTTCATCGAGACAAGGAAAGGCCGGGAGAGAGTCAGGTGGGGCTCCGGGGAGATCAGCAATGCCGTTTGAGACACTCTTGGGGGAACACATGGGAAGGGAGGGGCCGCACCTGAATCCCACATCCCCTGAAAGGCAAACCTTTAATCTGAGGTTCATGTTCTTGCTTCTCCCCAGCACCAAGAGGATGGTGGCCCTTGGCCTCCTGGTGCAGAGCATCAGTCCCACGCTGGGAGTGTGGAGAGGTGCGTGGGAAGCAAGCCATTGAGGAAGTGGGGCCAACAGAGAGGTCAGCAGCCCCTTAGCCCTCACGCTTCCAAGGAACAGAATGATGGAGAAGCCTGCAGGCAGAAAAAAGAAGACGCCGACCCCAAGGGAGGAGGCAGACGTGCAGAAGAGTGCGCTCAGAGAGGAGAAGGTGTCCGGGGACAGAAAGCCACCTGAGAGGCCCACTGTGCCCAGGAAGCCCCGCACAGAGCCCTGCCTGAGTCCTGAAGACGAAGAGCACGTCTTTGATGCCTTCGACGCTTCATTTAAAGATGACTTTGAGGGGGTTCCCGTGTTCATTCCTTTTCAGAGGAAGAAACCCTATGAGTGCAGTGAGTGTGGGCGGATCTTTAAGCACAAGACAGACCACATTCGCCATCAGAGGGTCCACACTGGAGAGAAGCCCTTCAAGTGTGCGCAGTGCGGGAAGGCCTTCCGGCACAGCTCTGACGTCACCAAACACCAGAGGACTCACACGGGAGAGAAGCCCTTCAAATGCGGGGAGTGCGGGAAAGCCTTTAACTGCGGCTCCAATCTCCTGAAACATCAGAAGACGCACACCGGGGAGAAGCCCTACGAATGCACGCACTGTGGGAAAGCCTTTGCCTACAGCTCCTGTCTCATCCGCCATCAGAAACGCCACCCTCGGAAGAAGCCCTGAGCCGGGGCCATCTGCGGACTCGGGCCCTGCGGTGCGAGCCTCGCCGGACACCTGCTCCGTGGCTCCCTCGTGTCCCGCGTCTGATGGGGGCGCAGGGCCGTGCGCACTGTGTTCCGTGCCCTGGGGACCCCCGGAAAAGCAGCCCAGTCAGATGTGGGAACGTGCCAGCGAGGGAGAGACCTTTCCACTGCAGAGAGTCTCTCTGATCAAGACACCGCAGTGATGGAGAAGCCACCAGAGGCTCCTTGCAGCCACAGAGCATTTTCCAAGTTCCCGATGGCGAACGGGGCTCAGCACCAGAGACCAGGGAGTATTCACTGCCATCCATTGGACGTGTTTGGGTCACCTCAGAGCACCCAGCAGGAGAGGCTCCTGGTGTAGTGGGCAGCCCAGCACTTCCCGCTGCTGCCTGCCTGTGATGTCCACTCTGCTTAAGCCTTTCATCTGCCGCTGAAGGCCCCAGTCTGGACTCTCTGCCCTCTGGGTCCCCGAGCTCTGCAGCGAGCCCTGGGACCACTCATCCCTGCCCAGCCAGCTTCAGTGCCCGGGGCCGCTTGTCCCTGCCCGGCCTCTGTGCCCCAACTGTGCTTGGTCCTCTGGCTTCTCTCCTCCTGCTGGAGTGCCAGTCCCTGAGCTCAGACCCCCGTCCCCGGAACTGGGCCACACCACGTGCCCTCTTGGCCCAGCCTTCCTCCCAGAGAGGCGGCCTGACTTACCTGGATGGACTTGGGACAAAGGTTCCTCAGGACCTTGGACACCACCACCTGCTGAGCTTCCCGTCCCAGCCATGCAGTGGGGCCCCTGGGGTGCCCTCGGCAGCTTCGGTCCAGCCTGCATCTGCCCCTCGGCCTTCCGACGTGGGCGGTGGGCCCCAGCCCCACAGACCAGCCCAGCATTCAGGTTAGTTCTACTTCTTCATGCCTGTACCCAGTCCTGTCCCACCCAGTGGCAGGTCCACAGGCCTGTGCCACCCTTGTGTCCATCCAGGAGCAGTGTGGACGGGATCCTGTGCTCTCTAGGGACTGTGGTTTATAAGAGGGTAGCAAATGACTTTGTAAACCAGGAGGTAAGGTTTTTTATTGGGAAATGTTGGCGCCTATGTTTTCAGCTGTTTAGACGTGAAACACTAATCACGGCCCTAGTCTTTGGGGATTCTGTCCTGGAAGGAGGGTCCCGATTCGAGCTGGAGATGGCCTTGGCCTTGTCCATTGAGCAGTCTCAGAAATGGACTAGGGTACACTGCCCGGATGATGGAGAGCAGTCCTGTCTGGGTGGAAACGTTTACTGGGTTAACACATTTTTCCTGCCGCGGTCTTTCTGAGGGCTGTAATATTCCTGCCTGTCTGTGTAGGCCCCATACCAGCTTGGCCACTGTGGGGTCACTTGGAAAGGGAGCCTTTCGGCAGGCCTCCCCTCCCACTGGGAGGATGCTTCAGTCCCTCTGCACTCAGACGTGTTGGAAGCACATTCCACACGCAGAGTGTGTCTCTTCTCCCGGCTGCTCCTGCTGCTGGCCTGGACAGAGGAGCCTGTTCCATGGCAGGGGGTCCTGAGTGCTGCCACTTGTAGTATCGTGGGGAGGCTGCTCGGCTCCCAGCCTCTCTCATGCCCACTGCCCATGGGCTGCACTGACAGATGTGTCTCCTCACTTCCCCTTCCCCGCAGAAATAGAAATAGCCTAGAACTGGAAAATAAAACTCCCGTAAATCCCAGAACCACACTGTCACCCACACTAGCTTTGCCTCTGGCCTGGTTAACTTTCTATATAGCAGGTCCCAGAGCCCAGCCCGTCACCTGCTCACACTGGGTCCTGACCCGCAGGGCAGCATCTCCCAGATGGCTGTAGGGCTCTCTGAGGTCGGGTGACACTCAGTGCCTGGGCTGGCTGCGGACCCAGGCAGGCTGGTCCATGCGGAAGGCCCCACCCCGCCATGCCCCCATGGCATTGCTGGTGTGGCTGTGCTCGCCTGCGGGCCCTGCCTTTGTTTGGGTTGAGGCTGTGTTGGCCTTCATCAGACGTGTTGCCTGGGGGGGTTCTGCTCTCGGGACCACACACACTGGAGGGGCCTCCCCAGCGCAGGTGAGCAGGTGAACCACCAGAGGGGAGCCGTGGCGCCTGTGGCCTCCTGATGGTCCTGCCGCCTCAGTCGCTGCTGGAAGCACGGCCTTCGTGGCTTCTCAATGGCCCGTGGTCCCAATGGGGGTAGGTAGGTGGCAAGTCCCGTGGTGTCGTGTACCTGCCTCTGTGATGACTGTGTCTCACACTATTGGGCGTGTGCTGGGGAGGCCAGTCTTCCCGTGGGGCTCCCCGGGGCTGTGGTCAGCCCACTGCCGTCAGCATGGGGGTGAGGGGGTGAGGGAGCGAGGGGGCGGGCAGCCTCAGCCTCACCTAGATAGACTGTCCCTGGATGCCGCCGGCGGACCACGGCCAGTGTTGACCCCCACAGGGCAGGACATCCTGGTGGGCCCCCTGGCCCGGATCTCCTTATGCAGCCGTTCCCGGTATGTCCTGAGGCTGGACGGCCTCAGCCAGCTGTCACCAGGAGAGGAATACTCGCACTCCCAGAAATGGACATATCAGGAGGTGAATTGTTCAGAAGCAGGCATCAGAGCACGTGTGACGTGTGATCCTGGATCGGAAGAGTTGCTTTGAAGGACTTTGCTGGGACGTTTGGCCGACCTGGATTGTAGACTCCAGGCACAGTCAACTGCAGGCACAGTCAACTGCAGGCACAGTCAGCACCAGCGCAGCAGGGACGGGGCGGTCCTCACTGACGTCCTCCTACTGCAGATGCACACTGAGGCTCTTGGCCGCAGAGCGTGGCGTCTGCAGTTCATGCCAACGGTGTGTGCACGTCCCCGGAGAGTGACAGAGGAGAGTGGCTAAATGTCAGTCATGGGGAATCTAGAGCACAGGTGGGCACGCTTCTCCGATGAAGGGTCAGGCAGGAAATATTCTTGGCACTGCAGCCATACAGCCTGTGCCTCAGCACCCACGGGGGACCACAGAAGGTTGGGGACCACTGCTTTAAACAACTAGCTCTCCCGTGAAGAGCAGGTCCCCACCCTGCTGTGTAGGGCAACAGCAGATGTCAATGGCATATGAATGAACGAGCGTGGCTGTGCCAATAAAACTTTATTTACAAACGTAGGAGGTGGGCCGGATTTGCTTGCCGATCCTGTCCTAGGTGAAGGGTGCATTCGAGCTCCTGGTATAGTTTGGACGTCTGTCCCCTCCAGATCTTATGTGGAAATGTGATCCCCAGTGTGGGAAGGGGCCTGGCAGGAGGTATTCGGGTCACGGGGACAGATCCCTCGAGAATGGCTTGGTGCCCTCCTCACAGTAATGAGTGAGCTCTCACTCTTGAGGTTCACTGGAGAGCTTGTTGTTTAAAGCAGTGGTCCCCAACCTTCTTGGCACCTGGGACCAGTTTTTTCCGTGGACAGGGAGTGGTGTGGATGGTTTGAGTATGAAACTGTCCCACCTCAGATCATCAGGCATTTGATTCTCATAAGGAGCGTGCAACCTAGATCCCTCGCATGCAGTTCACGGTGGGGTTCGTGGTCCAGTGAGAATCTAATGCCACCGCTGATCTGACAGGAGGCGGAGCTTAGGCGGTAACGCTCACTCGCCTGCCACCCACCTCCTGCTGTGTGACCCACTTCTAACAGGCCATGGACCCGTCTTGAGGTCAGGGACTCCTGCATTAAAGAGCCTGGTGCCTCCTCCCGTCTCTTGCTCCCTCCCTGCAGCCTCACCAGAAGCCAAGCAGATACCTGTGCAGCCTGCAGAACCGCCAGCCACGTAAACCTCGTTACAAAAACTTACCCAGCCTCGGGTGTTCCTTTATAGTAACACACAATGAACTAACACAACTCCCAGTCCTTGCACACGCTCTCTGTGTCTTAGTGTCCTTCAGAATTAGCTGTTGGCAGGGAAGAGCCGGCGTCAGGAGTCAGGAACTCGGACACAAGAAAGAAACCAGGGGGCGGGACAGGGAGCTGCTCAGAGCAGGCATCCTCTGCTGTCTGTCGGGATGTGCCACAGAGGGTGGCAAGTGTGGACACGGCTGTCTAGGATGGCCCAGGAGACGGGCACGCATTCCCTGGTGGTGTCTGCATTTGGTTTGATTTTACTTATGATAGTATGATCGTTGCTTTTCCCCGTTACTGACAATAGGGAGCGTTACTTTTTTTTTTTTTTTTTTTTTGAGACAGAGTCTCATTCTGTTGCCAGGCTGGAGTGCAGTGGCACGATCTCAGCTCACCACAACCTCCACCTCCCGCGGTCAAGCGATTCCCCTGCTTCAGCATCCCGAGTAGCTGGGATTTCAGGCACGCACCACCACGCCCAGCTAATTTTTGTATTTTTAGTAGAGACGGGGTTTCACCATGTTGGCCAGGAAGGAAGCATTACTTTTAATGCCTGCACAATGACCAGTTGAATCGAAAAGGCACAGGTGACTTATCCACTTCCCAGCATGGGCATGTGGGCTGTTTCCAACCTAGGTTATTATAAATAATGCCACAATAAATATCTTTTCCATATTTAGGGCCAATAGGACGGATTCCCAGGTGTGGATTGACATCTCACCAAATGCCAGCCCCAGGTCATGCCCACAGAGACGCCTGCAGCAGCGCATGGCTGGCAGGACCACCTCAGCCTCTCTAGCAGCAGGCAGGTGGGTTCCTGATCCTAAACTCACACTTTAATCTGATGTCTTTGATTTCTAGGACGCACGTAGTGGGTCAAGAGCATAGCTCTCAAGTCAGGGGCTGTGGACTTGACCCTCACTCTGGAACTGTGGGGCCTTTGCCTCAGTTTTCCCAGGTGTGAAATGGCGATGCTGACAGTGCTTAACCCCACAGGGTTGCCAAGAACAAGAACCGTAATACGTGACGTCGTAAGCACACTGCTGGATCCTACGAACTGTGTGACCGTGTCAGCTCGCCCCGTGTCTGGTGTTAGTGAGATCAGAGCTCGCCCCGCGTGCTGGTGTTCTTGAGATCAGGGCTCACCCCGCGTCTAGTGTTAGTGAGATCAGAGCTCACCCCGCGTGCTGGTGTTAGTGAGATCAGGGCTCGCCCCACGTGCTGGAGTTAGTGAGATCAGGGCTCGCCCCGCGTGCTGGTGTTCTTGAGATCAGGGCTCGCCCCGCGTCTAGTGTTAGTGAGATCAGAGCTCACCCCGCGTGCTGGTGTTAGTGAGATCAGGGCTCGCCCCACGTGCTGGAGTTAGTGAGATCAGGGCTCGCCCCGCGTGCTGGTGTTAGTGAGATCACGGCTCACCCCGCGTGCTGGTGTTAGTGAGATCAGGGCTCTCCCCGCGTGCTAGAGTTAGTGAGATCAGGGCTCGCCCCGCGTGCTGGTGTTAGTGAGATCAGGGCTCGCCCCGCGTGCTGGTGTTCTTGAGATCAGGGCTCGCCCCGCGTGCTGGTGTTAGTGAGATCAGGGCTCGCCCCGCGTGCTGGTGTTAGTGAGATCACGGCTCGCCCCGCGTGCTGGTGTTAGTGAGATCAGGGCTCTCCCCGCGTGCTAGAGTTAGTGAGATCAGGGCTCGCCCCGCGTGCTGGTGTTAGTGAGATCAGGGCTCACCCCGCGTGCTGGTGTTCTTGAGATCAGGGCTCACCCCGCGTGCTGGTGTTAGTGAGATCAGGGCTCGCCCCGCGTGCTGGTGTTAGTGAGATCACGGCTCGCCCCGCGTGCTGGTGTTAGTGAGATCAGGGCTCGCCCCGCGTGCTGGTGTTAGTGAGATCAGGGCTCGCCCCGCGTGCTGGAGTTAGTGAGATCAGGGCTCGCCCCGCGTGCTGGTGTTAGTGAGATCACGGCTCGCCCCGCGTGCTGGTGTTAGTGAGATCAGGGCTCGCCCCGCGTGCTGGTGTTAGTGAGATCAGGGCTCACCCCGCGTGCTGGAGTTAGTGAGATCAGGGCTCGCCCCGCGTGCTGGAGTTAGTGAGATCAGGGCTCGCCCCGCGTGCTGGTGTTAGTGAGATCAGGGCTCGCCCCACATGCTGGTGTTAGTGAGATCAGATATTGGTTCACACACGAAATGGGGGCCATGCAAACTGACTGCCTTGGATACTTCTCCAAGGAAAAGATGAGAGAGCTGGCTTCAACAAAATCGGCATGGAAAACAACAAAAGATACATTTTTGGGGCCAGATGTGGTGACTCACATCTGTAATCCCAGTGCTTTGGAAGGCCGAGGCAGGAGGATCACTTGAGGCCAGGAGTTCAAGACCTGCTTGGATGACAGAGCAAGACCCTGTCTCAAAAATAAAAGATACATTTTTTTAAATCCACTTGGAAATTTTTTTTAACGTTTATGGTTATGAGAAAAATTGCATAACCAAAACAAAACCAGTCTGCCATCTTTTTTGTCCCTATCATTTGGCACAGACAGACGAACTCCTGACGTCACAGCAGGACCAAGAGCTGAAGCCGGAGGCACAGACAGATGAATTCCTGATGTCATAGCAAGACCAAGAGCTGAAGCCGGAGGCCGTCTAGGCTGACCTCTGCTTCGGTGTCTTGTTTAAAAGAAGCTCTTATTGCAGGAAGAGAAAACCTACATGACCCAGGTGAAAGATAAGACACTTAAAATTCAGTGATCATATGACTTAACAGAGCACCTGATGGCAGTGGGAGCCAAGGGCAGTATCCAACCCTGTGTGCTTCTGTTGCTGTTAGGAGAGGAGCTGGAAGTCAGGAGAGGAGCTGGAAGTCAGGAGGGAAGCACCCAGTGTAACAGTTAGAAGAAGAAAGGCCCAGGCCAGGCACGGTGGCTCACGCCTATAATCCCAGCACTTTGGGAGGCCAAGGCAGGCAGATCACCTGAGGACAGGAGTTCAAGACAAGTCATGGCTAACATGGTGAAACCCCATTTCTACTAAAAATACAGAAGAAAATTAGCTGGGTGTGGTGGCGCATGCCTGTATTCCTAGCTACTTGGGAGGCTGAGGCAGGAGAATTGCTTGAACCCAGGAGGCGGAGGTTGCAGTGAGCCAAGATCACGCCATTGCACTCCAGCTCAGGCAATAAAAGTGAAACTCTGTCTCAAAAAAATAAATACATAAATAAGTAAATAAAGCCACTTATTAATACAATTAATGGAAACAGACACCATTGAGAGGACAAAAGAGCTAAGAGTTGGTTCTTTGAAAGGACTATTAAAATTGACATCCTCTGGCAAAATGACTAAGAAAAAAGGAGCAAATCACCCATCAGGAATGAGAAAGGAAGACAGTTCAGCCACATCCGATGCTGAAAAGGTGAGAAAAGCCTGTGCTGACAAAGAGAACTCCACCAAAACGGTTCGACCATCAGGAGGAAAGTCACGTGGCAGCCCAGCTCGAGGAGACACGCACACAGAATCCATCGCCATGACAGAGATTGTGTGGATGATTCTCAGTCTTGCCAAAGAACACCAAGTCCAGGTGCTTTGCACGTGAGTTCAAGAAACAGCTCCAGTTTTACCCAGACTCGGAGACAGACAAGAAACACACCCTGTGTTATTTTCTGAAGTGAGTGTAATCTGGATATCAAAATTACAGTTCAGTGTCACTCATACACATATACATGAACAAAGGTACTAAGCACTTGCAGGCCAGGCACGGTGGCTCATTCCTGTCATCCCAGCACATTGGGAGACTGAGGTGGGAGGATCGATTGAGCTCAGGAGTTTGAGACCAGCCTGGGCAACAGAGTGAGATTTCATTTCTAATAAAAATTAAAAATTAGGTATGGTGGCGTGCGCCTGTGGTCCCATATACTCGGGAGGCTAAGGTAGGAGGATCAGTTGAGCCCAGGAGGTTGACACTTCAGTGAACTGGGATTGTATCACTGCATTCTGTTCTGCAGACGTGAGCAGGAGTGATGGACGCCTCTTCCAGGCCTGGCCTCCTGAAATCTTCCCTGTAATCATCTGCTGTCCTCCCTTCCTGTGACTGAGAGAGAAGGACTCAGAGATGGCAGAGCCACACACCAAGAGAAGGAGCCATGTCCTGGAGTCACCCTCGGGAGAGCCTCAAGACCCTGTCATGGTGTGAGCAAGAAGGGGAGGCCTCCTGAGCCAGACGCTGACATGCGGAGGTTCTTCGTTATCCCAGCCACCGTTACTTACCCTGACCACTGTAGCAACAAATGACAAATGTTCAGAATATGTGCAGCATTCATAGGAACCAGGATTTTTAAAGACAAATATCTAAATAGAAAAATGGCCAAAACAGGAGTTCAAGACCAGCCTGAACAACGCAGCGAGACCCCATCTCTAGAAAAAAGAAAAATGGGCAAAAGTCGCAGAAGAAAAAAACATCCATGGCTCGTAAATACCTGAAAACATGCTCAATCTCTTTAAAAATCAGAGAACACAAGTTAAAACAACAGATCCAATTCTGTGCCCCACAGCGTGGTAAAGATGGCCAGGTCGGATTCGGATCCTTGCATGGGACGGGCGGGGGTCCTCATCTCCTGCTGCGGCACCAGGCAGCAGCACAGTCTGGAGAGCAGCCTGGCGTTTTCTGGCAAAGGCGAAGATGTGCGTTCCTGCTGACCCAGGAGCCGCCTGTTGACTTCCCCTTGAGAAACGTGTGTGCACGCAGCCAGAGACACAACAACGTTCATGGCATGCACTGTCAGGAAAGCCGGAAAGAACCCAAATGCCTGTCGGTAGCGAAGCGGGTAAATCATGGTCTGTTGGTCAAGGGAAGCTGTTGGCACAGTGGCCACGCAGCTAGCCAGGACCCACGTCAACCCCTACGTGACAGACACACACTGAGCAGAGAATGTAAGGCACAGAAGACACACGGCGTGATTTTAACCACCGCAAAGTTCGAAACCAAGCAAAACTACACAGTGTGGTGGTTGGGGACACATGTGGTCCAACTGCAGAGAAAGGCAAAGGCATGGTTCACACTCAGGAGAGACGGGCCGGCACAGGGCACGGGCCCCTGGGTGGTATCTCGCGCTTAAACCGGATGGAGGGTGAGTGAGCATTTGCTCTAGCGCGGTTAAAGGATCATGTCATGTACACTCAGCTTACACATCTGACACCCTCCCACCTTCCTTAACGTTTTTAGAAAACAGGGAGCACTTCCTCATGAACCTGGTGCCATCCAGCCCTGGGGTGCACGGGTTAACGCCCACTTCCACGCCCCCCACTGATCTTGAGGCCCCCCCGCCCCCAACCCTGGCCTCCGTTGCCCACAGGTGCCTGTTTCCACTCAACCCAAATTTAAGCCATCTTCTTGCTTTCAGAGTGTGGTCTTTACCAACAGAGGAACCGGGTAATCACCGCACTTCTCATGTATTCAGAAGATATTTCTCATCCTTTTCAGGCTGGTAGAGCAGATCACCCCCAAAGCAAGAAGTTCCAGATGAAATATGCATAAGAAGCAGCCTCAAAACTAACAAAAAAGATTCGCACATTCCTCAGTTAGAGGAGGAGCAGAGATGAAGAAAAGGAGAAGAAAAGCGCTGGAAAGAGAAGAAAAGGAACCTCCTTCTGTGCAGCAGGCTCCTGGCCCAGGGAGTGCGGTGTGCGGCAGAGTGCGTGCAGGGAAGCAGCCTCTGAAATCGTGCAGGGAAGCACCCTGTGAAATCGTGCAGGGAAGCACCCTGTGAAATCGTGCAGGGAAGCACCCTGTGAAGTCGTGCAGGGAAGCACCCTCTGAAATCGTGCAGGGAAGCACCCTCTGAAATCGTGCAGGGAAGCACCCTGTGAAGTCGTGCAGGGAAGCACCTTCTGAAATCGTGCAGGGAAGCACCCTCTGAAATCGTGCAGGGAAGCACCCTCTGAAATGCCTAGAAATAGCTGCCGGGCTTTCACTTGGTTCCCAAATTTCTTCAAAGGTCAAAACCATCACAGTGGGCAACTTTACACCCCAGTGTTCACTGTCCTCAGGCCACTGCAGAGCCATCCTAGTGGGGCAGTGGGCGCGGGGCGGGGGCTCCTGACTCCGGTGAGGTCACCCTGGAGGGGAGTCCCAGGAATCAGCCTGATGTTCAGAATGCCTTCCTGGCATCTCAGAAGTGTACTGGGGGAGACGTGAGGACCTTTCAGCCAAGTGTCAGCGTTCTTATTGCAGGAGAACATTAAAGCCACAACCCAGAAACTTCTCAGGAGCATGGCGCACCCACACCAGCCCCGGGCTCCGCCTGGACAGCACCTCCTGGGCCGCCCTGACCAGCAGACACCATCCTTCCAGCCTCTCTTGGCCACCCGGACCAGCGGGCACCACCCTCCCAGCCTCACGCGGCCACCCTGACCAGCAGGCACCATCCTTCCAGCCTTGCTCAGTCACCCTGACCCAGAGGGCTGCCCTGACCAGCGGGCACCATCCTCCCAGCCCCACTCAGCTGCCCTGACCAGCGGGCACCATCCTCCCAGCCTCACTCGGCCAGCCGAGCTCTGTAGGCCTCAGAGTGCAGAGAACCTCAAATGTTGTGACTTTGCTCTGCTGCAGGGACCTGCCATGGAGTGTCCCTTGTGCGAGCATTTTGAGAGCTATGCCAGCATCCATCCCTGCAGGTCCCATCCCTGAGCCATTTCTCAGGAGAGCAGGAAGGGAGCAGGGAGAGGGGTGCTCCCAGCCAGCCCCGGAACCAGAGGTCTGGGGACGCAGCCGACCAGCCCTCCTTGTCTGGGCCTCTGTTTCCTCTTCGACACAGGGAAGCAGGGAGGGGCCGATCAGCGACTTAGGCCTGTTGGCTGTGGTGGGGTCCACCTGCGTTTCTGGGGAGCCCACGGACCCTGGGGTGTACCTGGGTTTCATTCCCAGTGACCTCTCCTATTGGTCCCCATTTGGGGCGCTGAGATGTGATCGTTTCTTTCCTGAGAATGAGCTGAGGTAAAAACATGCTGGGGAGGAAGATGGGCCCTGGGGGCAGCGAGCTGCGCCTCTGCACCGGGAGAAAGGCCGTGTCCCCAGAGCTGAGGCGGTGGTGGGCAGGGCTCCTGAGAAGCCGGGGCAGGGCAGGGTGTCTCTGAGGTCAATGAGGAACAGCTGAGGTCCAGGGACGCAGGAAGGATGGGGTGAACTCCGGGATGGGGCCGGCAGGGAGCCTCACGCTTACAGAGCCTGGTGTTGGCACTCTCCTGGCTTCCTCCGCAAACCTAGCCACGTGGTCAGGGAGCCCGGGCCTAGCAGACGGCCCCCACCTTGACAGAATCCCCAGGGTCGTGCGTGGCGGTGGGGGCGACTTCACAGCCGAGACCGGGCCTAACGCTGCTGTCTCGCAGTCACCCCTGCAGGCCGCTCAGGGCAGGGCTCTGGCCTGACGGGGGTTCCTGGACACGCCTCTGAGCCGGCAGCCCCTACCCGCACCCGTGCACCTTCCACGCCCGTCTCCAGCAGCCCCTGCCCCCACCCGCACCCCTGCACCTGCCACGCCTGTCTCCGGCAGCCCCTGCCCGCACCCGCACCCCTGCACCTGCCACGCCCGTCTCCGGCAGCACCTGCCACGCCCGTCTCCGGCAGCACCTGCCACGCCCGTCTCCGGCAGCACCTGCCACGCCCGTCTCCGGCAGCCCCTGCCCGCACCCGCACCCCTGCACCTGCCACGCCCGTCTCCGGCAGCCCCTGCCTGCACCCGCACCCCTCACGGCTGTCTCCGGCAGCCCCTGCCCGCGCCCGCACCTCTGCACCTCCCACGCCCCTCTCCGGCAGCCCCTGCCCACACCCGCACCCCTGCACCTCCCACGCCCGTCTTGCCCTGGGGCCCAGGTGCAGGTCTGTGAGGAGGGCAGCCCCGTGCTCCCGTGGCCACCGCTCAGCCAAATGGATTCAGCGAGGGTTTTTAGTGTTTGTGCCTGTGTCCCCGTGTGCCTGTTTCCTGGTGAGGCTGGATGCCTGGCATGTCTGAACACTCACATTCCCCAGGCATGCATGTGCAGCCGCCGCCGCCACCCATGTACTGTGGCGCTGACCCCTCCTGTAACAGCTGTGGTCTTGGCCTCTCGTGTTGGTGGCAGATGTCCCATTTCCCAGTTACTTTCTGTTGTCCAAAAGTTTAACTGTCCTGCCAGCCAAAGCTGCTGAGCATTACTCTGATAGACCATCAGTCCTTGGTAAGTGTCCTGTGCATCTGGGATAAGCATCCGTTTGTTTTCAGCTGCGCTTTCTGTGACTTGCTCTGCGTGAGTCCTCGGTCCACGTGGGCCGTTGCGCTGGTTCCCAGCCTGCCCGACACACTCACTGCGACGCCTCCCTTGCCTACTGCTTGCTGGCTTCTGTGTTCTCTGCAGTAAACATTGATTTCTGACTCGAGTGCTGTCTTCATTGAGCTCTCTGCACTCTGGGGATGCAGTCAGCGACCCCACGAAGGCTACCGGCTTCCTCCCAGGGAACAGTGCAGGTGCTGCTTCCCAGGACCACAGGACCCTGGCTGGTCGCTGCCTGTGATGGGTCTCCACAAGACCACTCCCCATTAGCCAGACTCACAGGAGACTGACACATAAATGAGAAAGTTGTTCACTAACTCACAATGGGAGCAACCCTTTGCAGTGCGGAAATGCTCTCAGCCTTTCTGGCCCCGGATACCTGGGAAGCTAAGGGTTCATTAGGTGGCCTAGTGCCTGCACTCAGGATGCCCCAGAGGAGGCCCCGGGGTTCCTGAACGCCTTCTTCAGGCCCTGTCTTCAGCCCTTCTCCAGGCCCTCTGAGTTCCAAACAGCACTCACTTTTGTCTGGTCCTCTGTTCCCCGGCTCGCACCTCCTTCGTCAGGGCAGTTGCTCTCAACCAGGGGTACTTCTGCCCCTGGGGCCCACTCGGCAATGTCCGGGACCGTGTTGGCGGTCACAGCTGGGCGGGGGCACCACCGGAATCTGGTGTGCAGAGGCGGGGGTCCTGCCCAGATGCCAGAGGTGCTGCAGGTGAGAGATACAGATTTAGACCCTGTGACGACAAAGAAAAGGACGGGAAAGGTGGCTCTCAAGGCCCCAGGGAACCGCCCAGAGACGCCTGGGGTTCCAGAAGCTGGAAAGGCATGGAGCGGTGCGGGAACAAGCCTCTGCGGTGGCTGGAGATGTGGGGATGGAGACTGGTCATGCCTTCACACACTTAACCAGAACCCTCCCAGCTCTCCCTCCCCTGCAACCAAGCCAGCAAGGCGACACGGTGGCTGGCGCTGGCGAGAGGCAAGTGTGCTTGACTGCCTTTCTCCACTCTTGAGGACAACACCCAGAGTGGCCCCGTCTTTGCCCCACCAGCCCAGGCCTAAAGCTTCCTCATCATCCGCATCCCGGCCTGGGACTTAGGCGGACTTCTGCCAGCTGTGTCACGTGCAGGGGACTGCAGCCACTGACCCCCTCTCCCTTCTGTCCTGCTCTTCTCTACCCCACAGCCCCAGGCAGATCTTCAGTGCATGTCAGCTCTCCTCCCTCCCTCCCTGCAGACCCCTGTGCCCCGCAGTGCCCTGAGAATGACGTCTGAGCCCCCAGTGGAGGTGTCAAGGCTGTTCGGTCTGTCCCCATCCCGTTCTGTCCTCCCCTTGCTCACCACACTCCCCTGCCTGGTCTTCCAAACTCGAACCCCAGGCAACTCCTTCAGGCATCAGACCTCTGCCCCTGCGCCCCTCCTGCCTCTCTGTGATGGGCTGGCCCTTCCCTTCTGCTGCCTCCCCTCCCTCCTTCCTGCTCCAACCCCTATCTCTCTCTGATGCTGCCCCTTAGAGAAGCCTTCTTGGACCTTAAGCCTGGCCACTCCTCTAAGCCCCTCATCTCCAGGTGTGGTCTAGGAAGTGCTCTCAGCCTCTCTACTCCAGTGGCTCGGGGTCTCTGACCAGCCCTCCTGCCAGGGAAGCTTTGAAGGTTCCCACAGGGACCCCTAGAGACAAGGGCACTGCCCGTCCAGATGGCACCCTCACCCCAACCCCAGCAGCACTGGCTGGAGCAGGCCATGCCTGTGTGGGTATCTGAACAGGCACTGGATTCCCCGATCTCAACAAAAGAAGCCCATGGAGGCCTTTTCTAATCCACAGTCCAAGAGGACAAATCAAGACAACAGGCTGGGGGGGCTGGCTGTGGGCCGACTCCCACGTCTTAGGACCAGGGGCTCTGGGGCTGTTTGGGCTGGAACCCCTCCTCCCAGCATAACAAACACTAGCTCATTATTTACAGTGAATACCCAACAAAACCCTGCTCGAGGTGAGGAGCGGGGACCTGCTGCTCCAACAGACCAGACTGGCTGCTGGCTCCGAGCTCATTAAATCAGCAACCTTTGCACTCCCTCCAAAGCCCTGCCCGTCACCTTCACACCTCCCTGGTGGGGGAAGGGGATTCTTCCACTCTGATTACACCCGTTCCCATCTCCCTTCACTCCTGTGAGCTGGCCAGGCTGAGGATTTGTCCAAAGGGCCTGGGGAGTGAGACGCTCCACAGCTTCTCATGGGTCAGCCGACATGGACGGTAGCTTGGGTGACTCAGCTTCCCGTGATGCGCTGGATGCACAGGGAGCTGGTGACAACAGCCTGTGTGTGTGACAGAACAGCCTGTGCGTGTGACAGGACGTCAAGAACTACATACAAAGACACAGCTGCCCCCAAAAATGAGTCTGCACAGCCTGGTGCAATGCAGCTGCAGCCTGTCATCGAGTCAATTGCATTGTCGTCCGCCGCTCTCCTGATGTAGTTCTGTGTTTGTCCATTTTGCACTGCTATAAAGGAATACCTGAGACTGGGTAAGTTGGTGAGCGCCTGTAGTCCCAGCTACTCAGGACGGTGAGGCAGGAGAATAGCATGAATCCGGGAGGCGGAGCTTGCAGTGAGCCAAGATCGCGCCACTGCACTCCAGCCTGGGCCACAGAGCGAGACTCCGTCTCAAAAAAAAAAAAAAGAAAAGAAAAAAGAGGAGCTGGGCGCAGTGGCTCACGCCTGTAATCCCAGCACTTTGGGAAGCTGAGGCGGGTGGATCACCTGAGGTCAGGAGTTCAAGACCAGCCTGGCCAACATGGCAAAACCCCGTCTCTACTAAAAATACAAAATTATCCGGGCATGGTGGCGCATGCCTGTGATCCCAGCTACTTGGGAGGCTGAGGCAGGAGAATCACTTAAACCTGGGAGGCGGAGATTGCAGTGAGCCGAGATCGCACCAATTGCACTCCAGCCTGGGCAACAAGAGCGGCAACTCCATCTCAAAAGTAAATAAAGAACAAAAGGGGTTTGCTTGGCTCACAGTTCAGATCAGCGTTCAGAGGGTGCTGCTGTCCCTGGTCATACTGTACAAGAAGAGGCTTCTGGGGAGGGCTCAGGAAGCTTTTACTCACAGCAGAAGGCAAAGTGGGAGCCAGGGCATCCGTCACTTGGTAAGAGCCAGAGCAAGAGAGGGGCGGAGGCGCCAGGCTCTTTTTAACAGCCAGCTCTCACTCATCACCAAGGAGAGGGCACCAAGCTACTCATGACCCAAATAGCCTCCCACCAGGTCCCACCGCCACCATCAGGGGCCACATTTCCATGAGATGTGCAGGGGGCTCACTTCCAAACAGTATCAGATATAGTACTAGTTCCTTTTTTTTTTTTTTTTTTTTGAGACAGAGTCTCATTCTGTTGCCCAGGCTGGAGTGAAGTGGCGCGATCTCGGCGCAATGCAACCTCCGCCTCCCGGTTCAAGTGATTCTCCTGCCTCAGCCTCCCAAGTAGCTGGGATTACAGGTGCCCGCCACCGTGTCCGGGTAGCTTTTTTATATTTTTAGTAGAGATGGGGTTTCTCCCTGTTGGTCAGGCTGGTCTCAAAC